>NC_000017.11:12006262-12309292 GCF_000001405.40 Homo sapiens
GGCCTTTGGAAGAAGTTAAAACAGAACTAGGTTTCTGGGCTGGTTTTTATCCAGGAACTCCTAACATAAATATCCCCAATATAATAATATATTACAGCCATCTTTATGCATCTCAATTCTCCCATTAGTAAAATGAGAGATAAAAATGCCACCTAATGCTTAGGACTGTTAAGAGAATTAAATGAGACAATATATGTAAAATACCTAGAACAGTGCCTTGGCACACAGCAAAATCTAGCTGTTATTGAGATATCGTAATTTGTATGTATCACGTGTTTTAGGATAGGTGATTCCTAGAAAGAATAGTAATAAAAAATTATTTGTACTGAGCATAAATTATTACCAGGGCATGGTGGTGCACACCTGTGGACCCTGCTACTTGGGAGGCTGAGGTGGGAGGGTCACTTAAGCCTTGGAGGTTGAGGTTACAGTGAGCCATGATCTCACCACCACACTCCAACCTAGGTGCCGAAGCTCAAAAAAAAGAACTGAGCAAAAATATTACCATACTGTTTTTTTTGCCACAGTATTTCAACAGTATCCAGATATCCCAGAAGAAAGAAAAAAGCTGTAATGATCAGAAACATGATAAAAGTCTCAACTAAATGAATTTAATTATGTAAATTGTAAGACATTCTGTAATACTGTAATAAATATCATATTTTTACCTAAAAATTAAAACCCAAAGGAATTCTGTGACTGTGGCCTCATAGAGATAGCTAACTACCATTAATGTAGTTTTGTGTGTTAGGCCAATGTTTACTGTTTTATTTTATTTTGTTTTGTTTTGTTTCTGTCTTTTTAGAGTCCTGCATGTGCCTCTGAGCTTAATCTCTGTTCTGGTAAGATGTCAAGATTCTGGCCTCCTCTACCAAGAAGGAGGTCAGGGCTTCAGTCACAGAGCTTCACCACCAAATGCTGAGACATCATCTCCCAGTGAAGACTCTATGTTGATCTCCCTTTTGAGCTTCAGTTCCTGCCAGAAAAAGAGCTGCAGCCTTCAGATGCAGATTTGGGAAGCTTCTGAAGTCTTTAGGCTTCTTTATCTCATTAGCCAGGGATCCTTTAAAACTTAGGGAGTTCTACACAGGTGACAATCTTAGAGCGATTGTGGAAGAGGCCCCATGTCCCTTTAAACCTTCCACCACCCAGAATTCTTCTTCGGTCCTCCTAAATGTCTCACTTTGACCCCTTGTTAGCTGAATTCTGATTTTTGTACGGTCACTTGATGCTGCCCGTGGCCTCCTTCACATTCAGGTGCCTGACTCCTTGCTGGACTGATGGCCCTGCTGACTTTGGGCAGTCAGACTTTGCCCTTGCTGGGTCTGTGACATCTATCTCACCTTGAAAGCCAGGACTCCTGAAAATCCCATCAGCACTGAGCAGTGGGAAGCCCCATCTGTCCCTGCTACCTGCTGCTGGGGATGGCTAGACGCCTGCCCACGTTGAGATTTTCTCTGCATTTGGTTTTTCAGACTGAACCTTTCTCCTTCTAACAGAAGCTTCCAGGAGCATGTGGTGGCTCCTGAAGGTCTCACAGATCAATTTTAAAAAGCAAGCTTTTTCTTCCCCTGGAGAAACAGCAAGATTGGTGACACGTCTGTCACTGCTAATTAGCACAAAGGGTCTGAACACTGGGGAACACAGAGAGAGAAGATGATTGGAATTAACCAGACACCAGGGTTGAAAAAAAATCCATAATGTGGTGGTGCTCAGAGAACGGAAAGAAAATAAAGTTAATCAGCAGCAGTGGTCTGCTGTAGAGTCTTGAGGAGGGCCACTGCAGAGTGCCTCGGGTTGCCCGTGGAGATACGAAGAAGCAGCAGCATGTAGCCAAGGCACCAAACAGAAACCCCATCTTGGAAGAGGCTGGTTACCCGGAATTAAGCAAGGAATGCATTCATTTAAGCTTACAGGGTTCTATCCAAGATCAGTTCTCTTCTCTGAGATTGATGTGGACCCTTCCAACCAGAAGTTGGAAACTGGCAGCATGTATTTTCTTTGGCAAGCACAGTTTTAAAAATTTACTTGAACTGGAATGCCTTTTAGTGGTGCATGCAATTTGCAGTGAGTCATAAGTCTGACCATCCCATTATTACTACTATTATTATTATTATTCAGAGATGGGGGTCTAGCTACGTTGCCCAGGCTAGGCTTGAATTCTTGGGCTCAAGGGATCCTCACGCCTCAGCCTGTCAAGTAGCTAGGACTACAGGCTCAAGCCACCATGCCCAGCTTTGACCATCCCTTTAGATCATGTTCCTTTAACATACTTACAGTACCATCTGGACCCTGAAGGTATTTGAGCAAGTTTGCGCTCAAATATTCTCCAGAAGGCAGAGGAGTCAAGGTTAATGATGCTCCCCTCAGAGTCTGAGCTGTAGAGCCTGCTGGGGATGTCTGAAGACTTTGCTGGTCAGAGGGCCTAGAAGCTGACTACTGAAGATTGGGCAGGGCACTGCCCTTGCCAAATCCCTTATCCCACAGTTCACTTGATACTTACTTAATCAGTCTGTGGCCTCCACCAGATGGTAGGCCACTAGGAACTGTTGTTCCCCACAAGATCCTTATTATTCAGGGAACTCCCAAAAGAGAAATAGGAAGGAATTTGGTCAAGGTCAACAGATAAGAATTTAGTCTAGGTCTACTGTAACTATATCCCAAAAACCAAAATTTAGATACCATGGTCCAAAATTCGGAGCATAGCATTTACAATTGTGACACCCTGGCAAATTCCTGACTTACGGGCACAGGCTATACAGATATCAGCCAGTGTTCACTGGAGGAAATGAAGGGAAGAAAGGAACTCAAATCTCAAGCCCTGTCTAGGAGAAGGAGGCAAGTCTTCAGGGTTATACTCACTTATAAACTGGAATCTGGCCTTTTTCCCAGTGAAGAATCCACTGAATTATCTTAGCTTTCCTTCACATACCTGAAAACAGATATATTCGAGGAGACATGGGTTGGTGTAGACAATTTTTTTTTTTTGCCATCCTTTTATCCCTACATGGCTGCTTCTAGAACTGCCTGCTCCACTCAGGGTTCCAGGAGGACAGCCTTGGGTTCAAGGCAGAGACGTTCTTTTATTCCAAATTGTATCATTTGGACCTCTAGAAAACAGGGTCCTATGGTCCTCCATGATCAATTTCCACCCATCTCTGTGCCATACATTCCCGAGCTTTTTTTTTTTTTTTCTTTTTCTTTTTTCGAGACAGAGTCTTGCTCTGTCACCCAGGCTGGAGCGCAGTGGCATGATCTTGGCTCATTGCAACCTCCGCCTCCCAGATTCAAGCAATTCTCCTGCCTCAGCCTCTCAAGTAGCTGGGATTACAGGCGCCCGTCACCATGCTCGGCTAATTTTTGTATTCTTGGTAGAGACAAGGTTTCACCACGTTGGCCAGGCTGGTGTCGAACCCCTGACCTTAAGTGATCCACCCGCCTCAGCCTCCCAAAGTGCTGGAATTACAGGCGTGAGCCACCGCGCCTGGCCATTCCTGAGCTTTTAAATCATCCCTCCTTGCTCCTGCCTGCGTGAGACGTAAAAGAAACAACAAATACCCTAACTTTGCTTCTTGAAAAACCACTTAAAATACACCAAATGATCTATTAACATATATTCCTAGAATTCCAACATACAGATTTGTGAGATGGTAGAAAAAAGTGCCTAAAATATGGCTTATCTATGTAATATTAGCAGATGGTAGTTTAGAAAAGACTACAGGAACATCACCTTTTCCTTGACTGCACATGTGGCTTGGATATAACAGACCAAAACAGGGGTGAAAGCTTTATTGTGGTGCCTGTCGAGAATAGATTAGAATAGACAGTAATGGAGAGGACAGTTTCACAAGACTTTATTCTCAGGCTTAATTAGAACCAATAAAAACTTATAAGTAAAAAAAAAAAGTACTATCAATGAATTTCACTGTATAAATATAGTATGAAATGTTTACTAAATGAACAGGATTTTTCATTTATATATCTTGTAATTCTTCGCTATTCTAGTTGAATCTGAGCCAAGAATAGAAACTCAGTACATTTATTTTCTGGTGACTTAAAGAGAAAAAAGGAAAAGTTTTGTGTAAGTAAAATAGAATGTATTTACAAGAACAGACTGCTTTTCTTTAAAACTGCTTCCAAAACATTTGTTTCTGAACTTTTTTTTTTTTTTCCAGATGGAGTCTTGCTCTCTCGCCAGTCTGGAGTGCAGTGGCGCAATCTTGGCTCACTGCAACCTCTGTCTCCCGGGTTCAAGAGATTCTCCTGCCTCAGCCTCCCAAGTAGCTGGGACTACAGGCGCCCGTCACCACGCCCAGCTAATTTTTTTGTATTTTTAGTAGAAACGGGGTTTCAGCATGTTGGCCAGGATGGTCTCGATCTCTTGACCTCGTGATCCACCCACCTCACCCTCCCAAAGTGCTGGGATTACAGGCGTGAGCCACTGCGCCCCGCCGGTCTTTTATTTTTTAAACACTTACTATGCCATGAATTCATAGGGAATATGTTCCAGCACCTCAGGCTTCTTCCTACTGGTTCTCACGAAGTGTGCTTTTCTGGGCAGTGCAGGCTGGCACTTCAGTTGAACCCCAGGTACTTTTCTCTTTGTCTTCTTTAGTTTTCTGATAATTTTCCTTCACTTGTTTCAGGAAGCTATCTTGGCTCTTCACGTGCTTAACATGCCCAATACACACATTAATTCTCTTGGCAAGAATCTTGCCCTTAACTTGTTTGTTTACAACAAATGCCAACAGCATGCTGGGGAACATTGTAGACTCTTCCAGTTTAGCCATGGTGACACCTGTGGGGCATTCCTTTTTGAACAGTACTCATTCCCTTGATGTCTATAATATCACCTTTCTTCTAGATTCGCCTGTGCACGGCCAAAGGAACAACTCCATGTTTTCTAAAACTCCTGGAGAACATATATCGGGTGCCTCTCCTCTTTCACTTTGTGTTCATCATTTTGGTGAATTACTGGAAGATGGCGGTTCCCCTGAATCATATTTTGAATGAAACTTTAAAAGAATATAAATGTATGGTAATAAATATTTGCTGTTTCATAAGAATGTTTATTTAACAACAAAAGAAAGGACATCCATCATCCTGATTTAGTTCCATCATTTTTATTATTATTTTTTTTTGAGACAGAATCTCATTCTGTCGCCTAGGCTGGAGTGCAGTGGTGCGATCTCAGCTCACTGCAACCTCTGACTTCCGGGTTCAAGCGATTCTCTTGCCTCAGCCTCCCAAGTAGTTGGGGCTACAGGCACCCGCCACCACACCCAGGTAATTTTTGTGTTTTTAGTAGAGATGGGGTTTCACCATGTTGACCAAGATGGTCTCGATCTCCTGACCTCATGATCTGCCCACCTCAGCCTCCCAACATGCTAGGATTACAGGTGTGAGCCACCATGCCCAGCCAAATGTTCTTAATTTTTTTTTTTTTTTTTTTTTTTGAGACGGAGTCTAGTTCTGTCGCCCAGGCTGGAGTGCAGTGGCACGATCTTGGCTCACTTCCACCTCTGCCTCCCAAGTTCAAGTGATTCTCCTGCCTCAGCCTCCTGAGTAGCTGGGATTACAGGCATGCACCACCACATCCAGCTAATTTTTGTATTTTTAGTAGAGATGGGATTTCACCACATTGGCCAGGGTGGTCTTGAACTCCTGACCTCGTGATCTGCCCACCTCAGCCTCCCAAAGTGCTGGGATTACAAGTGTGAGCCACTGCGCCCAGCAGTTACATCTTAATTCATTAATTTTCATTAGCTATTATGTTCATGACATTTACAGTCCATAAGCTACCAAAGAATATATAATGTAAAGTGTCCCTCTCAATCCTGTCCACCAATCACCCAGTTTCTCTCTTGAGACACCAAAATTTTCATTATTTTCAGTATCTTTCCAAATAAATTTAAAACAAGTAACTAAATATTACATATACATTTCTCCTTCTTTAAAACAAATAGTAGCAAACCATGGTGTTCTTCATCTGGCTTTTTAAAAGATAACAATATATATTGATAGTCATCCCATATCACTACACAAAGAGCTTCCTCTTCTTACAGCTGGGTAGTATTCGCTCCATGTTTATTCAGTTGCCTGTTAAAGGACATTTAAGTTGATTCTAATATTTTGCTACAAAAATACTATATTCAGTAACCTTGGACATATATCATTTTGCAAACGTGAGAATATCTGTAAGAATACACGTCTAGAGGTATAATTTCTGGGTTAAAGGGTATATACATTTTTAATTTTGATAGCCATTATTAACTTGTCCCCCATTGAGCTGTGCCAATGTACATTCCCACCAGCTATGTAGAAGAATGCCAGTTGCCCACACTTTCATCAATATATTGTGTTATTAAACTTCATCTGCTAGATAACTGAGAAATTATATCTCAATGTGGTTTTAATTTACATCTTTTTTTTTAGACAAATCTTCCTCTGTGGCCCAGACTGGAGTGCAATGGCATGATCACAGCTCACTGCAGCTTTGACGTCCTGGGCTCAAGTGATCCTCCTGCCTTGGTCTCCCAAAGTGTTGGGATTATAGGTGTGAGTCAATGTGCCTGTCCGCATCTTCGCATTTTTAAAGAGACATTTATATTCCTTTTCTGTGATCCACTTGTTAATTTTCTTGGCCTAATTTTCTATTAGGTTGTTGTTCTTTTTCATGTTGATTTGTAGGAATTTTTTTTTTTTTTTGAGACAGAGTCTTGATCTGTCACCAGGCTGGAGTGCAGTGGCGCGATCTCGGCTCACTGCAACCTCCGCCTCCTGGATTCAAGTGATTCTCCTGCCTCAGCCTCCCAAGTAGCTGGGACTACAGGCATGTGCCACCATGCCCGGCTAATTTTTGTGTTTTTAGTAGAAATGGGGTTTCACCGTGTTAGCTGGGAGGGTCTCCATCTCTTGACATCGTGATCCACCCACCTGCGCCTCCCAAAGTGCTGGGATTACAGGCGTGAGCCACTGTGCCTGGCCAATTTATAGGAAATTTTTATTAGTGAAATTAATCCTTTATCCATGTTATAAATTGAAACATTTTCCCAGTTAGCAGTTTGTCTTTTGACTTTGCTTATTGTGTTTTTTGCTAAGAGAATTTTTTAGAAATTTCATCTTTTGACTTGTGTCGTTCTTAGAAATGATGGGCTTATCTTATATCTTCATGGTTTCTTATTTTTTCTTTAATACTAAGATTTTTGATCCATTTGGAACTCATCTAGATTTAAAGTTTGAGCTATGGATTCAAGTTCACTTTTTAGCAAATTTCTACCTTTATTTGAGATCTCACCTTTAATTATACTATATTCTCAAAAGTATTTGAGTCTATTTCTAGTCTTCCTAATTAGTTTTGTCACCTAATTTAGGTTTTTTCATTCTTATGACATTTCTCTCCTGCTCATTAACATTTTTTTGTTGGGTATTCTTTATTTTGCTATTAATTCCAAATGTCAGGTAACTTAATTCTTTTCAACATTCTAAAAACAGAGAATTTCCTATGTGTCTAACAATAATTTTTCAATTATTCTATATTGCTGATAAAGTGCTTCATCAACTACTAACAGAATTTAGTTGCTGATATCTGATGGTTAGAGTAAGACAACAAACCTGTATGGAACAATTTGGAAAAGAGTAAGGCTTTCTTGAGCTTTGATTGGTTGAATTTGATGTGCTGGGACCAAAAGTGACTGACAGATGGTCACGAGAGTTCATGTTTTGGTAACTCCTCTTGAAATGAACATATATTTCATTTTTAGTTTATAAGAAATATAATGTCGGCCAATGTCCTCTTCATTGGATATTGTAGATGAAATGCCTCAAAACATAATGTTGTTCACTAGGGTGGCTATAATAGAAAAGCCAGATAATAACAAGTGCTGGTGAAATTGTGGAGAAATTGAAACCCTCATACTCTTAGTGGGAATCTGAAATGATGCAGCAACTTTAAAAAGTCTAGTAGTTCCTCAAATGGTTAAACATAGAGCTACCATAAGATTCATCAGTTCCACTCCTATGTATATACACAAGAGATCTGAAAATATATGTCCACAGGAAAACTTGTACAAATGCTCATTGCAGCATTATTCCTAATAGCCAAAAAGTGGAAGTGACCCAAAATGTCCATCAATAGACAAATGGATAAACAAAATGTGATATATCCATACAATATAATATTATCCAGTCATAAAAAGGAATGAAACATTGATACATGGTACAACATAGATGAACGTTAAAAGCATTATGGTAAGTGAAAGAAGTTAGATACGTATTGTGTGACCACGTACTGTATGATTCCATTTGTATGAAATGTCCAGAATTGGCAAATATATAGAGACATAAAGTAGATTTGTAGTTGCTGAAAGCTAGGGGTAGGGGCAGTTGGAGTCCAATGGGGAGCAACTGCAAAGGGTATAAAGTTTCCTTTCGGGATGATAAAAGTGTCCTAAATTTGATCGTTGTGATGGTTGCACAACTGTGAATGTACAAAAACCACTGAATTGGCCGGGCGCGGTGGCTTACACCTGTAATACCAGCACTTTGGGAGGCCGAGGCAGGCGGATCACAAAGTCAGGAGATCGAGACCATCCTGGCTAACACGGTGAAACCGTCTCTACTAAAAATACAAAAAATTAGCCAGGCATGGTGGCGGGTGCCTGTAGTCCCAGCTACTCGGGAGGCTGATGCAGGAGAACGGCGTGAACCCGGAAGGCAGAGCTTGCAGTGAGCCGAGATCAAGCCGCTGCACTCCAGCCTGGGCAACAGAGCAAGACTCCATCTCAAAAAAAACAAAAAAAACCCCACTGAATTATATACTATAAGTAGGTGAATTATATGGTATATGAATTATAGCTTCATAAAACTTAAACACAATGAAACAAAACAGTATTATTAAATTCAAACCCAATATTGTTACCTAATCTCAAAAGCAAAACCAAACCCACAATGCCCTCCCCCAACTAATTATTAAATTCCACAATCTTGAGTTAGCCAGAGATGCTTGTTGTGGTCTCACATAAGACCACATTTGATACATGCCTTTGCATGTGAGGCCCTTTCTTGGCTACGCCCTAGGTGATTCCTTTCTTTTAGATACATTTCAATAAGTCATTATTTTTATCAGAACCTACCCAGTAAGATTATATTAGTTGGACAAATTCAGACTTAGTTGTTAGAAGTTACAGTACTTGGTTTGTTATTTTGTTCTAGCGAGTAATACAATTTAGCAAAATGTTTAACTTCTGTGTGACATTTTTAGTTTTGTTATGTTTTTTATATTCCCTAATATTTTATTTTAAAAAATTTCAGACACACAGTGGAAAAAATTGTAGTTAGTAGCAGTCTATCCACCACCTAGATGTCACTATTAACATTTTATTATGCTTGTTTTAGCATATCTCTATCCATCTTTCTATCCCTCTCGCCTATCATTCAACCATTTTTTCAAAGTAAATTGCAGATATCAGCATTATGTCCTGTTAAATACTGCAGGACTCCTATAATTAGCTAGAGTTTTATATTTGTATTCCTTTTTTTTTTTGAGACAGAGTCTTTCTCTGTCACTCAGGCTGGAGTCCAGCAGCGCGATCTCGGCTCACTGCAACCCCTGGCTCCCGGGTTCAAGCAATTCTCTTGGTACTCAGCCTTCTGAGTAGCCGGGACTATAGGCATGCGCCACCACACCCAGCTAATTTTTGTATCTTTAGTAGAGACAGGGTTTCGCCATGTTGGCCAGGCTGGTCTCAAACACCTGACCTCAAGTAATCTGTCTGCCTTGGCCTCCCAAAGCGCTGGGATTATAGGCGTGAACCACCACACTCAGCCTGATATTTGTTTACAGGTTTTTCTTTTGATGTAAAATTTACATACAATGAAATGCACAAATCTTTAGCATATATTTGCTGCATTTTGACAAGTGCTTACCCTTGTGTGACCCAAACTCTTATCAAGGTATAGAATATGACCGTTACCCCAGAAAGTTCCTTTTTCTCCTTCCCAGTTAATCTTCAAGCTTCCTTCCCTGTATTTTACTTGTTTATTTCTTTTTATTATTATTATTTCAAATTATTTATTTATTTTTTGAGATGGAATCTCCCTTTGTCTCCCAGGCTGGAGAGCAGTGGCACGATCTTGGCTCACTGCAACCTCCGCCTCCTGGGTTCAAGTGATTCTCCTGCCTCAGCCTCCTGAGTCGCTGGGATTACAGGCATGCGCCACCATGCTCGGCTAATTTTTGTCTTCTTAGTAGAGATGGGGTTTCGCGATGTTGCCCACCTTGGTTTTGAACTCCTGACCTCAGGTGATCCACCCACCTTGGCCTCCCAAAGTGCTAGAATTACAGGCATGAGCCACTGTGCCCAGTCCTTTTTTTTTTTGTTCCAGTGAAGTTAGAGCAACAGAATACAGAGTATGTGGACAGGTTGTGGGTGTAGTTCTTGCAGAATAGAATCCTATACTTCCGTAATATGTTTGTATTTGGTCAGACCATGGTATTCACTAGCATAAATGGTAGCATGGTATTCACCTTTTGTAATGACTTAGAGTGAGGTATTTCCATTCTTTTACTCTTATAAATAATGTTGTCATGAACATTTTCTTATAAATCTTTATACATATGCATGATTATTAATAGTCAAAATAGTAATATTGGCCAGGTGCGGTGGCTCACGTCTGTAATTCCAGCACTTTGGGAGACCAAGGCGGGTGGACCACCAGAGGCCAGGAGTTCAAGACAAGCCTGGGCAACATGGTGAAACCCCATCTCTACTAAAATTACAAAAAATTAGCTGGGCATGGTGATGTGCGCCTGTAGTGCCATCTGCTTGGGAGGCTAAGCCATGAGAATAACGTGAACCTGGAGGTAGGGGTTGTAGTGAGCTGAGATCATGCCACTGTACTCCAGCCTGGGCAACAGAGCAAGACTCTGTCTCAAAAAAAAAAATTAGTAACATCTTCTTTTATCTGAACCAGATGAAACTTTGGTTCTTTAATGGCATGAACTGGTCAAAGTTTCTCACAGGCCCTGTATTTCCAATTAAATTCAGTGCTCGAATGACATCCAGAAACCTGCACAGCTTGCAGCTCTCTGCCTGAAGAGGCAACATCCGTCACTGGGTGGCCTGGTCCTGAGCCCTTGGCAATTTGAGGGTGGGCGTTTTGCTCAAAGACAATTGCTAAGGCTATATGGAATATCTGGTGACTGTTCCATCCAAATAGAGGTGTCTGACCTTGTTTCTTTCCCAGAGGCTGAAATTGGGGTCCTAAGGTGAAATCCAGTTGTAAATTACTTTTTCTTTATTTGGAATGTGAAATGAAAAATGTATTCTTGAGGCTGGGTGCAGTGGCTCACCCTTGTAATCCCAGCATTTTGGGAGGCTGAGGCAGGCAGATCACCTAAGGTCGGGAGTTCGAGACCAGCCTGAACAATATGGTGAAACCCCGTCTCTACTAAAAGTAAAAAATTAACCAGGTGTGGTGGCACATGCCTGTAATCCCAGCTACTCGGGAGGCTGAGGCAGGAGAATCACTTGTGCCCAGGAAGCGGAGGTTGCAGTGAGCCGAGATCGCGCCATTGCACTCCAGCCTGGGCAACAAGAGCGAAACACCATCTCAAAAAAAAAAAAAAATGTATTTTTAGTCTAACCATTGACATATGTATCATAAAAAACAAGCAAGCTAGATTTCTCAACAAAGGTTCTCTAAGCAAGGAATACACAGACGTTACTCTTTCTCTGCAGCCTCTTTCAGGATGGGGGACTTTGATATTGCCATACATTCCTCTTAGAAATCATCTTAATTTGTTATTTTCATCTACTCTAGTGGGAAGATAAAATCACTACATGGCAGAGCCAGGAGTTTCAGGCCCATTTGGGGATTTCCTCAAGGATATCTTATAAATGTAAATTTGCTGGTTATTCATATGTATTGCTTAATTGCCTTCCCGTCTCCCCAGTGATTATGCCAGCTACCACCATTATTACTAAAAAGGTTAACTTTTTTTAAGCAATTCATTTTTCTGAACTGTGTATTAGTTTGCTAAGGGATGTCATAGCAAAAGAACCAATAAACAACATAAATGTATTTTCTCACAGTTATGGAGGCTGGAAGTCCAAGGTGTAGGCAGAGTTGGTGTCTTTTGAGGACACACTCTGTGGCTTGTAGATGATCATCTTCTCCTAGCTCTGTGTGTCTGCATCCTAATCTCTTTATAAAGACACCAGTCCTATTGGATTAGGGCCCACTCGTATGACCTCATTTTACTTTAAAGACCCTATTTCCAAATATAGTCCCATTCTGAGATGCTGGGGGTTAGGACTCCAACATGTAAATTTGGTGAGGGAGCAGAATACAATTTAGTCCATAAGAAATCATAAAACACAAATATGTAAGAGAAATGTGAGCATAAGAAAAAGTTAAAAAGCTCATACATAGCTTCCTCAGTTGGAACAAATCAAAGTGCTTTCTTGTTTTTGCCATATGCACATCTAATTATTGGCTCTTACTAGTTTACAATACCAACAGCAATGCAAGTATATGTCAGTTTTATCACAAACTCAGAATTAGGTATTCTTAAAAATAAGATTAGTTATATTTTTATTGTATTTCTCTTTTAATTCAGTTTCCCAATTTCCCTTAATGAATTTGCTAGGTTGAAGGTTTTCCTATATATATATAAATATAACTATATATATACATATTTTTTTTAATAGATGGAGTCTTGCTCTGTCACCCAGGCTGGAGTGCAGTGGCACAATCTCGGCTCACTGCAACCTCTGCCTCCCAGGTTCAAGCGATTCTCCTGCCTCAGCCTCCCTAGTAGCTGGGATTATAGGTACCTGCCACCACACCGGCTAATTTTTGTTTTTTTCTGTATTTTTAGTAGAGACAGGGTTTCACCACGTTGGCCAGGCTGGTCACTAACTCCTGACCTCACGTAATCCACCCGCCTTGGCCTCCCAAAGTGCTGGGATTACAGGTGTGAGCCAACATCCCCAGCCTTCTTTAATATATGTTATTTATAATATTGGATGTGTGTGTGTGTGTGTGTGTGTGTGTGTGTGTGTGTGTGTGTTTAAATTAATTTTCTAGTAGTTGCCTAATCTGTAGTGCTGCTTCTAGGATTTCTATTAAAAGAATATATATTAAATTCTTATTAAAGGCCAGTTATGATGGCTCATAATTAAGATGCCCTAGGAGCAACAAGAGCTGGGTGGGCTACTGATTTCCAGATGGGAATCTGGCCATGTTTATAAGACCTGGACTTGAAGATATTGGGCAGCCAACGAGGCCCATGGAGGAGAATTCTGGCGGGCTCTCCACTGAAGTACACCTACCTGCTCTCACCTTCAATTTGCCTTTAATGCCTCTCCACTTGATGTTTACGGCTAGCCACTTTTAGGATCTGAGCCATCAAGATGATGGATGAAATTGGGTTTGGAACAAGAAGGCAGGGCTATTTTGACCCAGGACACATTTCCAACATGCTGTGAAGAACTCTCAGCATCAAATAACATCTGGGTGGAAGAAGTTTTGGGAAAGAAGTCTAGCTGTAGATCACACAATGCTTCTAAATGGGAGAAAATGTCCAGCTCCATGGCTTAGATTCTTTGGGAAGTAGGATAACTGGCTATTCCATTTTAGGCAAGGCTGCCTGGCCAGAAACCCATGTCTTACCATTTCGAGTACATTATGGTTGGCTTACAAATCGTAGCCTCATAGAGAACTTTTTCTTCTTTTAGCTACTGTCTTCCTAAAATAAAAGTCTCTGTGCAAAGCAATGGAAGAAACCTCATATTGTTTTTTGGGGTTGTCATTTTATGTAACTTACAATAATGACTACGGCTCGTCTTATACAAGATGTAAAGGATTTGGGAGAGGGAATCCAGTGTGCATTTAGGGGAAGATGGTGATGTAGATAGCATATTTCAGGAGGCTGGGAAGTGTCGAGTGCTTAAATATATGCTTCTCAAATTTAATGGGCATACAAATTACCTGGTGGTATTATTAAAATGTAACCTCTAATTCAGTAGTTTTGGGATGGGTCCATGGACAGCACTTTGGTTAGTTCCCCTTGGGACTCCCCTTTCCCCTCAGAGAAGTGTAGAGGGTTGGGGTATTGGGCTTAAGAGGAGTTCCAGACTGTAACCATAGCTCTAGGTAACTCCCTTCTGGAAGTGATGTGTTAGCGACTGGAGGAGAAAGGGATCCCTGGGATCCTTTTCAGCTTTACTATTCTGATTTGGGGTTCTGAGATTCCAACAAAGTGGACTTTTGGGAGTCACAGACCTCCATGGGAATGATGAAAGCTGCGTACCTTCTTTCCGCACAAATGCAGGCCCACCTTTAATTCTGCAAACCACTTTAGGCCCCGCGGGCCCGCAGCCCTGGTCCAAGACAGCTGTCTGCTTCACAGGTCGCGCACCCAGAGCCGGGCGGTTCTGCAGCTCAGCATCTGGCCCGGGCTGCGCGTCGGGCTCTGGCGGGGGCGTGTCAGGAGGCGTGTCCGGGGCGTGTCGGAGGCGGGGCCAAGGCGGGGGTAAGCCTCGCCCCTCGGCCGTGCGAGAGGCCGAGCTTGCTGCATTGCAGCCGCCGCGGCGCCGCTCGGCTCTTCACTCCCAACAATGGCGGCTCCGAGCCCGAGCGGCGGCGGCGGCTCCGGGGGCGGCAGCGGCAGCGGCACCCCCGGCCCCGTAGGGTCCCCGGCGCCAGGCCACCCGGCCGTCAGCAGCATGCAGGGTAAGGAACGCGGCCGCGCCGAGATCCCAGCCCCCTAGCGCGGCAACCCGCGTCGTCGCGGCCTGCCCCAGCGGACGCCCCCGGACCCGGCTGAGGAAGCCACGGCAGCCGCCGGCTTCTCCCTCTCTCCCTCCCCGGCTTCCCGCCCCGCTCCCGGCCGCCTCCGGCCCGGCTTGGATCCGGGCTCCGGCCCGCATAGGCCCCGGCCGCGGCCTCTGCCTGCGCTTGGCCCCTGGGCCCTACCGGGCTCTCAGCAGGCCCGCAGGGCCCACCTGGTCCGGGACCGCCCCCGCGGCCGTCCCCATCGCCCCCGCCGCTTACCTGGCGCCCGCCCGGCCCCCGTTTCCGGGAACGCGCCGGCTCGGGGCTGCGGCGGAGCGGGAGGGGCGTCGGGCCTGCCCCCTGGTCCCTGACGCCGCTCAGGTAGGCGGCGAAGACAGCGGCCCCGGCCGGCGCCCCTCGGCCCCGCCGCCGCAGTGGGCCCCGCTCAGGGCCATCTTGGCTGTCGCCGGGCACAGCTGGAGCCGGACCACCGAGCTGACCTCGGGCTACGGGGGCCTCTTGGAACCTGCGTTTTCAAACTTTTGCAGGGTTTCTGTGCGCTGGAAGGGATGGGGGTGGGGGGCGGGTTGCCCAGGCCTGTGCCACCTGTAAGGTAGGTAGGCTGCATTGGCCTGGGAGAGGCATTTTGTTCCAGGCCAGGGATTTCTGTGTTAGCATTGCGTGCAGGAAGAAAAAAAAAAAAAAAAAAAAAGAAGACTTAATTTGGTTTAAATGGAGAGATACAGGAAATAGACAGGGGTCAAAGTGATACTGTAGTGTCTGGACATTTGAGGCAGCTCTGCTAATTAATGACTTTCCCCACTGGGAATGCTTATTAGCTGTGTATGGCTTTTGACAGGGGGTGTTGTGAAAATACCAGGCCAGGCCCGAGCCTGTTAGGGACCATTTCCTTAAATTTACTGGGGAATTTTGAGTAGTAATGCTATTTTTAAAACAGGGAATCTCAGAACTCTCTTGACAACTTTAGCAAACTGCTTGTGTTGAATTATTAACAGAATAAGGGTTGGGGTACCCTTGGTAGTCAGTGTGACCATGGTTACTTTTTGATTCCATTCCTCTTAAAGGGCTTCTAGCATTTAGTTAGGTTCAACAGACATTTATTGAATAGTTCATGTTTATAGAGCATGCCATAATTCAGAAAGAAGAGACAGGATTTTATTTATCTTTACATCCCTGTCACCCTCCCCATGAAATAATTTTAATATACATAAAAACCAGTGATAGATATATAGACAGGATGATGTCAGAGCTTAGAGGACACTTTCTGTGCAGGCCCTCAGATAATTCATTCAAATTGAATTAGTTATTGGATGCCCACTGTGTTGCACAGCACATTATACTGATGAAGTATAAGATTGACTTCCTGACTGTACAGCTTTACAATTTAGGTGGTGGTGGTTGGGGCGAAATGAAATGGCAAAATGACAATTTAGGATTGTATTTCTTGTTCCAGATGGGTGACTTACAAAGCTTATAAAAACAAGGTGATTTGTTTGTTTGTTTTATTGGTGGGGAGGCTGACAGTTTGAAATAGCTGGATACAGTGTGTTTTTTTGGTTCAAAAAATATTTATTGAGCATCTGCATAAAACGCTCATGCTGAGTTTATAGAGAATTGAACATCTCTAACTGTCCTCATGGAGGTTATCCCCCTGTGAAGATGGGGGAGGGAAGGCTATTTAGCTAAACATGAAAAATTACTAGTTGGAAAAGTAATAAAGGTAACAAGCTGGGTTTTGTGATAGAAGATAATAGAGGGCAGTCCGCTTGATAAGATGGTCAGAGAAGGCTTGTCTGGAAAGCTAACCCTCTTTTACCTGAAGACGGTTCTAGGCAGAGGAACTGTGTGTATGAAGGTTCCAAAGCAGGGAAGAGCTTGGAGTGTTCTAGGAACTCCTAAGGCAGTGGTTAGGACTTTTTCTGATGCTGTCCGTTCTCCTCAGCCCTTGTATGTTGATACCCAGTTAACTAAACTTTCTAATAAGCAGAACCCATTTTAGAAGGAAAAAGGACCTAAGACCTCTCTATGAATTATTGCCGAATTTTCTTTTTTATCAATATTGTGTCTAGTCTTGATTGATTCAGGAATGTGTTATATCTTGTTCTTGAAACTTTTTTCATTAGTCAGAATGAAGTGCTTGATATTCTCAGGATGTTGTCTAGAACAGTCTGTTATAAAGCTTGAACTTAAGCAGCAATTTAGGATCCTTCTTTTTGGTTTGTTTTGTTCTGTATCTTAATTGTGAGGCCCTTGAAGAGGAAATCTTATAAGAACCCAAAAAGAAAGATTCCCATCCAATTGTATGGGAGTCACACCTCCCATACTGTACTTCATCTGCCAAGGGTCTTCTTTTGCTTTAGATCAGACTTCACAGAGTGGGCCTTAGAAGATGTTTGATGTACTTCCATTCCTTCTCCCCCAATCTAATTATACTTGCCACTCAAAAAACTTCCTTTCTGGGAGTTGTTAATGACCATGCTCTCTGAAACAGCAGGATTCAGTTGTGGAACATAAGGAATGTTTCATGCAGTAGACATTGGACATCCTCTTATGTGGTAAGCACTGTGGTGGGCACTGGATAACCTTGAATACTTTTTCATGGCTTCATGTTTATGGCCCAAGAGTGGTCCAGGCTGGCCAATATTGCTTTCTTAATATACTGCTTAAGAACCAGAGCTCTGGAGTTCTGGGTTTGAATCTCTTGGCCAGGATTCAGATATGCGTTTTGTGACCAGGGGCAATGAACTTGGCCTTTCGAAGCCTCAGTTTCTCACTTGGAAAGTGGGAATAACGCTTACCTCCCCGGTGGCTTTGAGAATGCATGTAAGCCTGGGACCTGACATGTAGTAAGGATGCAATACACATTAGCCATCATTGTTAGTAGCGACAATATTGTTATGGTCTCATTAATGGTCCCTTTTACTATTGGTAAATGAGTCCCTAACCTCTCATTATTTACCACACAATTTCTTTAGTTCATATTACTAGGTCCCACTGTTCTCTCTAACCTGTTGATTTCCCCACTTTTCATTATTGAGCAGTCCTTTCAGAGTATCCTAGATGAGATTTTATTCTACTTCAAACTCCGGATCTGTTTTTTTCTGGATCTGAGGACTCTCAAATGAATTACAATGTGAACGATATGAAACAGAAGTCTAGCTATCAATTTGCTCTACTCATTTTTTTCATAGGGGATGGGTAGATGGTTGGAATGGGATTTATAGTGAATTTGATTATAAGAGTAATCAACAGACGTAGCTTTGGTTGCATGTTTATGCTAACAGTTATGGCTTCTAATCTGGCCATTTTTGCCACTGTCCCTCAGATAATAGGGAATAGCTGCTAATTTTGTTATTACTCAAAAGATTTGAGTGTCTTCACTCATTCTGACTCATTTTTTTTTCATGTTCATTCACAAACACACCCAACCTTTATACGTTGAGTAGTTCTTAGGCTTTGGTTCTTTGATGACTAAAGCTAACAAAATGTAGATCTGTTTGCCAAGTTAGGTAAGTGGTTTTATGAAAGTATATTTGGCATTAGGATGAGTTTGCATTTGAGAGAGGAAACAATACTCAAATTAACTACTCTGAGAAATGTTTTTATTCTTAATGTTTCATCAATAATTTGTTAATGTAGATAGATTTAATAGGAAAATTTCTTGCATATTAGGGCCTCATTCTGTGGAAAAGTATTATTCTTTAGTCCAAGAAATTTTAGCCAACCTAAAGTACGGAATTGACTTGTAGCATTCAAGAACCTTCCTAGCCATGGCTAGGGCTTTCCCTTGTGGCAAATCTAAAGCCTCGTGACTTTAGCTGGGTTAGTGTGAATCCTGTAAAGAGAAGATCCCGTTATACCAGGTAATTAATCTTAGATATGTATAGCAAATAGTACTAGATAGTATGGTTGGCATGTTAGAGAATAGCATATTCTGATTAATAGAGCTTGCCAGTTGAGAATTCAACAGCTTCTATAATGAAATTGCATAGGCAGGATGATTCCTTTTCCAGTAGTAGCTGTAGCAGCTAGCGTTCCCATAGCATGTAGTAATGTTTAAGAAACAAAAGGATGTTGAAGTGTAAAGAGCACTGGACTTAGACTCAGAAAACCATGGTTAAGGTAACTGCTCTGCTGTTTACAAACACTGAGATTTTAGGGAAATTCCCTAACTTTTCTCAACTCTCTGTTCAGAAATTTCTCATCTGTTAAAATAGGGATAATGCCTAACCTGTAGGGCCATTGTAAGAATCACATTCTTAATGCATGTGAAAGTGCTTTGAAAATTATAGAATATCTATAAGTATATACAGATTGTTATTAGACATGATTATTTGCCTGCTGTAGCTACTAATCACTTAAAATGTAATAGATTTCAAAGATCGCTTAGCTGAGAAATGTCAGTTTTCAATAGATGTTTTCTTAAAATGGTTAGAATAGAATCTATAATTGATTCAGAAAAACATTGAGCCATTTGTAAAATACTTGTTACAAGAAATAGTTAGAAAGTATATGTTGTAGGTGCCTCTGATTCTCTTAAAGTTCTGATTTACAGAAAACTTTGTGACCAGTCGAGTCCTTAGCTATTTACCCTTAGCTGAGCATTTTTATGTATCAGTTTAAGTAGAAAGATGATAGCTTGATTCTGCTTTAGAAAACACGCCCAGTACTTTAAAATGTAATGAAGTATATCTGTTAAGAAAAAGTCAAGAGATTTAAAATCAATGTAGTTATTTCTCCCAAAAATATTTGAATATAAAATGTATATGAAATGTCCTGCTTTTGATTTTGTTTATCTGTTTTTACTAATTAGTCTGGTTTTCGAGAACCATGGGAGACCTTTATCTTAATTTTAAAGAACTGATTTGTGCAGACAGTGAAGAGTTTCAAACCCCAGAACTGCTTGCCCTTCCCAGTGTGTTGCATAACATTTCTTTTACTGTTTAACATAACCTCATACAAGTTCACCTCAGCAAATTAGTCCCCCCTCAAAGCTCAGACTGCATTTCTTCTTATGTTCCCTTAAAAATTAGAGCAACCCTAGTATTAAAGTAAAAAAGTGGAAAAACATCTCACCTCACTTTTAGAATACATATTTTCTCACATTTTCCTTTAAAATACCTTACTAGCCTGAATGTGTGCTGAAACTTGTTTAAGATGGGATATTAGTTAACCCTGTATTTTGAGTCGTTTTCTTTTTTCGTAAATTTTTCTTCTTTCACTAATTTGAGAAGCTGGATTGATGTGAGCCCATAGAGTTTCCTTATTTTTAGGGGTCTGGATATCATAATCCTAACTCCATTCTACATAATCGAGGTCAGTCTCCTTTGTAGTCTCTAGGAAGTGCAGATGGCTCCAATGATACAACCTGAGAAACTTTAATTGAGGCTTAAAAAAGAAAGGGAAAGTAACAGTTAACAACTTTTTTCACTGTTCCTACCTAATTTGATGCTCACAACCACCCTTTAAAGGTAAGTGGACATAGTCCCCTTCATAGATGAGGGGGTAGACGTTTATTTGTTCCGGAAGAGGTAGGTTTTAACCACCTGGGTGACTGGTAGCCTTTGCTCCTCTTACTACTCTACTGCATGGTTCTCTGAGCCTCTTTAAGTCATTTCGGCCATTCAGGTCTGAAGGAAGCATCTTTGCCAGAAGTGATGCAGATTCAGGAATGGAGGAGAGAGATTATTTTAGGTTTCAGTCAGGGGGCGGAAGCTCCAAGCAACCAGCCACCTTTTGAGATGATTTTGGAGCCTTGGTGCTCCAAGAATGGTGCACTTCATGTTACAATGTTCTAAACTTGCTGGAGGGTTTACAGTGGCATTTTGAATCTGGAGACATTTCGATTGGGAATCTCCAAGTAAGTAGAAGACTTTAATTAGAGGAAACCATTGCAGATTTGAAAGGTAATAGAATCCTTTTAACACTATATATAAAAGGAACTCATTTGTCATAAAATTTAACAAATGTTGTCGTTCTGGCTAAATTTGTAATCTGGGCAAATTACTATTTTTGCTAGTGGATGTGGGTTAGCTTCTAGCTGTTTCCTCCCAACTCTAGAAAATCTTCAGGTGTCTCTTCATGCTCGGTAAGGTTGGGAGTTTAATGTGTACTTAAATTAATAGAAAGTATTCAAGTCGTAAGACTGGCCTTGCTTGTAGCTACACAGTGAAAGGGAGATGATTAGCCAGTAGTTTACACAACTCAAGGTGGGCCTTTTGAATGAAGAAAACAATTACATTGTATGCAGCTTGGTTCTTTAAGAACAACACATTATTCTCCACCACGGAGAAAGAGGATTAAAATGGACATCACAGCAGCTTTTTCGAGCTATATTGTATTTCATTTTACCCAAAATTGCTCAAACATTGAAAAACGAGGAATCAAGAAAAGTGTTGCCAGACATATATATCTGAACATACACACACACACACAGACACCAAATTGTTCAAACATTTAAAAAAAGAGGAATCAAGCAAAGTGTTACCAGACATATATATCTGAGATATATATATGTCAGATGTATATATATCTGACATGCCTATGTCTATTTATTGCCTGGCTTTGCTGAAGAAATCAGTGACATTAAGGAGCTCCCCTGATGATTTTGGCAGTTTCCCTGGGATCTGGTTATGTGCCTGTCATGGGGAAGCATCCATCTTTTTGGGGTTGTTAGAGTCCTCAGGATACCAGGCTGTGCCTAGGAAGGGTTGTGGCAGAGGTGTAGAGGGTGGGGTGTGGATCTCCAGGGCTGTTTGGAGTCCTTCCCTTTTAATTCTCTCAAGGTGACTGTGAATGAAAGGAGAAAGACTGGTTTTGTGTAGGTTAAGCTGGTCTGGTGAGCACCAGAAAGATAGGGAAGGTGCCATAATCGTTGCTCCCATGAGGGAGAGAACAGGAATAATAGTGCCTGTGATAATAATAACCTGCTTTAGTCCAGGCTTTTGGTTGGACATTTTAGATATATTTTCCCATTTAATCATCACAAAGCTCTTTTGGGTATTATTTTATTTTTCACAAATGAGGAAATTGAGGCTCATAGAAGTTAGATACTTGCCCGAAGGAACATAATTGTAAGTTACTGTCTCAGTGTACTGTGCTTCATTAAACAGGCTTGAGAAGGTAATGTGGCATTTAATTTTGTGGCCAAAGAATAAATAAGGTGGTCATTGCCCAAAGAGAGAAAAAGAGCTGGCATTATGAGGACACTTGAATTTAAAAAGTGTGGAAGGGATTTGATGAGTATTTTATCAACTCCTGACTGGTGGATGATTCTAACAACCTGGAATTGCTAACTTAGGGTGGCTCCCTTTTGATAGTTTCAGAAAGTTGACATAAGGAAATCTGAAAGAAATAAACCATCAGGAAATAAATCTTGGGGAACTTGCTCTGAGTACAATGAAAATACAAATTTAGGGTAGGTTTAGATAACGCCTTACATGTTAGAGCCATAATGATATACTATGGGTAGCTGTGGTTTAAGGCACATGCCAGAATTTTGAAGTTGGAAGTTTGAAGGTGTCAGACAAATAGACCCTTCATGCTTGTGACAGAGGAAAGACTTTGTAGCACGGTCTTATGGGCATGACCCAGTAAGGCAGCTCTGATTTTCTTTACATTAGTGTGGGTTCATATTGTAGTTCATAATGCACTTTCAGCAGTGCAAAAATCCAGAATGTCCAGGGAATCAGAAGCAACTACTGAGGAGATAGGAAACCACTTATGTCCGGCCCCACACCCTCTCTGATTTATATTATCAACCTAGAGGAATGGGAATGGAGATAACTACAAAACCTCATAATGGCCATTACACAAGCAAAATTAGATTTAGGCACACTGTTTTCAAACCCTTAAGATAATATTCTTTATTTAAAAATGACAAAACTAGGACTCAAGTGAAATGACTTCAGTTTCACAGTTGGAACTAGAACTCTGGTCTCCTAACACACTTCATTTTGTTTTTTACTTTATCGAACACCATTTGCTTTTTGTTTTTATAAACACTTACACATCCTAAACAGCCGCTTACCTCACTGTATTTGGTAAGAACAGTAAATTGTAGGTTTCAAGTTATGGCCACATAAAAGATCTTAAAATTGAGGTAAGAGGGTGAGAATGAGGGGCAAATGTGGGAACGAGGGTAGGAGATACGTAGAGAGAAAAAGGAGGAGGAAAAACCCTCATGTAGCTTTATTTCTTTTATAGGCTTACTAGCATTCTGTCCTATGCATTTTGATATTGATTCATCAGTGTCAAGAATTAAGAATTTAAATTCTTAAATAAATATTATTCTTGATATTTATTCTAAGATTTAATTAAACTTGCCTGGGGCCAGGAAAAATGAAAAAGACTCAAATTTACCCCTACTTGTAATGGGGAAAATATAAATGGAGGATCATGTCAAATTAAGCCCCAGGGTACAGATAGTTCACCCAGATATAAAAAAGTGAGGCACACACGACTTAAAATGTAACCAGTTAACTATCAACAGGTTCAACGGATTATCTAGTACCTCCAGAGATAGGACTTAAAGTAAGTGAATAGGAAGTCAGAATTTCGGAGACAAGGGAGACTTCAAAAATTGAACATATTGGCCAGGTGAGATGGCTCATGCCTATAATCCCATAACTTTGGGAGGCTGAGGCAGGAGGATTGTTTGAGACTAGCCTGGGCAACATGTTGGGACTCCATCTCTACAAAAACAAAAAACAAAAAACTCCAAAAGTTAGCCAGACATAGTGGCTTGCACCTGCTGAGATGAGAGGATTGCTTGAGCCCAGGAGTTTGAGGCTGCAGTGAGCTATGATCATGCCACTGCACTCCAGCATGAGCGACAGCAAGACCCTGTCTCTAAAAAAAAAAAAGAAAAAAAGAAAAATTGAACATATGTGAGTGAATACTAGTGAATATTATATCATAACTAAGAACTTGCATTTTGTAAAGTTGAGGATATTGGAAGTTTTCCTCATTTTTCCTTCCCACCATCTTTCTCTTGTGCAAGACTGTTGCTTGTCCCCTTTGCCCATCCTTACCCTTTGAGTATGAGCTAGTGGAGCTATTTGGTACTTTCCCAAATCTGCACTATAAGCACTAACTTTCTGACTTTTGCAGGTCTTAAAGATTTAGACAGACTAACTAAAAACGCTTCTTCCCTAATTTAATAATGTTAAGAAAGTTACAGAATTGCTAAAGAAAAGGTGAGCCAGTGTGTTCCAGTTAATTTAGACCTTGCTTGTCAGTGGACTCTGGGCGAGTTACCAAGTATTTTCTTAGTGAGAAATAATGTGGAGAGATGGATGTTTGGATGAGACCCCAGAATTCGTTCACCTGGTCACTTCATAATTAGATACAAAGAACAAGTCTATACTTATGCTTTGAACATTTTAATCCCCTTCCCACCTCCTTTGTAGCTACTTATATAGATTCTGTACTGGTGACAGAATTTCAGGTTTTGAGAATTTTTTAACACTTAAACTGGCGCTTAGCTTTTAATGTGTTAGAGCAATCATTGGCGACATTCTGTCATTCTCAGTCACATATACCTTAAAATTTTTAATATATTATACACTTATTAAGCAATGTAACTTTTTTTAACACAACCTTACATATAGATCCAACTGATTTCTTTTTCATATACCTTACAAATTTGTTTTCTTGCTCCTTTCGCCATCCATATTACTATTTTGTTCACCTCTTCTCTCTCCTTTTCACCTCTTTCTTTTTGCTACCTAGTAACAGTCAATCAGGGTATTTTGCTTTAAAGTTGTTTGTTTCCCAGCCTCCTCTCCAGTTGTAGTAGAAGGTGAGTTTTACCTTCCCTTTTCCAGTGGGATGCGGGGAAGACTTGCCTGCTACTTCCAGAGAACCCTTTTCTTCCTGAATGTAGTCAGCTCATTTTGCGTGGTAGGAGGCCAGTGGCTTTTAGTTGCTTAGGCTTGTAAGACCCATACATCTCTGTTTTTCTTTCTGAATTCTGTTCCCACTGCACATTTGGTGGGGTAGCATATTGACCTTCAGTGGTAGAGAGACCAGGGTCAGACCTTCTAGGTTTGCCCTAGTACTTCTTTCCCATGAAGTCTCCATTCTCACTTCTTCCTGCATTGTCATTTCTATGATAAGGTAGTCAGCAGTGGATTACTTCGGTGGTGCACCAAAGACACTTTTCATGTCAAAGTAGCTACATTAGCATTTTTCAGTTTTTGTACTTTATAGATGGCATCTTCTTAGAATCCTAAGAATTTTGATAACTGGATAGGAAAGACTACTTAACTATCCTTTCTTCAGTCCTGGCTCTTTTTTCTGCGTGTTTTGATTGAATTTGTTTAAACACAAAGTTATTGTAAGCTTACTTCCTTCATTTTGTTCCCCAAAACACAAGCGTAGATAGACCACTAACAAAACCAGATATCCATCCACTCACTAAACTAGGGGTGAAAGAATATTTTGTGAAGGCTTTTGTTTTAATTGGCTTACTTTACTGGATGCATCTTATCAAAAATTATATCTGTATACAGTGTATACATAAGGTGTAACCAGATCCAACTGGATTTGAAAATGTGTTTAGGTTTCTAAGGGGAATTCACAGGTTTTCTTCTTGTAACTTCTAAAGTACTCAGCTTTCTCATTCCTAGGGACACTATCTTATTTTTTCAGGCCTATTTTAGAAGAATTTCAGCCCCTCTTCAGCAGTTCATTGTCTTATTGTTTGAAGTTAGCTAATTTACTAGGAAATGTTTTATGTGTGTGTAAGTTTCACAATTTATGAACTGCTAAAACTTTTGCATCATAGATGGTAATTAATCATGGGTAACTCTAAATCAGTAATTTAAGTTAGTTAAGTAACTCATTCTGTATTTGTAGGTTGAAAACATTGAAAAAATGGACAGAACTATCTTAAAGGTTACTGTTAACTTCTAAGGGCTTGTAGTTCTTTTTATTAAATATATATGAAAAATAAAGATTAAGACTGCAACACAATTTAAACTTGATTTCAGTTTCATGTAATGTATTACATCTACATCTGACAGAGCTAAGTTTTTTAAGAAAGCTCATGTGTTATTGTCTCTGGTGGGGGTAATGTGATTTGACCTGTTCTTGAATTAGTTTTATTCAAAATTTAATATAAAAATGCAATGTCATGTTCCAATTTTGGTTTGTTTGATTTACAGTAAATGAACTGGAACTTATCTTTTTTACTTTAGGCTTTCAGATAAACTTCTGTGAAAAGGCACAAAGTAAGCTACAAATTTTATGATATTATGCTATTTATTTTTTTCATATCCATCTTGGTATTGGGAATGTGTCCACTATTGTTTCAGCTAACCAGCCATGGCAATTTTACATTCAAAGAGCTACCATTTTTCATTCTTCTTCCAAATATTAAAAAAATTATATTCTTGATTGTAAATTGTACTTTTTTCACTTGAAATTGAAATAGCAAAATATGTATAGGTATTTAGATGTATATAATATGGAAATACGTATTTAGGTATAGAAAAGTATATATAGGTATTCAGACTTAACCCTAATTTAAATTACAAGTAGAAGAGAATTCACTTTTAAGATCGTGGTGCAGAAAGTATAGAGTTATATTCAGACATCTTATGCTTTAAGATTGAATTATTATAAACCATACATTGAATATATTTTTAATTTTTTTCTTTAAAACAAAACAGTGTTTTTCTTCTGCCTCCCTCACCATCCTTATTCTGTATTAGGACACTAGTCTTCATATAATACAAAACAGACTTTCTATATCAAAAAAAAAGTTATAAACCTTGTATTTTATTTATTGAGACAGGGTCCCACTCTGTTGTCCAGGCTGGAGTGCAGTGGTGCAATCATAGTTCACTGCAGCCTTGACCTCCCTCAAGCGATCCTCCTGTCTCAGCCTCCTGAGTAACTGGGACTGCAGGTGCATGCCACCATGCCTGACTGACTTTAAACTTTTTTGTAGAGACAGGGTCTCACTTTGTTGCCTAGGCTAGTCTCAAACTCCTGGGCTCAAGAGATCCTCCTTTCTTGGCCTCCCAAAATGCCAAGATTACAGGTGTGAGCGACTGTACCCGGCCAAAAAAAAAATGCATTTAAGCTTAAATGTCATCTGTATCAAGTACAGTTAAAAAAATCTCATCTCAAGGAGACTACTCTCCAGTTAACATAAAAATATACCAAAATATGATATAAGTCGTTTTGTCTTCTGCTTTTTATTCATGAACTGGAGAAGAATGATGCTTTGATATGTGTCATTCTTAAGTACATTGATTCAAAGGCAAAAAAAATTAACCTGGAAAAAACATTTCTGCTATGTTTAAATTTTTTTTTGGAATGAGAATGCATAGTTTCCACTGATTGATTGTTATGACTACTTTGAAATGTAGTTAGCAAAAATTTATTTCTTGAATGGTTCACCCACAATGTAACTGTATATAAATAATAGAGATCAAGCAGTTAGACCCTAGGATAAAAGTTTTTTTAATTGGTTCATTACTGTTATGTCTCCCTTGCCTTAAATAACTGACTAAAAGTAATATATGATTTCCTGCTCATAGTGAACCTTTATATATGATATATATCTATATGAAATGAAGTTACAACTTCTGTTTTATGCTTTTAATTTTGACACATTCACTGTGATAATTTTTAGCTTTGACTTTTCAAAATGTCTGCTTAATATTTAGCATGACAACGTTTAGCTTTTATTTGTATTTTGACCTAAAATCTAATTAATGAAAAAAAAAGGCTGTCTTCTATTTTTGTTCATTTCGGAGACAGAGTCTCACTGTGTTTCCCAAGTTGGAGCCCAGCCTCCAATTCCTGGGTTCAAGTGATCTTCCCACCTCAGCCTCCCAAGCAGCTGGGACTACAGGTATATGCCACCACACCCAGCTCATTTTAAAATTTTTTTGTAGAAATGGAATCTTGCTATGTTGCCCAGGCTGGTCTCGAACTCCTGGCTTTAAGCAGTCCCACTTCAGCCTCCCAGAGTGCTGAGATTACAGGCATGAGCTACCACACCTGGCCTGACTTTTTAAAAATTTTAAGTTGTACTCACATTATTGTTCTTTTATTTAACCTAGTTCTATTGTAGATATAAAACAAGAGAAACATTGATTATAGTAAAATTGTATATACAGTGTCTATAAGTAGCTTTGTATGTGGATTAAAAATGCTTTTGAATCTTCTAAATGGCTCTGTTTTTGTCATTATAGAAATGATAGGTTTGCAGTGCGGCCTGCTTTGATACATATGGAAGAATTTAACAATGGAGGCTGGGACAGCGGAACCTGTTAGAACTTAATTATGTGGTGGAGGGGCATATGTATTCCCACTTTGATTATTCACCTTGATTGCCCTCACTGTCTCTTTACACTGTGGCTACTTTCTGCTGGCTTTTCACATCTCTCTTTTTATTTCTGCCTCTTCCCATTGGAAGGCTCCTCTTTATTTTCCAGTTTTGGGATTCAACACAGTTATTTATATACATTCACGAAATCACATATTGGACACCTAGAAACCATACAGTAAGCGAGATTCTTGGTACAGAAATGAATGGAATAGGCCCCTGCCGTTAGCAAGCTCATAGTTTAGTGGACTAGAGTTGATCCTACATTGATTACATAAGTGTTCAACCACCGATGTTACATACTAATTGATTTTTAACTGGAACCAGGGTGAGGATGGTGCAGGAGTGGATCTGTCCTGGTCACCTTTGCTCCTGCTGTTCTCTCATGAGAGAGAATGAGCATAAAGGGTGCTGAGAGTCTCATGATAACTGCTTTCTTGATTGGACACTGTGTCTTAGGGATCCAACAATGGGCCTACCCTGCTTTGGAGTTAAGCAGATGTGTCTGTGCTGGCTCAGACCTCAGTGAAAGACTCAGGGAATGGGAGTGCACACATCAGGGAGGGGAGCTGGAGACTTGGTAGAGATGGCTAGCCCTAAATTGACAGTATTTATTTTTGTACTATCAGTACCTATATTTTAGTATAAGTTCTCAGTTGCTTACATATATTAGCACTTCTTCTAAATCTGGTCCTGTGATTTGCATGACTTAAAAAATTAGAAGTGCAAATCTGTAATGTTTGCAGACAATCTGCTGGTTTGCTCTGGAATATAGACATTAACTTTATGGTAAAAGTGGTCACACTTTTCTTTAAAATTGGGCTTGGGCTGGGCACGGTGGCTCATGCCTGTAATCCCAGCACTTCGGGAGGCCACGGCGGGCAGATCACCTGAGGTTGGGAGTTCAAGACCAGCCAGACCAACATGGAGAAACCCCGCCTCTACTAAAAATACAAAATTAGCTGGGCGTGGTGGCACACGCCTGTAATCCTAGCTATTTGGGAGGCTGAGGCAGGAGAATCGCTGAACCTGGGAGGCAGAGGTTGCAGTGAGCCGAGATTGTGCCATGGCACTCCAGCCTGGTCAACAAGAACAAAACTCCGTCTCAAAATAAATAAATAAATAACTCCATATCAAAATAAATAAAATAAAAATAAAGGCTTGAAATCATCAAAGGACTGATTTCTCCACTGTTGGGGCACACTTATTTCTAGAATCTCCACTTTTATTCTAAGGATATTTCAGAATTATCAGATAAACTTATGTTTAATTTATTAAAAAGAATTATGTATCATACAGTAGTTGTAGGAGGGTATGGGGCAAAGAGCATGAAATTAGATATCATTCAAGTCTGATAAGTCTGAGTACTGGCTGCTTCAAATGCTCAAATCTATCACAAATAAAAAAGATTTATTGTAAGATGATTCTGATGACTAATGGAAGCTCTGAAGGATTAATTTTTTTCATTGACTTTCACATAGTTTTTGCTCTTTATATTGCTATGTCACTCTCTTTTAATCACTTTATTACAGTTGCCTGTTACAAGTCAGTGGAGTTTTATTGGAGATGTGTGTGTGTGTGTTTACATGCACAAATAGCGATTACATATTTAATTTGGGAAACATCTCTGTAGAAATTCAATAAAAATTCACTCTGCTCCTCACAGTCTTCCTTTTATAGATTATAGTTCATGCATTTATCTATTCTTCAGTTTATTTTCTAAATATAAGTTTATTTTAGATAAAATAAACTTCAAGTTACATTTATTTAAGACCATAGTGTCATGTTTCCTTTAATACTGTTGGATCATTGAATTTTTCTGAAGTCTGAATGTAAGAACACTTTAGGGAAAAAATATTTTTCCATTTGTAAATGTAGAGTTATAAGTGTAGAGGTCCTGCCTTAGAAGGTTGATTAATTTATCTGTTATTTGAAGATAATGTTTTTGTACATGTAAAGGTATTTATATAATTTATGACCGTATCTCACTGACTTTAATGAGCTAACCTGTGAACATAGTTGTTTAGAATATGACTTACTTGCTTTATAAAACCATTTTTTCATTTTTTATTTTTCGAGGAGGGATGAGGATTTGCCTGAAAACATTTTTTTCTCACAAGCTGCCCAACTACCAAAAAAATCATTCTTCCAAAACCTCCTGATGTTGATTCCTCATGAAGAGCAGTTGAGTTGCCCAATGTGTGCCACTCATGACAGAAGCCCCCTTTTTTAGAAACACAGTTTTTAAGAAATGCTTTTATGAAGTTGAATTTACCTTAGTGTTGTCAGCATTCTAATTTTTTTTTTTTTCAGATGAGAATCGTGACTCATTTAAAGATCTTTGGGCATAGGAATTTTCCTCAGAAAATGCCTAACCGAATTGTGTGCTAATCAGAGTGATAGTAGCTAGGCGTTTGGCAAATACTCTTCTGATAATTTATTTTTCACACAAAGGTGCTTTTAGCTCTTTATCACTATCCTCCCCCCCGCCACCTTTTTTTTGTAGCTGTAGTATATTATCAGTTCATGGCCGAAGAGTTCTGGAGCTCTAAATATTTTGGGTAGTGTTAAGTTTCTGTAGCTTTGTCTTTTACGTTTTTGGTGGCGTTAAAAACTTTGTGCTTTTAAAAAATGATTTAACTTGGAAGTGTTTACATAGCAACAGGATATTTATTTAGAAGATTAGATGCTCCAGAGCTATTATTCTGGATGCTACGAATTGAAATTAGAGTACAGGTGGCGGTGGTTTTTGGTGGCACTGCACATCAGTATATTTGGAGGAAAAAAAGGAGGCATCCTGGAGACTGATTTTATAAGTATCCCTAATTGTTTTTTAAATTGGTAATAATAAAAAGGAAACCATAAAGAGGAAGAAGGATGTTTTGTGAATCTTCCAAGAAATTTGGGAAAGATACTAAGTTTACTGACCTGCTAAGAAGTGTCTGTAAATGATGATGTTTTGACTTTATTGGAGTGGACTATAGGAAAACAGGAAAAGCAAGGAGCAAAGGGAAGGTTAAGTTGTTCTGCATTTAAAACTAAGAACTTAGAAAATTCAGCTGGTTAAATTTCTGATTCCTCGTTTTATGTAGCAAAAGTCTGCAGCCAGTGACAAAAATTATATAATTTGGAAATTATTAAATTCAACTGAGTTTGTCAGCAATCCTAAGAAACAAAATGTCATTTACTGCTCTTGGAGGTTTATACAGTTTATATAAGTTTATATATATAGTTAATGAAGTTAGTTGAAAAATGAGACTTGTAGGATTAGCCGTAAGCCAGACTAACATCTAATATTTATTACCATTTGTGGGGACCATGATAAATTGTCAATGGGAAGTCCATCTGCTTGGAAAAAAGTTTTTATATTAGTTAAAGCCCAGGAATTGTAGAAGTAGAAGTGGTATATTCCAGAGTCAGGATTCACCTATTCCTCTCATACTTTATGCTTATACCTTATACCATTACAAAGGGAATGTTGCTTAGTTGTCTTTGACCTTGGAAATGGTGGGAACATGAATTTGTCCTGAAAATGCTTTTTGTTGCTAGGAGAAGGAAGGTTTCTAACAGCTATTGCACCTTAAAATAATTTGGGGATGCTTAATGTGTGACATTTTTGATAAGAAAATAATTAGTGACTTTCCCACATTGCAGAAAGTTTTCATTTATATGCCACTTGAACTTTACTACTAGCAACAAAGGGATGTTGACAGAACTTTCAGAGTTGAACAGATACAGAGTAGAAATGATATGGAACGTTTCCAGAGAGTATTCCCAACTGAATCCAGTTAAAGTGGTTTTCAATTTAGCTCATACATTTAGGGTGATGGTTTTCAGATAAGGTGTAGTAAATATTTGGATTGTCACTACATGGTTTTATGAGATCCGAATCTAGGCAAAAATGTACAGTTAATAAGATGCACTAAGAAAAAGTTGTGACTTCCATCTTGGTGTTCATTTTCCCTGGGTAGAAATGCCAAATGAACGTTAATCAGAAAGGAAAATCAAGTGCGTACGAACATATTCACTCCCCTTTAGAGAAGCTCTTACAAGGATAAGGAAAGAGAGGTACAAATGTTAACAGTTAACAAATGTGTATCTATATATACCTTCGACAGATAAAGATATTACCAATGATAAGAAGCACTGGGATCCTTAAAGATGAATTAAATCTAGAGCCTACTCTGAAGAAGTGTATGTTCTTTGAGAGATTGAGCATATATAGGAGCTATGTGGTAGAAATAATAACTCTTAATGTGTGTCAAATCCTGCTCTAAGCACTTTATATTAACTCCTTTAATTCTCACAGCAGCCTTATGAAGTAGGTATAATAGTTAATATAGATGAGGAAACTGAAGCACAGAGAGGTTAAATAAAATTTCCAAAGTCATATAGCTAATAAGGGGCAGAACTGTGTGACCTTGGTCTGGTCACAGTTTACACGTTGTAAACCTTAGTGTTTTACTAATTCTTGAAAGCAGTTGGCGCTTATAGGAATGATTTTCTAAATCAAATGGCTTTTGAGGAGTCCTCATTTGCACTAGGTTATGAGATCTGGACCTACCATTTGTATCTTGGTAAGCCATTTGTAAGGCTTATCAAGGTTATCCAGTAAGCCTTACTGAACATTAAAGTAGAAAGATTCGTGTTGCTATGAAGTTAGGAACACAGGGGATCTACCACTAGGGAAAACGATGTTTAGTGAAAACCTAAAACTCTCCTGGCCTAGACAGATACAAGGAATAAATTGCTCCAGGATTCTGAAATGACTTATATGCCTGGGTACAGCTGGAGAAGATTAGTAGGTCAGGAGACCTGTGAAGTCAGTGGACAAGGTGGCACAGCCATGAACTTTGTGAGGACAGACTGTGTACAGACTGTCATAAGAACAAACTGATGCTTTTAGCAAAATTTTTATGCATCCCCACCCCACTTTCTTTTTGGCAGGGTTAGAAGAAAGATTTAATTTTTGAAAACTTTTAATAGTAGAAAATTTCAAACATACACAAAAATAGAGTAGTGTAATGAACCCCCATGTACCCATTATATAGCATCAGCAATTACCAACATATAGCCAATCTTATTCTTCTTCCCTCCAGCTATCTCTGCTGAAATACTTTAAAGCAAATTCTGATGATCATTATTTTATCCACATAAATGTGTTACATGTCTTCTAAGTGATAAGGACTCTTAAGTACATAACCTTGATACAATTATCTTACCATTAAATGAACAAAACAATATTACTAGATAGCTACTCAATGTTCACATTTCCCCAAAAGCCTTGTAAATGCTTTATTTACAGTTAATTTGTTCAAGTTGAGACCTCAGCAAGGTATGTGCACACATTGTGTTTGGTTGATATGTCTCTTAAGTTTCTTTAAGTCTGTGGTAATTCCCTCTTCTCTCTTTTCCTTACCATTTTTTTTGTTTAAAAAATTGGTTAATTTATTTTGTAGCATTTTGTATATTTTGAATTTAGCTGATTGCATCCTTTTAGTGTTTAACATGTTCCTTCATGCCCTGTTATTTACCTTTAACTGGTAGTTACAGAAACTTGATCAGACTTTTGGCAAGAACACTTACTTCATAGACGGTGTTGTGTGCTTCACATCACATCCAGGTGTGTTGTTGTATCACATCAGGAGGCATATGATTTCTTGCTGGAGCTCTTGTTAAGATAAACCAATGGGCTTAGGTGCTGCCAGTGTGATCCATATAGTGTAAAGTTCTCCGTCAGCCTTTCATCTGGTAGTTCTGGCCCATTAACTTTGCCTACATTAATTATTTTCTTAGGAAGAGGTTGACTCTCATTTTCAGACATATGTGGGCTTTGCAGATAGTAGTTGTATCCAGCCAAAAAAAGACAAAATTTGTGTTTGGGGCATACGACTGAAAGCAAATTATAGTTAAGCCTTGGTCATCTCTGACTTAACTATGCCAGTACTGAAGGATATGAAAGTGTATTTATATGCACACATATGATATACAAACATTTATTGGGATGCTCTGTATTTTGATAGAATAAAAACTGGATACTTGTCCTTTCTACCCTGGAACATGAGTTGACCCGTTCATTAGGGCTCATTAATCTTTGCAGATAATCAAAAGCCACGTCAAGTAATAAGACGTTCTCTGGTGAAGTTGAGGAGCCAATGGTTAGACAAGACTAGTCCTGCCAAATTAAGATCAATCCCACATCAGAGCCCAGCTTTTAAAATTTGTGTTCAGTGCTTAGAATGCTCAGATCCTTCAGGGCATTGCCTTCCCAATACTTGGGAATCAGATTGAGTCATCAAAAGTCAGTTTGGTGAGGATTAGAAGTGAGTAAGAGTTCTCATCCAAGATTTAATAATAAAAATCTGATGACCTACTTGTGTTTTAATTAGTAATGACCTTTTAATGACCAGTGTATTGTTGTCCAGTTGGTGTCATTTACCCTTTAGCAGTAATAATTTCTTAACCAGCTTTCCTTTTTTCCTATTCCTGTTCCATCATCTAACTTTAACTAAATTATTAAAGTCTCTCTCTCATAATGTTCTACAACTAATTTGCTCTTTTGATTTTCTTTTTGGGTCTTTGTAAGTAACAAATTAGAAACATTTCAGTCGAGATTCTCTCATGTACTGTATACACATGAAGTAGATAGAATGCAGCATATCTTCTTTGAGTGCCATTCACGCTCTTGATTATTCTTAATTTAGTCCAACCTTTTAAAACTTTCAATTTGTAGAATACATTTATGGGCAGCAAATAGTTTTTTATTGTGTCCACTAGGAAATAAAAGTGTCATTCACGTGTTAATATTTTTGAAATTGGGAGTTATTTAATGAGGGTCAAAAGAAGCCATTTGGATGGGAAGAGGAGTATAATATTGCTAATTATTACAGTATTACCTTTGTGTGGAAGATGCCTGCTCATTTTCTACCTTTGTTATTTGCTTTTGTAGTGACATAGTTGGATTTTAATTTAAATTTGACTGTGAATTGTTACCTAACATTTCTTAAAAATGATTATATAGTGAAATGCAGTGCTGAAATGGAAAGTTGGTGGAGTATACAAAAGATCGCCACGTCTTATGACTCATGGCAGTTAAAAATGCCACATATCGTTTTCAAAGCCAGAAGATGTCTGACTAATTTTTGTGTCATGAAATTCTATTGTTAGCATTTTTCTACTAAAAGCTTCTGGTAACTTTTTCAGAGAACCTGCATAACATCCAGTTATACATATTTTGATTAATGAGGAAAAAAAAGAAACAACAAATTGGACCCATCAGGAAATACAGATAAAACACCCTATTGTGTCTCTTAGTGAAACTGTTTGTCCTAAAGATGTTAAATCAAACATTTGAGCTTCGATTCCTTATTTATTGAAGAAATATTTGAGTTCCTATTAAATGACAGGTGCTGTTACGAAAAGAACTGAGTTGTCGGACTCATTAGAATGTTCTGTCTGATTTCCAATGGTCAGAAGTCATGCCGATGGAGGCTGGGCGTGGTGGCTCATGCCTGTAATCTCAGCGCTTTGGGAGGCTGAGGCAGATGGCTCACCTGAGGTCAGGAGTTTGAGACCAGCCTGGCCAACATGGCGAAACCCCGTCTCTATTAAAAATACAAAAATTAGCCGGGTGTGGTGGCAAGCACCTATAATCCCAGCTACTTGGGAGGCTGAGGCAGGGGAATTGCTTGAACCCAGGAGGTGGAGGTTGCAGTGAACCGAGATCGTGCCTGGGCAACAAGAACGAAACTTTGTCTCAAAAAAAAAAAAAAAAAAAAAAAGGTACCATGTAGTAGTAACAGGTTATTTGAAGGCTCTCTAAATGGTCTTAATTAAAATATAAACAAAATTATGTATATGACTTAATTATTCTTTTGCCTTTCCGGATTCTTAAGGACAGATCATGGTGAAAAACAGTTATTACAGGTAAAGTGGTGTGAATTGTTTGCTTTGAGGGTAAAGTAATTGGTCAGTTGGACAAGGTAGTCAGGTGTGCCCTGGAGGGTGGAGAGAAGTCAGCTTGGAATAAAAAATTAACTGAACCTGGGCAACATGGTGAAACCCCTTCTCTACAAAAAAATACAAAAATTAGCTAGGCGTGGTGGCCTGTAATCCCAGCTACCCAGGAGGCTGAGGTGGGAGTATCGCCTAAGCTCGGGAGGTGAAAGCCGCAGTGAGATGTGATCATGCCACTGCACTCCAGCCTGGGCAGCAGAGTGAGACCTTCTGTCAGAAAACAAACAAACAAAAAACTGTGATTCACTATGGAGTCGAAAAGAAGGAAGGTAGACTCTCTGACTTTCCTGAGTTAGGATGATGTGGACGTACACACTCTTTGCTTTAAGAAGATGTTCTTGGCCAGGCGCAGTGGCTCACGCCTGTAATCCCAGCACTTTGGGAGGCCGAGGTGGGCGGATCATGAGGTCAGGAGATCGAGACCATCCTGGCTAACACAGTGAAACCCCGCCTCTACTAAAAATACAAAAAATTAGCCGGGCGTAGTGGCGGGGGCCTGTAGTCCCAGCTACTCGGGAGGCTGAGGCAGGAGAATGGCGTGAACCCAGGAAGTGGAGCTTGCAGTGAGCCGAGATTGTGCCACTGCACCCCAGCCTGGGCGACAGAGTGAGACTCCGTCTCAAAAAAAAAAAAAGATGTTCTTGAAGTCAGGAGTCTGCTAGGTATTTGAAGGACATCTGGCTTGATAATCCTTGATAATATTTTCATACCTGTTTGTAAATCAACTATTGATATATGATGGAGAAAAATATATTCATAAACCATATCTTCCTACTTTATCTCTAATTCACTTGGAATTTGTTTTACTTGTTTTTAGGCTTGTTTATGTATTTGGATAGTTATAAAAACCAATTACAAATATTAATGGAAATAAGGAAATTTTTATTTCATATTTCCAATATTGACACCTTGAGGTGTTTTCTGACACCAAGCAATTCTCTGACAGCAACCGTGTATCCAACAATTGAATTCATTTCTGACACTATTTACCTGGAGTTAGCATCAGATCTCACAAGTTGAAGGGCTCAGTGCTTCAAGATTCTCCTCACTTAGGATGCTAGTCACAAATGGGGTGTTTAGGATACTCATACTCCTGCTTGGATGACTTCAAATTTGGGGGTTCCCATTATCAAACTTGACCACAACCCCCATCAAGTTTGATAATTTGCTAGCATGTCTTATGGAACTCAGGAAATAACTTTATTTACTGTTATTGGCTTTATTATAAAGGTTACAGCTCATGAACAGCCAAATGGAAGAGATAGGACCCTGTATAGGGCAAGGTATTGGGAGTAAGGGGACAGGGGAATAGCGCAGAGGTTCTGTGACCTTTCCGTGCACACTATCCTTGATTCATTTACCAATCTGGAAGCTCCCCGAACCCTATTGTTAGGGGTTTTTATGGAGGTTTTATTAGGTAGGCATGATTGATTGTATCATTGGCCATTGGACTCCGTCTCTAGTCCTTTTCACCTTCCTGGAGGTGTGTGTATGGGGGCGTGGCAGCTGAAAGTTTTAACAGTCTACTCACTTGGTTGTTTTTTTCTGGTGGCCAGCCCCTATCCTGAAGTTATATAGGGGCCCTCTGAGAGTTACCAGACTCTTGCACAAAGTCAGGTATGGTTGAAAGGGCCACATTATCGGTAACAAAAGACACTCCTGTCACTCAGGAGATTCTAAGGGTTTTCAGAGCTCTGTGCCCCAAACCTGGGACAAAGGCAAAATACAGTTATATTTTTCATTGTACTACAGGTACTTCTGTAGCAAAATTACCTTGCACACAATTGGCCCACAGCTTTGAATCTATCTGGGAAAAAGAGTGGTAATCCCATAATGGGTTGTCTACTGGATTGGTGATTTTTCTGTCGTGAAAAGGATGAACATGGTTTGTTTCCTTGGAGCAAATGGGTACTTAGGCTAGGAAGTTCTCTGCATCTTATAGCTTTCTTTATTCTAATCTACTTGCTAATGAAGTTCATATAGAATTGAAGTGCAGAAGAGTTAATTACTTATGACTTATGACCAGTCTGGCTTTCTTGTATAGTTAATAACATTATTACTTATAACATTATAAACTTGCCAAGAAGGAGAAGTCAGATCTGATTGTTTTGATGTAAGGAAAAACTCAAACTTTTTTCCTCTGCTTTCACACCATACAACAATCAACATAGAAGACTTTGTGACCAAATATGGGGGATTTCTCCCCACTAGCAAACAAATAATCACTTCTGCAGCACATACCAGCTGGGTGTCCTCCAGTTCAATTATCACACAGCTTACCTGGAGATAGTGTCAGATCCCACCGGTTGAGGGCTCAGTCCCACAAGGCTGCCCCTGCTTCAGATACCAGTTGTTAAGTCTGGGCCTTCAGAACTTCTGACTGTCCGGCTCCCAGTTGGGTTTCCCACAACCCTCCTTTGGGGTTAATTAATTTGCTGGTCTTTCTGGTCACCAGCCCTCATCCTGAAGCTAGGTGCTGCCAGTCATCAGTCAACTCATTAGCATCCAAAAAATACATCACCTTGGAAATTCCAAGAATTTAAGGAGTTGTGTGCCAGGAAATGGGGACAAAACCAAAAATATATATTTCTCAATACCATATTTGGTAGCTCCTCAATTTGTGTGCTGTTGTGAGTACTTACGTGTCAGCTGAAATATGGATCCCCTTAGCCCTGTGGCCTGGGGCCACTCACTAGAGCTCTGTGTCATTGTCCTTGAGTCAAGAACAGACTTATATTTCTTTCATTGTGTTGTACACATTTTTTTTTTCATATGCACATATAAAAAAGGTTTGGAAGCACTGATTGAAAAAATATTGATGTTATAGTTATAAAATATGGTTAATGTTTTTATTTCACTTATAGGTGGTGAACAGTTGTTAAAATAGGGTGGTGATAGGATGTCATGGCATTTACCAAGCAGGAAAAATAAATGTGATGTAAGACCTGTGTGCACGTGGTTCCTTGCTAGGGTTCAAGCAAGCTGTTCTTCAGAGAGTATCTGATATGTGCTTCTGTCTGTACAGTGAGGTCAGACTAGAAGCCACTCCGTGGGCTCTGGGATATAGATGGAAATCAGAACAAGCCTTATGACTTTTCTTGACATAGCTTTCATAAGTTTGCATATTCTATTCCTTATTCCATTAGTAAGATTGCTACTAAAAAAATAAGCATCAGTTATGTGGATGGTTTTCCAGAAATCTGAGTATCTTGTTCTTGTTACATTGTGAGACAGTAACTTAAAACTTTGGGGTGCTCATGAGGAGCTTAATTAGAATATTGAGTTGGATTAGGAGGCAGAGGTTATCAAAGTGGCCTGTGTATTGCAAAGTAAGAGACCACTGTTGACTGTTGTACATAGAAAATTTTGTTGGGGTTGATCAATTTGGGTTTGTGTCTCACTTGTCTTCATGGGATTTCTGTTGATATACTCACAAGTTCGAGGCTTAAAAACACAAATGCCCTTTGGATTTGCCAGAGATTTAGGCATCACATGGATTTAAAAATGGTCTGAGCACCTGGATAAAATGCTGAGTACCTTTACTGACTCTTGCTATGCTGCAAATGTTTCCTCTTCCTGGCTAGAACTCTCAGCACATGTATAGCAATAGTGTTTCTGTGTGAATGGAATCAGTGCAGGTATGTAGCAGATTAGGCCGTTCTTATTAAGGACTGTGAAAGATGATGGTATGAGTGAACTCTTTAAATGAGCTAGGGACAAATTAAGGATTCAGAGAACTATTAACACATTCTCTTCTCCCCTGAACCAAAGGTGGAGATAACTGGCTGCCTCCTTTTGGGTATCCATTTGGAACCTTCTCAGAGTGGTTGTGTAATTGTGAAATTCCAACTCTTAGGTTCCCATGAAGTCTACTTGCAAAATCATTGGAACATGGAATTGGGGTTCGGGGGGTTATTTCGGATAAGCTTTTTATATTTTGTTGGTGATTAAAATGTTGTTAAATTTAGCAACATTTTAAACTACAGTAGGGCCTTCTTTGATTAGCTGGCTCCCTGGGTAATTTTTATGGGGTTGGACTAATCATGACTTGGCCAGAGAGATTTTCAATTTAGCCTGTGGAATTATATATTTGCTTGTTGGTAGTAGACATCTGGCTCAGAGTCTGATAGAAAGTGTTGCTGTTATTGGCTTTAAGTGATAGCTCAAAGGTGTGGCTGGCTGTGGAATCCCATAATGATGGCACTGTGCTTAATTGATGTGAAATAACTGGAGATCAGAGAGGGGCTATTATAATCAATGGCATTGGTGGTTAGCTGAATCAGAGAATGGATGAATCAGTTATGAGTTTCTGTTAATAGGTTTAAAAGGAATTTAGGGTGTTTTGGGAGCTGCATTCCATGAAGCTTCATAAACCCCTTATTTTATTATAACTGAAATGAGTTAAATTTTTTTTTTCCTTGTTAGATGAGCAGCTTGGAAGCGAGTTTTGGGCTTTTAAGCCTTCCAACTCTCCCTGAAGGCTTTTGTTAACCAAAGAAGGACTCCATACATAGTAAGAGGTAGTCTACAAGTAGAATGCTGCTTTTGCCTTTGTCTGGTGTTCTAAGAATCTGATAGGAGCTGTTAAGCCTTTTGTTGTCAAAGCAGTACCCTTTCAGGAACTGATAGAGGAGTGACACAATCCTTGGTATTCTGGGTTAAATTTTTTTTTTCTACCCAAGAAAAGGACTATGAATCTTTTGCCAGAGGTCGGAAATGCTGAGGGTGAATTATTTTGTTTTTTTTTTCCTTGACAGTAGAGCCTCTGAGGCCCGATCCTGTCAGATGAGGAAAATGTTTAATATTTAGGAATCATGGCTGTTAGTAATCTACTTTTACCCTGGTTTAGGACTTGGCCATCATAAATGTAGACAGTTATCATAATTGATAATAAAGCTGGAATGAGTGACTATCTAGCTGACTCTGTTATGCATAGTAATGCCTTTACTCCTCACAGTGCCCCTATGGGGAAGGTAATATTAATCCCATTTGGCAGGTATGGCGCTAAGGCAGAGAGGTGAAGTCATTTACCCAAGAGATATTATATAGCTAGTAAGTAGCAGAGTTGAGCTTCAAAACTAGGCCGATTGGCACTGCTAGTCTATATTGATTTCCCTGGTTTCTAGTTTAATAGAATTAGGAAGGATCCTGGATTAGGATAGGAATAAGATTTTTATGGGAAAGTGGTTTTAAACACATTTACAAAGCAAGCTGAATTCTTTGTTGCTAATATATTTTGTTGGTTTAAACGCTATCAAACAAACATTTTCCAGTTTTCTTCTCTAGAGAATTTAATACTTTCTCAATTAGGTTTTAATATGTACTTATAACTAATATCATAGTAGTTACCACTTTTCATGTCTACTGTTTGCCACTATTATAGCATATTTAAGATATATTAATCCTTATCACAACAGTACTGCCAAGTAGCAGACTGTTTTTATCCTGGTTTCACAGATGTGTAGTGTACTAGACCACAGAAATATTCTTGTTTGTATCTTGATTAGTGTTCCAGTGGTATTTATTAGTATTTTCAGTGGTGATCATTTGACATCTTGGAAAAGAATTTTCTTTCCTATTCCTACCCTTTAACCTCCTTGTACTACATTTCTTTTTCTTTTTTTTTGAGACAGGATCTCACTATGTTGCCCAGGCTGCTTTTGAACTCATGGGCGCAAACGATCCTTTTGCTTTGGCCTCCCAAAGTGCTGGGATTACAGGCATGAGTCACCATGTCTGGCCTCACATTTCTTTTTAATTTTTTGGCAGAATGCCCAACGAAACAGTCTTTGTGGAGGGGTCAGCTACCTTATCTATTGTTCATCTCCACTGCCTGGCATATAACTTGTTTGTAATTGTGGTATTTCTGCACTTGTTGTTGTGTAAATTATTATATTGGGCTTTCTAAAAATCCATTTTACACACAAAAGTGTAAAATGTGCTAAAAGTTGCTGTTGGGATATTTACTTGATTTCTTAAACTCAGAACCATCTAGTTTCCAAAATGCTTAGCTGTGTGGATGAACAACAGTGCTTTATTGATGAGAGTTCAAAGTTCTGAGTGAGATTTTATGAACTTTTTAGTAATTGCTCACTCTTATGTATCAAAGATTGCCAGTGGGGGGAGATAGGGGCAATATAATATTAGCTGATAGCAGCTCACTTAATACATGGATATATGGAATACCTGATATTGCGAGTCTAACATCTCTTTTTCTTTATTTATTTTTATTTATTTATTTATTTTTTGAGACGCAGTTTCACTCTTGTCACCCAGGCTGGAGTGCAATGGCGCGATCTCTGCTCACTGAAACCTATACCTCCTGGGTTCAAGCGATTCCATTGCCTCAGCCTCCCGAGTAGCTGGGATTACAGGTGTCTGCCACCACGCCCGGCTAATTTTTGTATTTTTAGTAGAGACGGGGTTTTACCATGTTGGCCTGGCTGGTCTTGAACTCCTGACCTCAGGTGGTCCGTCCGCCTCAGCCTCCCAAAGTGCTAGGATTACAGGCATGAGCCACCGTGCCTGACCTAACATCTCTTTTTCTTTTGAGCTTATGAAATATTAGGTCTCTCATTACCGTAGTAATTTAGGGAGAAAAGAGAATGAAAGTAAGTTCTTTACTACCACTTTATTTCCTCATTTCTGAAATTGTTTGACTGTAAAGTTGCATAGTTGGAATTGTGGGTTACTCATTTCATAACCAGTGATTGCAGATAATTAAAAAATTATTCCAGGTAATCTTTCTGTTTTGAAAATGAGGTAGTAACAATGAGAGCCAAGGAAGAAATGAGAATTTAAATGACAGCTCCCCTCTCTGCGATGTGATGTTCTGAATACTTGTAAGTCAAATACCAATATTCTTGAAGGTATTCTATGAATGACTTGTACACTGCAGTTCCAGGTTTCTCTTTATTGTGTGGTGGTTCTAGGGAATACCCTGTGGTGTCAATGGGTGTTCCCTAAAAGGGATTGATTCAGATTGCTTTTTGATTATTCCTTCCTGGCTCCTTTCGCATGTGAGTAGTTGACTTGAAAGAGCAACTGTTTAATTTTTATGATTCTTTTCATTAGTTGGGTGGTAGTTCTGTCTCACCTGAGCTTGCTTATATGTATTTAGTAGGTCTATTAGGAAGACTGGGACTGCTGGGCCTTTTGTTCCATGTGGTCTTTCATCAAGGAGAATAGACTGAGCTGCTTCACATTCAAACTCAGGGTAGCTTTCCAGGAGGGCAAAAGTGGAAGCTGCAAGGCCTCATAAAGGGCTTAGATTTGGAAGTCATACAGTATTCCTTCTGCTATAGTATTGTGGTTAAATCAAGCCCCAAGGCCAGCCCAGATTCAAAAGGTAGGGAAATAGACCTCACCTATTTATGGAAGGAGCAGCAAGGTCCCTTTGCAGATGGGTATGGACTCAGGGAGCTGTGGTTCCTTGGTGGTTATTTTTGTGACAATCTACCAAATAACCTACAGTGAACTCAGCATTATATCAAAAAGGTTATACTCTAGAGGCAGCTATTGTAGATCCTTCAGTGGTCTTCATTACCATGAACAATGAAGTACTTTGCTGTTACTACAACAGATGTTAAACAAGGGCTATCAAATATGGTGATATCAGTGGAGTTGAAGATATGCAGATTGGCTAAAATGTTGTAGAGACGGTTTCCATTCTTACAGGCTGGGTGGGAGGATTCTAGTGATTGTAGTTCTCTGATTCTGACCATACAGGTAACAGAATCTTGCTTTCCTGTGATATAATGAAACGAAACAAGCCCATTAGATGGCGGCAGGGGGCAGGGGGCAGTGAAATGTTGATAAGAAAAACAATCTACTAATAATTCTAATTTAATAAATATTTGTTGAACTGCTGTTTTGTCTGAGGTACTGTTATAGGTGATTTGCAGAGTTCAAAGATAAATCAAGATAGTTAAAAATTTAAAGCAGAAAATTGTTTACAATTTTTTGATGGAAACAGACTTGAGGATGAGAGGATGGTAAGGTGAGCCCAGTGTAAAGTGTTTCTTCCTGAGGGACATACTGATGTTTTTGGAAACTAAATAATGCTGGCTCTTAATAGAGGAACTGACACCTTTTGCTGTTCTATAAAATGTGAAGGAGAGATGCTTTTGGTAACCTAGATTGCAGAGATTCCATAGATTTTGTATTGAGTAGTGGACTCTCAACTGCCCGTGTTGAGGTTTTTGGCCAAGATCGAAGCAAACTATATGCTCAGCTTAGCTGGTTGTGGAAAGCAATGTTAAAAAGGTTTGTATTGCTTGAGAAGTTAGTGGAGGGAGAATATTCAGGGCTCTTTATCATCTTGTTTTTAAAGCTAAATAAACCTGGAAGGTGTCTTCCCTCCAACTTCAATATTCTGTGAGTCAGTGAGTTGCTCACAACTAGACAAAGGGTATTCCTAGGCCTCAGTGAATGTGGATACACTTGACCAATCCCTTTCTTCAGGATTACAGTTCTTAATATTCTTGATGATTCCATGTTTGGGAGTGCTTTTCTCATGAGAAATTTGAGGAAGACACTGTGTGCCGATGCTGTGAAAAGCTTGTTTGAAAGGTGCTGGCTGTTCTCTTAAGGCAGAGTTTTGAAACCAGAATTTCAAGGATGATTCTGACAGATTGTTGCCCTCAGCCTTGGAGTGGCTGAGTGGGGACAGGACTGCTCAATGCCTAGGCCAGCCTCTGGGCCAGCTGCAATTCTAATTTTCCCAGCATGTTGAACAAATATTCTCATCTTTTAAACAAGCCATTGCATGAAAAAAGTAGGCAGTATTGCTTTGAGGGGTGGAACAGTGCTTTGGAAGTGTGATGAGGACAGGTACTGTTCCTAAGTCAGGGTTCTTGGTTGCAAACAACAAAGATTTACTCCAGCCAATAACCATATAGGCTTAAGTTGTCTGAGGCTGTCCATGTCAACTTTATTCCCAAATCAATAAACATTTGGAAGTGTTTTCTGTATCAGGCACAGAGCTAAGGTTTTAGGTATACAGAGAATCTCTCGCAGGAAACCGCTTCTGTATAAATATTTTAGGATGTTTGATGCCTCGTTTCTCTCCTGCTATAGTTAAAGGGACAATGTTTATCTGTGTTGACTGGTTAGAAATTGATGATATGACAGTCCCACCAAAGGGGTTATTATAATCACAAATTCATAATGTTTTTGATCAGTTATTTTAAACCCTGTTGTACAAATATTTCAATCTTTGTTAGCATCTAAAAATCTTCACAGGTCATTTATAGTATCACGTCCCTCCTTTCTCCCTGTGAAAGTTGTTTCAAGTTTTTGAAAAAAATTCATATTAATGTCCTATTTGCTTGTAATTTTTTGTCATTAAAAATATCTGAATACATGGTGACAGATTGCCTTTCGGTTTTGATTTTTTTGAGGGACCCTTGAAAAAGAAGTAAAGGAGAGAAGGACCCAGCCCCAGTAGAGGCTCTAGTACTTAGAGAAAGTGAATGGGAGAGGAGAAGATGCCTTTTTTTAAAAAAAAAAAAGCTCATGCCTCCAGGTAGCCAGAAACAGCTTCTCCTGAGTATTGTAAAAGCTATTTTTCTACTTTTCTTGAATCTCACCTTCGGTTGACATTTTGGGGCCTTCCTTTTCCTCCTCAAAACTGCCTTTCAAGTTCATCTTAAACTGATCAGCATTTGAAGAGTTGGGGTACACAGATGAGACCCAGCAAGGTAACTTGATCATGTGCTAAGCTCGTTGGCACTTGTTTTAGGCTTTGAGTGATCTTTGCTTGGAAAGGCTTCGAAACCTACAGAATTACTTAGTGTGTTTTGTTAGTAAATGATCAGAATATAAATTTGGACTTTTTCAAGATAATTGCAGATGTCTCTGAAGTGTAGACTGTGTTTAAATCTAATTTATGTAACTTAAATCACATTCTCTTCATCATGGTGTACGTTTATGAAGTTAATGGCCTTTAAAGCTTTCAATTTAGTTTTTATTTAAATGTGAATGCAATGCTGAAAAAAATCTCTCTGTGTATTCAGTATAAATACTTATATTCAAGAAAACAGTTTAAGTTTTAACTGTTGTAATATATTTTATTGTTTATCTGGTAAGGTTAGCTACTATTCCGTCAAATTGGGCTTTCTAAGAAAGGACCAATTTTTGTTTTTCTTTGGATAGTTTTCACAATAGTTCTTTGTTCTGTCCTTGTCTTGCATTTTATCTTAGTCTTATATTAATTTTTCTTCACACGGAGGTAATGGATGATGTGCCAGATGGTTTCAAACACAGACTACATGACATATGCTCAGTTTTTGATTTGAGGAGTTTGTAAAGATTTTCTTCAAATTGTGATAGCAAAGTTCCTTAACTTAATTTTTTCTGTAAACGATTTGCCATATTAAGGTAATTAATAGGTTCAAGTTCCAGAGATTAGGAGCTTAGTATCTTTGGGGACCACCATTCAGCCCATTACAGTCTGTTTTCTGGGCCCCAAATATTCATATCCTTCCCATGTGCAAAATACATTTACCCTACCCCAGCGTCTCCAAAATTTTGACTCATTACAGTATTAACTCAAATGTAAATCTCACCTAAATATTACCAGCTCAAAAATCCCAAATCCCATTATGAAAATCATTTAAATCAGGCATGGGTAAAACTCTGAGTATTATCCAGGGCAAATTCCATTTGGTTTCAAGACCCGGGAGTAATCCTCTATCTTTAAATATTTTCTAAAGAAAAATTCTCAAGAAGTAAAAGAGCATATTTACTAAAAAAACCTTTTTTTTTGTATATTGCTGAACCTCTCACAGAAAGTTTTTCTACCAGCAATATATCTTATTAGTGATTCTTCTACCTAGCCATTCTGATCATCATGTTATCATTATGTATATATAATATAAAACCTTCAAACTTTGCCATTTTCATATGAACAAAAGCTTAAAATGTTTTTGGTGTTAGTGTCTTTTTATATTTTCCCTTGATTTGTCTTTACTGCTCATATTCTTATCACTTTTTTTCTATTTTTCTTGATTTCTATGATGTCTTTATATATTTAGAGCTACTGATTTTTGTATTGCAAGAGTTTTCCCAAGGTTCAATTTTTTTTTAGTTTTGTTTTTTGGTAATATACTGAGGGTTTTTGTTTTTTTTTTAAATACAGTCATATCTGCTATGTTTCCTAGTGTACCCTTTGCACATGTTGTTTGAATGTCCTTCCTCTACATTATGTGGAAAAGTCATACTGTACTAACCTTATTTCTGAAAATGGATGTGTTTGGTCTTCGTGGGAATTCACATGATCTGGTAGAAAGGAGGCTTATCTTTGAAAGCAGATCTAGGGGCCGTGGCAAGGAGCTCTGTGCTCTTGTCTCTTTGCCATCTTCTCCATCCAGTGTGGCTCCGTCAGATTTTCAGATCTCACATTTACAGTTTGAACCCTCTATTAAATCCTCATCCACTGAGGTCAGAAAGTGTTTGGATTGCAGAGATATTTTTTGAGTAGTTAATTGTATAATAAACTCTAGAGAGTGAGTTCAGGAAAAAGTGTCTCTAAGGTGAATGTGAAACCAAGATATGCTGCAAATGCTTAAAAAATTCAGTTCTGTTACAAGGTATCCTTTTAAGTCCTAAAGAAATGATTCTGTAAGACTTATTGATATAGAAAGAAATGTTAGTGAATAAAGCATTTTACAAAGCATTTTCATGGTCTGATTTCAATTGTAGTGAAAAAATACATGTCCCTATCTATGTATAGAAAAAAGTCTGCAGTAGTTAGTAAACTGATTATTTTGAGATACTTGGATTGATAAGTTTATGTAAAATTTTAACCCTATGTATTGTATAGGTGTATATGTAACATTTTTAATATATTTGATCTTTTTTTGCATTTTCTGCCCTTCTACCATGGTGGTTTTACTTGGGTAATAAAAAACATTGGTATCTCTTCCCTTCCTACCCTAAAGAAACAGCTTCATGGAAATAATTATTTAGAATACTTGTATTACTAACTTGAAGTTTACTCTACCGTAATGTTTTTAGCAAATTTTTCAGATTCTTCACTCTGTTGTTTATATTCATTAAAATGAGGGAAAACGATATTTATTAAACTGAGGGCATTAAGTATAACACTGAACAGATGGTAATATTTTTAGAATTTTTCAGTATATCTACTGAGATAATTGATTTTTATAATAGTATTTTCACTTGCAAAAGTATTAACTTCCCTGAATAATGGAAACTTGAAGTGATAGCATTCTATCTATTGTATCATAGCCTAGTGAATGATTTGTAGTTAGTAACAACTTTAGATTATTTTATTTTTTCTTAGTTTAAGAAATTCCTCATTGCCTTTCAAAATATTGTCCTATATTAACTGTTTGTTAAAGCAAGTTCTCTTGCCTTTTGGTGTGACTTTCTTATGCCCTCAGAATAGTACCTGTTTTGTAGTACTTGAAACTTTTACTTTTTATTTGTTATTTCTCAGGTAAACGCAAAGCACTGAAGTTGAATTTTGCAAATCCACCTTTCAAATCTACAGCAAGGTTTACTCTGAATCCCAATCCTACAGGAGTTCAAAACCCACACATGTGAGTATTCTTGGTAATCAAAGGCTCAACTCAAGCAAAGATTTTAAAGTTACTGTATTTTATGAATTTTTCCAATTATGAGATGTCAGTATAATTTCTCTGACTAAACTCTCTGGGAATATTGTTTATTCTTTTCCTTCTGGAGTTCCAGTTAAATTGCAAGTTGCATTTAGGAAATTTGACTGTCTTCTGTCCAACTGTACAAATTTTCACCACTTAGTGACAAAATAGAGTCCCATCTTAATAAGCTAGATTCCTGCAAGATTTCTATGTCATAGTAAATTGAAAGAGTTGTGTACATGTGAGTGTACACATATCAGTGGTTATTTCATTTACTGAATTTTTAAACAATAGAAATGATATTGTAGCATCTTAGTGAAAATATTAGAGCATCTTAGTTAACATAAAGCAATACCTTCAGAACAATATTTTACATTAACCTTCAATTGAATTTAAGTGATGTGAAATATTAAAAAACCTCTTCTTATTTCCCATCCTAACCTATCATGAAAATGAAGGCCAGTGGCTGTACTTTTATAACCATGTCCATAAAAATAATTTTGAGCTAGTTTCGATGTTGAGAACTATAAAGCAAGTGGTGTAAGGTATGATTAAAAAGCTGGCAGATACATTTTTTTTTAAGTAATTTCTCAACAATTTGCATCTAGATCTTATTAGGCTTAAAATACATTTATTCTTCCCAAAGAGGCACTTTTATTGCTATTTTCTCTTCTTTCAGAATTTGGTATGCATTGTATTTACAAACAGTAACAAATTGGTAGAAGGTAGTGTCTTGCAAAAGAGATGCTTAAAATATTTTTAAAACAGCAATGTCTAGAAGGGAGTAGTTTCACTTGTAGCCTTAGAGGGAATGAAAGATATTTTAAATAAAAAGTGTAGTAACAATTTATTTTTCTCAATTGTCTATTAATTTTATTAGACTGGTGTTCATAATCACACTTCTTGTCAGAGCTCAGCCTAGAGTCCCACTCTTTTTACCTTCTCTGAAACATCAAGTAGGGGCTATCTTGAGGAAGGAAACTTAGTACTTATTAATTAGTCAGAATTTCAGCAGCAAGGAAACAATTCTTAAAAGAACCTCCTTCCTTATTTCTTAGAATTTGTAGTGAAAGCTAGTGCAAAACTAATTCTTTAACATAGCCCCCTTCTGTTACCTTAGTTACTAGCTGAACCATATGTTGGAAGTCTAAGAAGGAAAGGATATAGCAGTAATCACCAAACTTATCAGATCTTTCTTTTTTAAAAGCCTTTTTGGACAAGGAGAAAGACAACCTGACTTAAATTAAAACTGGAAAAACATTCATCTATTTGTACTGTCTTCCCTCTGGAGTTTCTTTATGTATGTGGAATTCATGGAGCAAAATTTTTTAAAAAATAGTAAACACAGGGTGGAAAAAAACTTTCTTCCAAAGTTGAGTTCAGGTTTTATTTTTTGTTTTGTTCTTAACTAATGTTTTATAATAAACCTATAGCCAGCTAGATTTCTCATCCTTTGTTTCTTCCCAGCAAGTATTTAAAATTTGAAAGGACATGGTAATAGGTAGTTTTACCTTATGATAGAATCTTTAGAGCTTGATTCTGGTATGTAAAAATTTTAGACCCAGACTTTGTTGTAAGTTTTTTATTGTACAGGTCAATTGTTCTGGGTTAGGAATAGGTAACTACTAGCATTGTTACTGGTCAGAGATAACTGTTTTATTACTTAGAACAACATTATCTCCTCTACCTTCCCAGCCCCTTCCAAAAGGTATCCTTTTGTACTCTTCCTCTGAGTTGTTTGCCATCAAGCACTAAAAACAGTTGTTAGTTTCTGTTTAGGATGAGTACTTGCAATTAGAAAAACATAACTTGTAGTTTGTGGGAGTTTTGAAATAAGATATCTCTTAACATTTATATGTTTTTTCTCCTAAAATTTCCTTGAACTTTAATAATTACAGATGTGAATATAAAACTTGTTCATGAATTTAGGAAAAGATAAGATGAAATAAGCAAGCTAATGAAGTTAAGATATGTCACAGGATCTGGTTTCAGATCTCCTTGGCATTTGATGTCTCCTGGATGCAGGATCCTTTGCAAGATTAAAAAAAAAATTGTAAGACAGTGTTCTTTTTTTCTGAGAACCAACAGTTTAAATAAAATTCCAAGAAATGACAATTGGCTGTCGTAATTTTAGTAAGGCATAAGGTAATATGGATTGAATGTCAAATTAAAGGTGTACAAGGGGTAAATCATTTTAGAAAACCTACTTGATTAAATGCTTCCCAGAAGAACAAGATTTTACTGGATTTTGAAAGACAGGCAGGGAAGGTTGAGTGAAGAAGACAAGGGACAGTGGCATTCTGGTGAGCGTATGCACAAGAGAAGTTTTGGGAACCATGTGTAGATCTGTTTAATTGTAGCAGGGATGTTATTTATAGATTACCTATTTCTCTCTCTCACTGGAATCTTTTAGCCTGTTTTCTTTATTCTTGATATTCTGTAATTATATGAGGATAAGCCTCAAATTGCATCATCTTCCCATGTATCAGATTAACCCTTTTAGTTTCAAGATTCATGTATCTCTTTTTCTGGGAAAATTGCTGCTGCTTTCCTTTTGATACATTTCCTTCATGTTTTTCCTATCATCTTCTCCTGAAACTTGTGTTACTAGGATGTTGGACTGCCTATATCCCCTGTATCCTAGACTCTAAAAAAAAATGTGTTCCGTCTCATTGTTTTCTTACTCTGTATCCTGGGAGATTTTCTTTATTTTCCATCCCCTAAATGGAATCTTGGCAATCAGTTTTAATTTCCAAGAGTTGATTGTGGCATTTTCTTAGGATTCTATTCTTAATTTTGGATACAAAATAGGGAATTTAAAAATTCTTTTCTGTTGTTTGAATTATTGATTTCCTCAAGGATCAGTTTTTCTTTTACCTCTTTCTCAGTTTTTTTTTACATCTTATAATTTTTTTTTCATGTCTTGTTCTTGATTGTTTCTTGAATGGAAGCTTTGGTTATAGATCATCACCTGGTGGGCTTGGCTTTACTTTTCTGTGAGTATTTTGAGAGCTAGCTCTTAGGCCAGGAATATTACCAATGCTAGAATTAGTAGAGCCAAAATTCACCTTAGGAAGCCTGGTTCTCTCCAGATGTGTTTGTTCTCTTTGAAGACATGCCCCCTTTTTATTTTAGGGGAAGAATAAAGAGGAAAAGTGGAATTAACTAGACCTTTCTTTTTTTTTTTTTTTTTTTAAGTGGCAGGGTCTCACTATATTGCCCAGGCTGGTCTTGAACTCCTGGATTCCAGGGATCCTCCCGCCTCAGCCTCCCAGAGTGCTGGGATTACAGGCATGAGGTACTGCGCCTGGCCTAGAACTTCCTTATAGAAAGAAGTTTAATTAACTCTGGTTTCTAGGCCTTCATTTCTTCTGACCATGAATTCTCTCTGATCCAGTGTTCTATTGGGACCATGATTTGTCCCTCATATTCACTGCATGCCTGCCTCCTACCATGTGTTATAGGTTATAGTTTTTTCTGTTTATTTTTAAACCTTTTATTATGGAAAATTGCATACCTACCCAAAAGTAAAGTGGTAGATGAATCTGTCTTTACTGTCAATCAGCTTTAACAGCTTCAACAGTTAATAGCATGGCCAATGTTGTTTTATCTTTTCCTTCAACCCCTTAGTTTTAACCAAATCTCAGATGTTATGCAATCTACAAATATTTTAGTATGCATTTATAAAAGATAAGAGCTGCTTTTAAAAGACATAATCATAGTACCATTGCTACATCTAGTAGAATAAATCTTTAATATCATCAAATAAGCAGATGACCTCATTAGTTTTTTTATTTTTAATAGTTTGAAGTGAGGTCTATACAAGGTCCTGCATTCTATGCAGTTAGCTGATCAGTCTTTTAAACTAGAGTTCCTTCTCTTGAAATCGATTAGTTTTTCTTTGTGATACATTTTTATCTACTCAGGCATTCAGAAATTTAATTCTTTTAATTTATTGCTTATTTCCTTAAAAAAAGGATTTTTGGGGGGATCTTGGAGGATGAGGAGACAACCTGAACAGGAAACCTTGATTTTTAATTATCAATGATTAAAATTAGAAATATTTTTGACAGAAAATGCATATTATAATAGAGACTCTTGTACCCACTAACATTTTTTCCCTTGGCTTTTAAAATGAAAGATTAAACTGGATAGCCAAAGAGTACAAAGAAAAAGCAAAGGAAAAATGTGTGGCTACCTTTTAAATTTTCATCAGGTTTGGATTCTACTAAACACTATAAATCTTTTTGATACTCTAGGGATATTCTTATAAATGTGGCCAGCTTGTGTTAAAATCATGTTGTGTATATGAATTTGACAAACAGAAGTAGATATTCTGTTAAACATTCTGTGTTTTCATGATAGTGAGTTATGGTTGAGTGCTCTCAGTGTACTGAGTCGTTTAGAATATATTCAGTACAATTGTTATTCTGAAAGAACATCCCTTTTATCTTCATAACATATCACAATTGTCAAGAAAAAACACTAGCTTAAAAGTTAACACTGGAAATAAATAGTGGTGGATGCAGATAACATTTTGGGGCTTAAGAGTTTTGGAACCACACGTTTTAAGTTTAAAGTGCTCTCTTTAGACCAGAGGATCTCTAGGATTTCCCTTATCTTTGTTTATTACATTGGAACAGACAGAGACTCAGTTGTGCTATAGAACATCTAGGAGTAGTTTAAAGAGGTTTCAAAGTCCCTAGTTAATAACTAATATTCCTCGTATTTCTTGATGAGCCTTCTCAGTAGAACTTTATCTTAAAACTTAGAATTTCTTCTTCTCTTGGTTAAATTGTGAGAACTGTGTCTTATAAACGTTGCTGTCTTAGAATTAATGACGAGGCCGGGCACAGTTGCTCACGCCTGCAATCCCAGCACTTTGGGAGGTCGAGGCAGGAGGATTGCTTGAGCCAAGAAGTTCGAGACCAGGCTGGGCAACATGGCAAAACCCCATTTCTACAAAAATAGAAAAAATTAGCCACGTGTGATGGTGTGCGCCTGTGGTCCCAGCTACTTGGGAGGCTGAGGTAGAAGGGTCAGTTGAGCCCTGGAGGTTGAGGCTACAGTGTACCACTGCACTCCAGCCTGTGTAAGAGTTGAGACTCTGTCTCTATTAAAAAAAAAAAAAATTGTTTTTAAAAAGAAATAACAATGGGTAGAAATTTAGGAGTCTGGATTTCTATCCTGGTGTTGTCGTTATCTCTGTGTCCTTGACTTTATCACTTAATTCTGCTCTCAATTTAGGCATTGAATTAGAATAGCGACATACACTATTTTATATAATGAATAGGAAGGGGAGAGAATTAAGCCAGCCTTGCACTGCCTTCTTTAAATAAAGTCTCATGTACAAAACTGATAGGCTAAAAAGATAAAGGAGGAACTGTGCTGACTGAAGTGTTTGTGAGGTGGGAGAGAGTTTTGTAGCGTTGTCTGCCTTCATTCCCCAGAATAGTCCCAGGACATCTCTGGTGGATTTCTAAGTGTGAATACCTCTAATCTACATGAATTTGGAAGTTTTTTTCTGTCTCTGAAATTTTTTGAAGCAATCATGATACTGTGAAATCTCTGCATTTCTGTGGTGGACCACTTTTACAAAATAGCGGTAATGGTAGAAGTATTTATGGGTATGTATTAATAGATGATGTTTAATCTCAAATGTGTTAAATACTATGGGGTGTGTGTGTGTGTGTGTGCGCGCGTGTGTGTGTGTGGCTGGTTTGGTGCTACTGCTGCGAATCTTTTTTCTTACTGTAGTAAATATACATAACGTAAAAATTTTTATCTTAACCATTTTAAGTATACAGTTCATTGGGATTAATTGTGTTCACATTGTTGTACATTTGTCACCATCATCCATCTCTAGAACTTTTTCATCTTCTCAGATCGAACTTCTGTACCCGTTAAGCAATAAGTCCTTATTCTCCCTTCCTTCTAGCCCTGGCGCCCACCATTCTACTTTCTGTCTCTATGAATCTAACTACTTTTTAGGTACCTCTCATAAGTGGAATCATAACAATATTTATTTTGTGTCTAGCTTATCTCATTCAAAATAATGTCTTCAAGGTTCATTCATGTTGTAGAATGTATCTTTCTCCACCCTTCTTTTTAAGGGTGAATAAATATTATTTTATTGTTATGTGTATGCAGCATTTTGTTTAGCCATTCATCTGTTGTTGGACATTTGGGTTGTTTGTACCTTTTGGCTCTAGTAAATAATGATGCTGTGTTTGGGATAATCTTTAAAGCTTAGATCATTGTACTTCTTAATGTTACAGTTTAGGGATATTCAGTCTTATCTTTAGTCCCACATTCCACCTCAGTGTACCTGAGGCTGTGGTACACTTCCATAAGTCAGCAATTCACTGGAGAAGTGATTCTCGACAGAGGTGGCAGTGGTAATAGGAGTGGTAGAACTGATTTTCTTTGTGGGCCCCTACCCCCTTGAGATTCACATTCCCTTCAAGCTGGATGTTTATAGCTGAGGTGGTGGATGCTAATTCTGGAATATGTATTTGCATAGATTAATGATACATGCTGTTGAGTTGTGTGCTTTTGGTGTTATAAATCATCTTTGTTCTTGAATCAGAGACTGAGGCAGACATTAGAAGATAGCCCTGGTTTTTTAACCCACAGTACTTCTAAGTGCTGCTCCTTGAAGATACATCTGACTTCTTAGCTATTGATGAGTTTTCCAACCATTTCTAATCAGGCAGTTATGTTTTTGAGTTCTGATTTCAATCAGAATATTATAAGGCCTTTTATCTTTGCAGTATGTATGTTTCTGGAAACTTTTATCTATTATTAAGGAAATTTGCTATATGAAGGTAACTTTTTTCAGTGTGTTTTTTTTTAAATTATCTACAACTGAGTAACAGTATGATTATATTATTGTTCTTGAGCAAATTTGTTTTCCCCAGAGTTAATAACTGCCTCATATATGGTTCACTGTGAATCTTCTCTCAACATAGTTAAATACATCAGTTGGTCACTCAGTTCTCCCCCTCTCCCCCCCCTTTTTTTCTTTTTTTGAGTTAGCTATCCATCCATACTCTTGCTTTAATCTGGAGTGGTTGCACTTGAGGTCTGCTTCACAGGGCTGTTGCCATTGTTTTGTGAATGCCTGATTCTGATTATCTGTTTCCGGGATTTCATCTTTTTTTATTTTTCACTTTCCCACTCTCATTTTGGTAGAGTATATATTCTAAGTCTTCCTGAGATAAGAATTCTTTCTTAGTAGTTTTTAATTATTTCTCAAGCTTTTTGGGTGTTTGTATGCCTGAATATGCCTTTGTCTTTTTTCAGACAGGATCTTGCTCTGTTGCCCTGGCTGGAGTAAATGGTGCTATCATAGCTCGCTGCAGTCTTGAACCACTGGACTCAAGTGATTCTCCTACCTTAGCCTTCTGAGTAGCTGGCACTATAGGCATGTGCCACCATCCCTGGCTCATTTTTAAATTATTTTGTAGAGGACAGGGTCTTGCTATGTTGCCCAGGATGGTCTCGAACTCAAGCTATCTTCCTGCCTCGGCCTCCCAGAGTGCTGGAATTACAGGCATGAACCACTGCCTGGCCTTGAAAATGTCTTTAAATAAATAACCCTCATAATAGATCAGCAGTTTTATTGGGTATAGAATTCTGGGGTAGAAATTTTTCTCCAGAATTGTGTTTGTATTTCGACAATGTTTTCTATTTTCCATGGTTACTTTAAAAGGTTAGATGTGACTTTGATTCCTGAACCTTTGTATGTGATCTCTTTTTTCTTTTGTGATTTATTGTGGGGATTTTTCTTTTTCCCCACGTTCTGAAATCTTGCTGTGTTTGCATTCTTCCCCCCCACCTCCCCTCTTCCCTTTTCCCAGTCTTCTCCCTCCTTTCCCTCCTCCCCTTACCTTTCTTTTTCCTTGTAGTTTGCTCTCAGTGGACTCTTTCAATCTAGAAACCACTCTTTCATTCTAGGAAAGACAATTTATTATTATTTTATTCATCTGGGATGTGTGTTCTTCTGACATTGCTATATTGATTCAGTGAAATCCCATCAGACTTTTAAAATATGTGTAATGTGACATTTTGATTCTAAAATATGTATGAAAATGCAAAGGACCTAGCTAAAAACAATTTGTAAAACAGTAAGTTGGGGGACTTAAAACGACCTGATTTCAAGGTTATCTGTAACACAGTCAGCCTACAAGTACAACCTGCAAGCTACAGTAATTAAGGCTTGGTGGAAGGATATTAAGGATAAACGAATAGATCAATGCAATATAATAGAAAGTCCAGTAGACAAACACACATGTATAGTCAATTTATTTTTGACTGTGGTGCTTATAATATTCAGTGGGAAAAAAATAGGCTTTTCATAGTGATGTAACAAACTGGAAAAAGGTTTGAAAGGATAAATTTTAATTTCTACTTCATACCATATGCAAAAATTACCTCAAGATGGATCATTGACCTAAAAGTAAAAGCAAAAACTCTATAAAGCTTCTAAAAGAAAACATCCAAAATATATTTGTTATCTGGCATAGGCAGAAATTTCTTTGATAGGACAAAGAAACCACTAAAAAATAATAAATTGGATTTTATCAAAATTAAAAATTTCTGCTCATCAGAAGTTTTTTAAGAAAATAAACAGGCAAGGCCAGGCGCAGTGGCTCATGCCTGTAATCCTAGCACTTTGGGAGGCCGAGGCAGGCGGGTCACTTGAGGTCAGGAGTTCAAGACCAGCCTGACCAAAATGGTAAAACTCCATCTCTACTAAAAATACAAAATTAGCTGGACATGGTGTCGCATGGCTGTAACCCCAGCTACTTGGGAGGCTGAGGCGAGAGAATTGCTTGAATCTGGAAGGCGGAGGTTGCCGTAAGTAGAGATCATAACACTGCACTCTAGCTTGGGTGACAAGAGCAAAATTCTGTCAGGGGGCGGGGGGCGGGGAGGAAAGCAGGGAGGAGGAGAGGGGAAGGGGGGGAGAGAGAGAGAGAGAGAGAGAAAGAGACTAGAAGAAAACATTCACAATGTATATATATATATCTGACAAAGGACTTTTGTATATATAATAAACCAAAACTCAAAACAACCCAGTTTACTTTTTTGTTTTTGAGACAAAATCTCACTCTGTCACCAAAGCTGGAGTGCATCATAGCTTAGCCTCCAGAGTACCTGGGACTACAGGCACATTACATCACACCCGACTCATTTAAAAAAATTTTTTGTAGAGGTGGGATCTTGCTATGTTGCACAGGCTGGTTTTGAACTCTCCTTAAGTGATCCCCCTGCCTCGGCCTCCCAGAGTGCTAGTATTACAGGCATTGAGCCGCTGGGCCAGCCCAAAGAACCCAATTTGAAAAATGGTTTAAAGACTCTGATAGACACTTCACAAAGAAGGCATTGGAATGGATGATAAGTATATGAGAAACAGCCATAAGAACATTAGTAATAAGAGAAATGCAGACTAAAACAAAAAGGTGATACCACTACACTTCCACCCGAAGGGCTAGAATTTAAAAGACCAGGCAATATCTTGGCAAATATGTGGTGTAAGCAGAATTCTCCTATATTGTTGAGGAAGCAGAAAATGGTACAACCACTTTAGAAAACTCTGCTAGGTTTTTAATAAAATGAAACAAGCACCTGCCCCTGACCCAGCAGTCCTACCTTTTGTTATTTGCCTAAGATGAAAATACTCTCAGAAAGATTTGTAAGTGAATGTTCATAGAAAGTTTATTCAGAATAGCCGCCAAATTAGAAAGAACCCAGAGTGTTCAATAATGGAAGAATGAAGAAACAAATTATGGTATATTATTTAACAAAATACTCTTCCTCAATAAAGTGGAGAAAATACTGATACCTGCAGTCATATTGATGGATCTCTGAAAATGCTGAGCAGAAGAAGCGAGACACAAAAGAGAACATACTGATTCTATCTCTATGAAATCTAGAGTAGGCAGAACAGATCTGTGGTGATTGAAATCAGATCAGTGCTTGCCTCTGGAGGAGATTGACAAGAATGGCACCAGGGAACCAGGGAATTTTCTGAGGTGATGGAATGCTCTGTATCTTGCTGTATTTTGTGAAATAGAAAGGTGTCTGCATTTGTCAAAACTCATTGAGCCACATATGCTTATGATTTGTGCATCTCACTCTATGTAAATGATGCCTCAATTTTAAAAGCAATCCTGAACAATAACAATTATATATATACATATATTATTATTATTATTATTATTATTATTATTATTGGTGTTTGTTGTTTTTTTTTTTTTGAGACAGAGTCTTGCTCTGTCATCCAGGCTGGAGTGCAATGGTGCGATCTCGGCTCACTGCAACCTCCGCCTACTGGGTTGAAGTGATTCTCCTGCCTCAGCCTCCCAAGTGGCTGGGATTACAGGCCTACACCACCATGCCTGGCTAGTTTTTTGTATTTTTAGTAGAGACAAGGTTTCACCATGTTGGCCAGGCTGGTCTTGAACTCTTGACCTCAGGTGATCTGCCCGCCTCAGCCTCCCACAGTGCTGGGATTGCAGGCATGAGCCACTGCGCCTGGCCTAATTTTTGTATTTTTAGTAGAGATGGGGTTTCGCCATGTTGGCCAGGCTTGTCTCGAACTCTTGACCTCAGGTGATCTGTCTGACTCGCCTCCCACAGTCTGGGATTACAGGCTTGAGCCGCCGTGCCTGGCCAGTAACAATAAAAATTATAGTGATAGATTTTTTTACTCTCACTGAGCAGTATTTGTGGTTTTCTGTCCTTGTTCTCAAAGCACCTATGTATTTCGACAATTTAGATGACTTGATGAATATATGAACACTGTGCTTTTAATGAATTCAGCTTTTATGCCTGTGGAACAATACTGTGATAAATTTTATTTCTGCCCATGTGGTTTCCCCTTTCATAATGTTTGAAAGAACCCTAGAGTGAAATTTTTAAGAAGGTTATCAAGTTTCTTTTGAGAATTATTCTAGAGTATCTGTTGCACCACATCAGGTATAGTGTACCCCTAAGTAGCTAGAGTCCCCTAAAAAGTTGAGGGGATGTGTTTTTAGTGTGCTTTAAAAATAACATTTACTATTGTTTCTTTCTTTCTTTTTTTTTTTTTAATACAGAGAAAGTATAAAGAAGAAAGCCAAAATGGCCCATTATCTTATCATCCAGGTAGTTCATGTTACCCTTTAAAAAATCAGTAGTACCTGCTTCTGGTAAGAGAATTCAGTTGGTGCAGAAAGTTATAAAACAAAAAATCAGCTTCATGCCCTTAATATTTATCTCCAAAGATAACCCTGTTAAATGTAAAATGCCTTGCAGAAAAGCTTATTATATGTCAGAATACATAATTTATATAGATCCTTAAAGAATATTTACACACAATAGCAGTTTTTTTCTGCACTTTTTTGTAGCTTGATTTTTTATTCACTTAGTAACTTAGTACATCTTGAAAATATTTCTGAATTAACACATACCCTTTTCCTCCTCCTCCTCTTCTTCTTCTTCTTTGTTTTTTGAGATTTTCTCACTCTTGCCCAGGCTGGAGTGCTGTAGTGCAATCTCAGCTCACCGCAACCTCCACCTCCCAGGTTCAAGTGATTCTTGTGCCTCAGCCTCCCAAGAAGCTGGGTTTTAGGCATGCACTACCACACATGGCTAATTTTTTTTTTTTGAGACGGAGTCTCGTTCTGTCGCCCAGGCGGGAGTGCTGTGGCGTGATCTCCGCTCACTGCAAGCTCCGCCTTCCGGGTTCACGCCATTCTCCTGCCTCAGCCTCCCGAGTAGCTGGGACTACAGGCGCCCGCCACTGCGCCCGGCTAATTTTTTGTATTTTTAGTAGAGACGGGGCTTCACCGTGGTCTCGATCTCCTGACCTCGTGATCCGCCCGCCTCGGCCTCCCAAAGTGCTGGGATTACAGGCGTGAGCCACCGCGCCCGGCCCACATGGCTAATTTTTGTATTTTTGGGTAGAGATGGGGTTTCACCATGTTGGCCAGGCTGGTCTTGAACTCCTTGCCTCAAGTGATCCACCCACCTCGGCCTCCCAAAGTGCTGGGATTACAGGGGTGAGCCACTGTGCCCCACCCACATACCTATTCTTAGTTATATAGTATTCATTACATTGTATAGGTGTATTATATATTTAACTAGTTCCTTATTGGTAGCTATTTAGATTATTTTCATTGTTGAATTAAAAACAATGTTTTAGAGAACAACTTTGTGCTGGTGAAATGTACTTTTAAAAATTAACCAATGTTTAATTCTTCATAGATTGGTAATTTTCAGCCCTTTTCTTGTCATAGGAGAGACTGGAAGTAGCTGTGTTTTCTCGACCTTGTTACTGTTGAGATACTAGATTGGAAAATTCTTTGTTGTGGGAGGCCGTCGTCCTGTGCGTGGTAGAATGTTTAGTGACAGCCAAAATGTCTCCAGACATTACCAAATGAACCTTGGAGTGCAAATTTGCTTCTTCTTAGGACCACTGGTACAGCGGGCACTGCAGGTTTACACAGATGAACCTTTTTCCTGACTGAGGAGCTGCAGAAGTCAGATATAAGAGGTGTATTCCTTGGGGTTTGAATGGATGCCAGAAAAGGGGAATTTGGGGAATGGCTATAGGGATATCTCATAGAGTCCAGGGAGAACATCAGAGCTTTGGGAGCAAGTCATAGTTGCCAGAAACCAAAGCAATCCAGTATGTGTTCTTTCATACATTTAGCAAATGTTTGTTGAATGTCTGCCATCTGCTAGTTACTATGGTGTGGGCATAGGTATTTCATGTTGAAAAAAGAGATGTGATTGTTACTTCATGAAGCTTGAGATTTAGAGGCAGACACAGACGTGTGTGTGTATAAAATTATAATCACCTACTTGCTATTAAAGGAAGAGAACCAGGTGCTATGAGAAAATGAAATATGGGCCTAATTTAGAAGGAGGGTGGTGAAAATGTAGTCAATGAAGGCTTCTAAACTTGAGTGAGTTTTACTAGATTTGGGGAAGGGATTGATGAGTGTTCCAAGTGGAAGGAATCGCATGTATTTGAAATTATCAAGGTGGGAAATATTCAACTTGTCATGGAATGGAAGGAATGGCAGTTCACATGGAGGGTGACTGAATGAGAAAGGAAAAACAAACAAATTTAGATTAAGGGTGTAGAGACAGTTAGGTATGGAGAGATGGGCCACATAATGTAGGGCCTTGTAGATAAAGAGCTGGATGACATCCAAAGTGCAGTGGGGAGTTATGGAAAAGTTGTAAGTAGGTCAGTGATTTACAATTTAAACTGATTATTTACAGTCTAAAGTAATTATTCTGGCTGCCGTGTGGACTATGTACTGAAAGGAGGTAAGAATATAGTTAGGGAGACCTGATAAAACTATGGTAATGTAGGTAAAGCGTAATAGTCACCTATCATGACTTCAATAGTATTAAATTGATGACAGTACATGTAGAGAGACTGTAAAGACATTTTGGAAGTAATTAATAAATATTGGTGATAATTTGAATGTAGATGATGACAAGGAGGAAGGTGTTCATAGTGACTTGTAGAATTCTGGCTTGAATTAATGGGTTTAGTTGCGATTACTGTGATGGAGACTACTGGGTATGGAGCATCTGTAAATAGGGGTCATAGGGCAAGATCGAGTTTTAGATAATATTTAAGTTTGAGGGACCTGTGACATTTTATTAGGGATATCAAAACATACATATATATATTATATATATATATAGCGTGTGTGTATATGTATTTATGTATACATGTGTTTCTGTGCTTATGTGCATGTATCACATACTCTGGTGTTGAAAATATGAGTCTGGTGCCAGAAGTGAAGTTGTAGATTGGAGATAAAAAGTTGAAAATTGCTGCCATATAGATGAAAGGGTTGCCTAGGAAGAGAGTGAGAATGTATTTTGATGAGAAAATTGTGTCCAGGGCTGAGCCCCAAGAAAATCTAACATTTAGAGGTTGGATAGAAGAGGAGGGACAGGCAAAAATTAAAAGATGCTTGATAATTAGGAAGCAAACTGGTAGTGCATGATGTTATAGAAATCTAGCATTGTTTCAAAGTGCAGTTGGGAAGGAATTGTGGTTGGCTATGTCTAATGTTCTGAGAATGCTAGTAAAGCTACCTTGTTGGCAAAAACTCCTGAGATACACTTTAAACTACTCTTAATTTCTTACTTACTTGGGAAGAGGTTTTAGCTGCCACTGGAAATTGGGGCCTAAACAGGGAAAGGATCTCATGAAAACATGTAACCTATAGATTTAGGGCAGTTTTCCTTACCTTTTCTTGAAGAAGCATAGCCCAGAAAAACTGTTCTAAGGGTAAACTTAGAGTACAACTGACACAGGATCAGCTCTTAGGAAACAGTCAATAGCAACATGATGCAAACATGAATGTTTGTCTTGTCCTCTTTAATGTTACTCTTTTCTGTGGTGATAAAACATTTCTTTGTATGTCATAAATCAGTACTACTTCAGAATACTGCAGACTTATCTAATTTGTCTAATACATTCTGTTCACTAAATATGAGTATCAGAATTTGAAATTTTCTATTTAGAATGTTTGAGCCATTCTTCTGGACATTTCATTTTTCAGTTTTTCCTTTTGCCTCATCTTAGATCACAGCAAAGATACTCATTTGTTGGTAGTGCCAGGAAGCAGGCAGTTTCCATGGTAACTGACAGACCGAGTTTACTGTGGAAATTTCCGGAATTAACAGAGCTGCATTGCAGAAGGATGCATAAAGCAGTATTCATCTAGAGATCGTAACAGTACGGACACAGAAGAACAGTTGCAGTGATGTGCAGGGTATGTCTTACCTTTATTTTCCTGTCTAAGGAAGATTAGTCATATATATATATATATATATATATATATATATATATATATATATATATATATATATATATATGCATGCTGAGGAGACAGTAAAACAGCTTGGGGCGTTTTAGTATATGCTGGCTTGATACAGTCAAAGTTGCTTAGGAAAAAGAAGGAAGAAATGATTTGGGAAAGAAGGTATATTTGATAGCATTGGGAAGAAATCAAGATCAGATGATCGAGGTAGAAGAATGTGATAGTGAAATAAGAGGAGAAAACATACTTCAAACTAATTAAATAATAAAAGGTTCTTACGGATAGTGGTTCTAGGCACAAGAAGATATTTATTTATTTATTGAAGGAAAATAGTAGACATTGTCAAGTTTGAGAAATCAAGTTCTCATGTGCAGGAAAAAGAAATCTGTTAAGATAATTAGCTATTACTTGCTGAAAGATAGGTAGATATGAGAGATGTCCAGGATATTAAACAAGGAGGTTTGCTGCCATCTTAGCGTACTTACCTAAGTGATGAGAGAATCCTAGAAGGGTTTCTGCCCCTAATTCCACTCTCTGTTGATTGGTGGGCCATTTTCAAGAAAAATTCTGAAATGTATCTTGAGATTAAATTCTGGAAACAGAACTATAGGATTTGGGCAGATAATTGAAGGTGCTTATCATATAGAGCATAATTATAAATGTAAAAGAGAAAAAGGATATAGAAAATATGATTTAGATTATTTGCATGATAGATGCAATTTAGGTTGCTAGATACCATTTGGTATCATTTATATCATGTAGTCAGCAAACTACAGCTCATGAGCTGAATCCATCCTGTTTGCTTGTTTTTGTAAGTAAAGTTTTATTGGAACATAGCCACACCCATCTGGCTGCATAGTTGCAGGAGACTAGTGGCTTGCAAAGCCTAAAATATTTGCTATCTGGTTCTTTACAGAAAAAGGTTGTGACTCATGATTTAGATGGTGTACTGGATTTTTCAAGGCTTCTGTGAGATTACCACAAACTTGGTGGCTTAAAACAACAGAAATTTATTCTCTCACAGTTCTAGAGGCCAGAAATCTGAAGGTGTTGGCAGGGCCATGCTTCTCCCGAAGGTTCTGGGGGAGGATCCCCCCTTTCTTTCAGCTTCTGGTACTGCTGCTCTTCCTTGGCTTGTGGCAGCATAACCGTAATCTCTATGGTCTTCTTCCCTGTGTCTGTCTTGTGCATCTCTATCTTCTCCTTTTCTTTGTTTGGTCTCCTATAAGGATAGTTATTTTATTTAGTGCCCACCTAATCCAGAATCTCTTTTTTGAGATCTTTAATTTTATCCGTAAAGATAGGTTACTTTCTGAGATTCTGGATGGACCTATCTTTTTTTTGTGTGGTGGGTGGTGTATAGTTCACCCTACTACAGATGGTATTGAAGAACTGGGTTTTGGCTTCTTAAATCACATTGTATATTAAGGATAGCCAGTTCTTAGTGTTTCCTTTGACCTGCTGGAGAAGATATTAAACTCACATTTCAAAGGCAAGGTGATAGAGGCATAGTTGAATCATAGAAGATAGCCTTTGTGACACAAACATAAGCAGTAGAGTAAAGGGAGTACTAGAAAATTCATAGGAGAAAGAGTACTAAAATATTCACTGGAGACGGATGAAGACCAGTGCCTGATGCTTCATATCGTTCTCTTCTTGTCTCTTCATATTTTTCTCACCCTAACTCCCACCTCCAAAAAAACAACAAAATGAATTTGAAATTTTAATGAAAAATGGTTGGCACAAAAACAAAAATCACAGTTTTGAGGAATGGCTCATCGCTAAATTACGGCACTGGGAAATATATATATATGATTCAAAAGAAGTAGACTTAATAAGCAAGTAGAGGAGTGGCAGTGTAGAAGGTACACACCAATGTATAGACCAGTGAACCTGAGATTTGGCTTTTGTTGAGAGCCTTTTTGTCATTGTGGGAGTATACAAACTATTGGCCTGGGCAGGAGAGAAGGTCTGTGACATTTTCCTCTTCTCATATGGGCATATTTGTAAACCATAATAACAGTGGTAGGTATCTATTTGCATTCCCTGGAAGTCTCATTTACTGTATTTGGGTATATTCTGAAATGTTTAAAAAGTGATGAATTCACATGGTGAAGAATCAAATAGTAGGCAAGGGATTCCAATGTAGACGCTGGAGCTGCAGAGAAAAGCCACCTTATATTGCCTATATTCTCACCTGCGCACTTTGAAATGAAGCTTCTGATACAGACTTCATGGAGATGATCATAGAAGAATTAAATAGAAATGGTTAATCCAAATTAGGGTTCACTAAGAGTAAGTAAGCAGTTCCAAACTAGCCTAATATACTTTTTTGAAAGTGTTACTAGGACTGTAGATCAGGAGTTTGGAACAGACTAGGTGTATCTTGATTTCAACATTTATGGGCACAGAGGAGGAACATGAAGCCCAATACAGTATTTTCAGGAAGTTTCTTAGAAGGACAAGAGTGAAGTCTGCGTTTTCTTTCTAATCAAATTCTGTTAGTCTGTGACCATGTATATTCTGAATATCAAATAGGAAGCCATGGGAATGAAAGTTTTCTTATTTTCTTCCTTTAACAAAACATTTGAATTGTATGCCTAAATACCTTCATAGAAAGATACAAATTCCCTTGAATCCAACTACAATTAGACTTTTAACTTTTAATTTTTCTGTTAGTGTCATGAGTATATGATAAGAATATCATAAGGAACTAGAATAAAATCAGGTATAAAGCATAGATTGGGATTAAATTGAGCTGGTTGATCATAGTTCACATGTACAGGCTAAAATTTAAGCAGTATAAGGTACTCATGAATACCCTAGATTTCAGGTCTTTGTGTTATGTAAAATACACATGTTCCTAAATGTGTCTATACATAAAATTTATTTCTATAAAATTGTTTTCCTTTTCTCATCGACATGTTTAAATAAGTGTCTCAAAAATAATAAAAGTAAGCTTGAGGGTGTTTAATAAGTAGGTGTTCAAAACACAACTCACATAGTATTAAGAATTAGCTAACAGATCACAAATGAAAAGTAGTTGAGACTCTTGGTTTTTAATTTGCTTTAAGAACTAAATTTCTGACTTTGTAAAAGCAATCTGAGGTTTGTAGTACAAAATGATATATGAGTAGCAGTGTCCTGCTAAAATATTTATTAAGAAACAAAGATGAAAATATGAAACACTGAAAATTAAGATGACTTAACTCCCTATAGGATCTGATAATGGATACTAATAGTAACACAGCCAGAATAAGGAAAATTTTTACCCAGGGATTCTTTTATAGCAGAGACTTCATCCCTTTTCATGTTCATTTCTTCTCCTGCCCACACTGGTAACTACCAGAAAAAAACTGGGGAGAGATGGGAAGAGGGAGGATGCTGATGAATTTTATCTGGGAAGTGTCATTATGAGTGAAGTGTACTAGGTGGAAGTAGAGAAGGATTGTAGTAACAGTATAGTGCTGCCCAGTATAGACTTAGGATTGTATTTTTATATTGCTGTTATCAGTCCAGAATACAGTATTAGAGACCAAGAAAATTGGAGAGAGGAGAATTTACCATGGGAGCAGTGAGTGCTCTGATTTGTAATATACTAAGCCTTAGATATCTCAAATCTGCCTTTGAACCATAGGCATGTAATGGGCAAATCCGTATCAGACAAGTAGAGTGCAGCCCAAGGATAATCTTCTTTTTCTTTCTCTCCTTCTCTCAGCAGTTTTATTGAGGTATAATTGGCATAGAATAAACTGTACATATTTAAAGCGTATAATTTGCTAGGTTTTGACATATGTGTACATCTGTGATGCCATCACCATAGTCAAGTTAACATATCCGTCATTCCCAGAATTTCTTCCTTCTCGTTGTAGATTTTTTTTTTTTTTTTTTCTGAGACGGAGTCTCGTACTGTTGCCTGGGCTGGAGTGCAGTGGCGTGATCTCGGCTCACTGGGAACCTCTGCCTCCCGGGTTGAAGAGATTCTACTGCCTCAGCCTCCCAAGTAGCTGGGATTACAGGTGCCCACCACCACGCCCAGCTAATTTTTGTATTTTTAGTAGAGACGGGGGTTCACCATGTTGGCCAAGCTGAGCTCAAACTCCCGACCTCGTGATTCGCCCACCTCGGCCTCCCAAAGTGCGGGGACTACAGGTGTGAGCCACTGTGCCTGGCCTCTTGTTGTAGTTTTTGTGTTTAGACATTTGATTTGGTTATTTTTTCTGTCTTCCACGTCTATATTTAACATACTCTATCCATCCTTTCGTTTTTTTAATATATGGAACGTGGTAAATGTTTCATTGTCTTTATTCTAGTATTTTTGTCATTTCTGGTCAGTTGCAATTGATTGATGTTTTTCTCTTCACTATGGGTCATGTTTTTCTGCTTTTTTGTATACTGTGGTAATTTTAGATTGCATCCCAGAGATTATTGTGTGATGGCTGTTTTTGTATTTTCATGAATGTTTTTGAGTTTTGTTCTTTGGTTAAGTTACTTGGAGATAGTTTGATCCTTTCAGGTCTTGCTTTTTAGCTTTCGCAGATGAGACTACTCTAGAGCTAATTTTGCCTTACTAGTAAGGTAAAATCCTTCTAACTACTTTATTGGTTTCCAATCAGGAAGCTTTCCACTCCAGTGGCTAAGAATAGGAGCTGCCTTGTATGAGCCTGGGTATCATGCCTTCTTAATCCTTTTAGGTGGCTTATTCTTCAGGCTTGTATAGGTTCCTCACAATCATCCGCTGATCAAGGAGGGCCCTCTGCATATCGGTGGGGTTCTCTTTCTGTGTAGCTGTCTCTTATCCTGTACTCTGCCATGTGAACTTTGGCTACCTTGGTCTCCCTAGATTCCCAGATCCTTGTCCGCAACTCAAGGGTACTGCCAGGATCTTCCTGGATCCCCGCTCCCTGTATCACAGTTGGTGAACTCTTCAGCAGTAAGCTGGGGACACTTGTAGGGCTCACCTTACATATTTCCGGTCTTTCAGTGTCTGCTGCCCTTTGTTTCCTGATGATTTCCAGTGTCTTCCAGATTGCCTATATATTCTGTCTGTTTTTTTCAGTTGTTTTAGGTATGAGGGTAAGTCTGTCTCCTGATACTTCATAGTAGGACAAGTGGAGGTGCCACATTGACACTCACTGTGAGATGGAAACAGGAATTGTGGAACTAGGGAATAATATCTTGAAGACTTTGAGAAAGAGCATCTCCAAACAAGATATCTTGCAGGATTCAAAATAGTTTCTTACAATAGTGACTGACATTGTTAATACAGTGAAAGAAGTCATGGCGTTTATAAAAATGGATTGGAAAAATCTCGAGGAGAGAACAGACTGGATGGATACGCAACAAGATTATAGAAAGGGGGCAGATGAGGAAAAGACATAACTAGGGACCTGAAAAGCAGTGGTAGAGTGAAATCCCTTTTGATGCAATTGTGAATATAAATGATACTGCATGACAGCAAAAGAAAAGAATTTGAGGGCAGTCATTGATTTGAAAGCATACAAATTACTGAATTTTTTAAAAATGTAAATTCATAAACACAAGGGAAGGTAAACAACAAACTGGGAAAATATTTGCAATGCAGGACAAGGGTTGATGGTGTTAATAGGTAAGGAACTTGTTAGTAGAAGCAGCGATAACAAAACAAACACCTGGGCCAGGAAGGCTCAGGGGCGCTATCTCAGGCAGTTAATAATAATACAAAAAAGACATATTTGTTCACCAGATAGCTTAAGAATGTTCAACTCTAGCAGTTGAAAAGAATGATCTAACCCTAACACCTTTCAAATTGGCATGAGGAAAAAGGTGCTGTTGACTAGGTACAGTGGGCACCTTTTGGCTGATAGTACTCCTAAATCAGTGCAGACTTGGTACACAGCCATTCCAGTAGTGATAACCAATTATTTAATGACTGTGTTAAAATATATTAAGTGAAATCTATAAGCAGTAGGTATAATATGCTGTTTTTGCAACCTATTCCCATAGTATACAAAGATACAAAATAATATGTACTAAATTGTTAATAGTGGTTTTTTTCTGGATTATGATTGATTTTTCCATTTTCCTTTTTATCTTCTACCTTTGTAGCTTTAGGAGGGATTTTAGATTCGGTGTCTGGTTGGAAAAAGAGGTTCAAGTACTGGTACTGCTGCTGAATTTGCACAGCAAACACACTGCATCTAATAGAGGGTGGGAGTGAAGGTGGAGGATGTGGCTAGAGCTGTTCTAATAACCCTACTTGACTGGCCACTGTGTTTCTTTACAAAACAAGGCCACCTGCCTATATATGAAGTTCCAGGCAGCTTTATTAGACATTGTATAGAAATACAGCTTTTCTCAGTGTCCAGTCTGATTAATGTTCTGGGACATTATGTCACAGTTCTGTGTGTGTGTGTGTGTGTGTGTGTGTGTGTGTGTGTGTGTGTGTGTTTAGTCTGTAGGATTTCAGAAATTTCAGACTAGTAGATTAGTCTGGGTCAATGAAGGGACAACAACTAAAATACAGTAGTGTTAATTCAGTATTAAATTTAAGTTAACAGATATATTTGTCATTTCTATCCAGAAGATAAATTAATAATCGGGAAGGACTTCACTGCAAACATGTAGCCTCAAAAAATTAGTTTTCAGATTTTAATCTAACAAGATAAATCTCTGATATCAAAATATAATTTCTGTACATTGAGTTGTACTTTTAATAAGGCCTGTATTATATGAATTCATGCCCTATATTAAGTATTCTATCTATAATCTTGCATGTTTCGCAAAAGTTAGGACCATTCATATTTCACTTCTTTTGAATGTCTGTAACACCTGTGGCAGTTTTTCTGGGTGTATGTGCATGTGTTTTCTCTAGAATGTGGAACTGTTAAGTCTCTGGGAACCAAGAATTATTAGATGTGGAATAGTAAGGCACTGAAATCAGGGACACCAGAGTTACGGATTTTTTGTGTGTTTGTATTTTGTGTGTGTGTGTGTGTATTTTTTGTGTGTGTATCTTAATCAAATTGTATTGCTTTATTCATGTGTTTTTTGCAGGGTACTGTGGTATGGACTAGAGAACTTGGAATGACTTATGAAGAAACCTTGGAATGACACATGAAGGATGATAGGAAAGTCATTCTGAGGCAGGATGCTTTACTGAATTGTTTTTAACCAGGGTATCAAACATCAGGAATGAGTTCAGGAGAACGGAAACATCTTAGGTGCTCTGCATGTTCAGAGAAACTTCTCTAGTAATGAACTATAGAAATGACCCCTGAAAGTATAGTCTTAGAGTTAAGATTCTATTCAAGGAAATACTTTTGGCCTGTTGCTGGAACTGCTCTGTGGATTTGGAGACAGTTAGCATCATTGGCCCCCAGCCACTAAATGCTGCTTGCACTTCCCAGTGATTGGGATGACCAAACTGCTGCTGATGCTGGAGGTGTCCGGGCACTACCTCCTTTGAGAATCCCTGGGAAATAAAATAATGCTAGGGGCTGTATTAATTAAAATTAAGTTTGTTTGCATCTAAACAACAACAAGGATAGGAACAAATAGTGGCTTAAACCAGATAGTTTATTTCACTTTTCCATAGAAAAGTCCGGAGATAAGCAGGCTAGGGTTGGTGTAGTAGCTTCACTGTTATTGGAGTCAATGCTATTTTCTGCTCCATCATTCTCAGGACATTATTTCAGTTCTGCAGGGCATTGAGTGTGGCTGGAGCTCTAGTCATTACCTACATTCCAGGCAACAAGAAGGAGGTTGGAGGAAAAGAAAAAGAGTCTTTTTTCCAACTGAGTTAGCTCCTTTTAAGTACTGTGTTCCTATTTTCCACCTCTAACTGCAAGGAATGTTGGTGACTTAGCTTGGCCTGCAAAATACCACATACTAGGTGGCTTAAACAACATAATTTATTTCTCACAATTCTCGAGACTGGAGAGTCCAAGATTAAGGTGCTGGCAAGGTAGGTTTTAACCTGAGGCGTCCTGCCTTGGTTTATAGGTGGCCACCTCTCACTCTGAGCTCAAGTGACCTCTTGTGCATATGAGAAGAGAGTGAACTCTGTGGTCTCTCTTCTTGTAAGGACACTAATCCCAGTGGATTAGGGCCCCACCCTTCATTAACCTTCATTGAACCTTCATTATCTTCTTATAGGCCCTGTCTTCAGTACAGTCACATTTGGGGTTAGGGCCTTAACATGTGGATTTTGAGAGGAAACACAGTTCAGTTCATAGTAGTTGGGAAATGTAGCCTTTTAGCTGGGTGCATTGCTGCCACACATAAATGAGGATCCTGTTAGGGAGGATGAAGAGGAGAATGGATGTTGGGTGACAGCTGATAGTTACTGCCACAGCGGCTGTTGTCTGAGTTTCCCAGGTTGGTAATGAGAACCTTGGGGTTGGAACCTTATGTAGTGTTCATTGGAGGCAGGTAAGGGTGATCTGTATAAAATAATGCACAGAAAATTATGAAGGGAAAGATGAGGGATATTTAGGAATTATTTTTATTTTGGGGGGTACATGGTGTATATATTTATGGAGTATGTGAGATGTTTTGATATGGGCATGCAATGTGTAATAATCACATCGTGGGAAATTGGGTGTCCATCTTCTCAAGCACTTTTCCTTTGTGTTACAAACAATCCAATTGTACTAGGAATTATTTTTGATAAAATATAGTCCCCATTCTGAAGAAAGTGATATCCCAAGGAAAAGTCAGGGAACTTTTTTTTTCTTTAAGAGTATAATTGTAGGCAAATATTTATGAACAAGTAAGGGCAACTTTACATCTTTATTGGTTTGTATTTTTCACCAATCTTCTCATTGGGTGTGTTTTCTACTGTTTATGTTCTTTCTTTCCTAGGCCTCTTACGTAGTTTAGGACAGAAATTGATTGACTCCAGAGTTTAATGGAAAGGTTCTGGTCCAGTTCCTGTATCTAGTCAGTCCAGTGCTGTATCTGTGTATAGTCCTGTGGAAGCCATTGTGGTTGTACCTACTGTTAAAGCAATTGCTGTGAAATGGACTCAGTTTTGCTGGAAAGATCGCTAGCCCAGTATAAAGACGAATGTATGAACATGCCTTGGTGATGTCATAACTGTGGCATGTTTTTCTGTGGTTTTTACAGCACTTTTTCTTTCTAAATGAGAAACTTGGAACTCTGGGTAGGAATCACATTCTCCTCTTTTAGCAGCTTTGCTGAGATGTAATTCACATATTCTGCAGTTACACATTTAAAGTGTATAGTTCATTTGCTTTTAGTATATTTAGTATATTTACAGAATTGTGCATCTGACACCTTATTCAGTTTTTGGATATTAGCCCAAGTAGGTACCCTGTATCACTTCGCTTTCAACTTATTCAGTTTTAAAAAGAAACTACAGTGAGCTAAACTATTAGTAGAGATATTCCATAATACTAAAATTTGATCTTTAAAATAAGACATAATATTGTAACTGTTTTCATTCTGTAATTTCTATATAGTAATGAAATATCTTTCATTTCAGTTCTCAAGAATGCTAGCATAAGTATTATATAGCAATGTAGTCATGAGAGTCATATTATATCATCTTTACCATATTCTCTTGGTTAGAGGTAAGTCACAGGTCCCACTCACACCCAAAGAAATATGCCTACACAAAAATACGAACACTAAGAAGGTGGGGATCATGAGGACTTCCTGGAGCCTGTCTGCCACAGCCCTTCAATTAGCGAACACTGTAAAAAATTTTGCTTCTGATTTACAAGTAATTTTAATTAACTTTTTTTCAGCTTCCCTCAGTGGTAGATTGGTGCTGTATATTTCACCAGTGATTTTGCCATTGAGATAGTATTTACTTGCCAAAGATTATAGAACAATAATCATTATACATGGAACTTCTTCATGTTAGAACTTTTTTCAGGCTTAATCTGTCTACTTCATGAAAAAGATTACCAAGAAGAGTTTCCTATTTTTGCCTAGACCTGATTTCCATCTTAAAAGATCAGTTCCAGCTTCATCTTCACCTAAATGGTCACTTATGCCACTGATTTCCGGGCTTCTTGTGATTCTGGATGCTAGAGTATCAAATAATATGGGTGAAAGGACTTTGAACTGAAAAGCACTTGTATGAATGAAAGCTTATCACTTAGTATGATTTGAAAGTCTGTTATTTGGAACACTGATTTAGTAAATTGTTATTTAGACCAAGTGTATGAATCTTTGAAGTGTAACTTTGAACCTTAATATTAGTACATACGATTATTCTCAGAGTGGGGGTAGATTTTAAAGTTCTAAGTTTTTTGGGAACCTTAAAGGTTGCTACAGAAAACCATTCTACTAATTGGAGAAAACTTTCCTAAATTTTGGAAGAAGAAAAATAATGACCAAGCACATAAACTTTGCTTGTTTGCATCATAGGATCAGAGTTTAAAAGAGATCCTGATCATTTAGTATGAAACTGAAAAATGTAGTTGATATTTAATGAATTCTTTCATTGTGTGTATGGTTGATAGTTTGTTCCTACACATTGGGGTTTGGTGTGTGTGTGAGAGAGAGCAAGAGAGAGAAACAGATTGATTTTACATTTTTCATTGGATTTACTTTTTTACAAAGCATGGTTAGAAGTTATTAATACTTTGATCTCCAGGTTGAGATTTTGGAGATGATTTTTTATTTAATGGAAATATGTAATGAGTGAGCTCTTTTGTCTACGAGCCACTCATTTTTTATCCCATTGCTTTATCGAACGAGGGCTGAAAATTTCAATTTTGAATAGCACATGGCAATTTTCCTCTTAGAGCCAGCTAGCTATTCAGTTAACTGTTCTCCCACCTCAGGATGGTATTAACAAGAACAGGACAGTATACTAAGGCACTAGTTCCCAAACATTACTGGAATCATCTGGGGGTCTTTAAAAATACTGTTTTCTGACTCCTGTCCCTGGATAATTCAGATGTAATTGCTATGGGACGATACCTGGGCATTGAGATTTTTAAAATCTCCCCCAGGTGATTGTAAGGTACAGCAAACCTTGGGAATAGTTGTACTAACTGAAGATTGAGGCACTGGAATAACTAATGTTGGGTAAGATAGGGTAAGAACTTTTTCGCAATAAGGTTTGCAGCTCTTGGGATTCTCACTTGATAATGCTGTTTGGATAAACCATCATCCAAGTTTGAATAAGATCTTATATTTAGAAATGAAAACTGATCTGCAGAATTAGTTTAATCAATAAATGGGAATTTTTAAAAATCTTCTTGGCAATTTGTTTTTATGAATCCCGTTGAAGCTGTGTCTATTGACTACCTAAATCTAGATCATTCTTAATCCAGTGTGTAAAAAACCAGGATGACACAAATGAAAAACTTCAAAAACCTGGAGGTCAGACTATTTTAGTAATTTAGAAAACATTTTTCCCACACATTAATCAGTACTAAAAGAAAAAAGTTAAAACCTATTTAAAATGTGGAAAAATTGCTTCCCAATATTTTAACAGAGAGAGACTGAGAACACACAGCATTGAGTCATCAGGAAAACTGAAGATCTCCCCTGAACAACACTGGGATTTCACTGCAGAGGACTTGAAAGACCTTGGAGAAATTGGACGAGGAGCTTATGGTTCTGTCAACAAAATGGTCCACAAACCAAGTGGGCAAATAATGGCAGTTAAAGTAGGTGATGCCATGATTATTTTTGGTACTTTAATCCATTAGGTGAAATTTCATGGTGCAGTAATACCACTGTTGTTGTGTTCCTACTTTTGTGGTAAATGTGGGTGTTTAAAAAATTGTTTCTCCAACTCCTTTGAGGGTGTTCTGTGTAGAGGTTTCTTATTGGTGGCACATTTTCTATCTCTTTGGAAACATGAGTGTATGAAGTGTGCATGTTGATTGCATTTTTGGCATGATGCATTAACATGTTTTAAACTTCAGGCCCTTCTACTGCCAAGGTGAGTTCAGGCTGGGCGGCTGCACCCCTGGGAGCAGGGCAGTGCTGCACTGAGCCAGGCGGGAGCTGGAAGAAGACGCAGCACACTGGGTTGGGCAAGGTGCGGGGCTAGGGCTAACAGCAGTCTTACTGAAGGTTTCCTGGAAACCACGCACATGCTGTTGCCACTAACCTCAACCTTACTCGGTCCTGACCGGCTCGGCTTCTGTTTGTTTATTTCATCTCTACTCAGTACTGCCCTGTTCCCTGGTTTTAAAGTTGTACTGAAATGCATACCTTGTGATAATGTTGTCACATTTTGTCCTTATTGTGTCGTGCCACTTAATATGTTCATTAAAAAAAAAAAATGGCCAGAAACAGAGATTTGATCCATAGACAATACCTGGCAAGCTTATGCTGGTACCTGTAAAGAACTGGTGGTTTCCATCTGACTCCTAGTTTCATGTAATTGTAATTTATTCATTTGTTTGTTTAGATGTTTAACAAATCTTTGCTGTATGTAAGATATTTCAGGAAAATCAGCAACAGGGGGAACAACTTGCAAAAACAAAGGAAAAAAAGCTAGCTGTGGCCATACCCTCTCTGAGCTTAAAATTCCTATGGGAACAAAAATGTTTCAGTTTACAAGAATTCAGAATGGATTTGCATATAGTCCAAGCTAATCATCTTCCTATTAGTGTCCTATTTTGAGAGTTTGTCAGAGTGGTTGATAAGAGTCCTTAGTTTTTTCTTGACATTTGAGAATGAATTTAAATTAAAATAAAATGCTTTCTGTGTAGAAGTCTGTTGTGAGCCAAACCTTACTGTAACTATTTTAGTATCCTTCACTGTTGAGCATTTCTTTTTGCTGGGTCATATGAAAGTAATGTTAAATTAGTGGTAGGGAAAATTTTTATGATTCTCTCTATGGGTTCCTAACATTGTTTTTGGCTGTATTTTTAAAATGTGGTGAGAACTATAGACTTTTCATAGGCAGGTGTATATACACAACATTTTGTATACAAACCGTAGACCTCTAAAGATGCACAGGTGAAGAACTCTGCATTATGTGTTAAAATAAAATGTTTTATTGGAATGTGAAATGATTTCTGTATTCCTATTTTGTGCCACTGCAGTGTAAGTGGAAAGAGTCATTTTATTTAGACTCCTGGATGAATGTTGTGTTGTCCCTTTGTGCTACCTGTGTGTGACATCCAGTTTTAGTTGGCTGGATCTTAAGGGAAAGGTTTCCTATATAGTTAAAGTTGTAAACTTTTCTTTCAGGTACTAGGGAAAGTAATTTTAAAAAATTATTTCCTGCTTTTTACAGTTTGTGTTATGTGTGCTTCAACTTTGTTGATGAACATTATTAAACATTTTAGTAATATGGATTGATTTTAGCCATTGTTAAAAAGGTCATAAAGGTAAAGAGGGTACTTCCTTTTGACACTTAAAAGTTTTTCTCACTGATTAATTTGATAATATTTTGGGTTGTATAATGCTTACTCAAGTTTTGTAGGAATTCAAGAATGAAAATAGGAAATTGTTGTCCATCATTTGTAATGTTACATTATCAGTGGCTACTGGCTACTGTGACAGTTCCAGTTGGGATGCTATTAAAAATCCCAGCTGTACTTGAAGAACTTTCAAGGCAGTCATGAGACCTACAAACTGGTTGCTGTCACATGTATACCCACCACATGGTACTACCTAGCTTCGTTTACCATCTCGAATTCTTGAACAAGCATAGCAGTTGGGGATGGGAGAGGATGGCAGTACAACACATCAATTAACATATAGTTGAGGAGTACCTTTGGATTCCATGACTTCATTAATACTGGAAGAATAAGTGTTTTTGCATTAATATGCATTAAAATTTGATACCAATTGATGACAGATGTATGCCATCTCTGAATTAAAGAATGCATTTATTATTGGTTTCTTCAAAGAAGAATAGTCTTTCATCACACTTGAGAGAGTTCATTCATTCCTCATTTAGGTACATTGACTGGATTGACAGGCACAAATATACAGAATCAATGTATGATTAAGGAGGTGTTTGATTTGAGACTTTACGGTTTTAAAGGAACCATGAGACGGTGGTTCACACAGCTGAGAGCTTTCCATTGCTGTTGGTGAAATGAGAAACACGCTTGAAGTAACTCTGTGCTAACATCTTAATACACACTTTGAGAATAAAGAAGGATTGCATTATTAGATGTTAAGCTGGAAATGATCCTTAAGATTTACTTGCAATATCTGTAGAAAAGTGAACTGTGATATTAGCTTGATTTTTTTCTTTGTATTATTCCTCATTTTTAGTTCTGAGGAATTCCTTCCCCAAATTTATTTTGCCATATATAAGAAATATTTGAAAAAGGTGACTTCTTAGTAACCAGAGTTAATTACCCCAAAGACTTAATCTAAAAATCAGTTTTGATATAATCAGATTTAGTGAGGTAACATTGTAAGAGTTATACTTAAAACAATTTTTTGATGTTTGGTTTGAGGACAGTCTCCCAAGCTATCGGTGAGTTTCTGCATTAGGACCTAAGATGTGAACATGGTTTACCCTTTAGTTTTAATTGCACGTGCTTGGGAAAAGGGTCTTGCTCTCCTGTGAGTGGGAGTAATTTGTATACTTGTGCCTGAATGACTAGTCTTAGGGCTGCCTAGGGCAAAGCCAGTGTTGCCTCTGGGGTTTCTTAAAGCTCAGGGAGAACAACCTTCAACTCTTACCAGGGATTTACTTCTAACTGTGATCAGTATCCTTTACAAATAACATTTATTTAGTGTCCTGTTTTGCACGGTGGTGGGGTAACCACTGAATGAAAACATTAGACATGAACAGTCACTGTCCTCTACATAAAGTAGGTGCCTGCTCAGCTCTCTGGCAGGTGGAAATGGGAGAGGATGGCAATACAACACATCAATTAACATATAGATGAGGAGTACCTCATCTATATGTTAACCAGCTCTCTGGTTAAATGTAGCGGGGTAAAGCCCAGAGTTCAGACCAAATGTTTGAAGAGGCAGTTAGGATTAGGTTTCTGAGCTAGGGTAATTCAGATCTGGGAGAAACACCTAGCATCATCAGTCAGAATCAGGATGCCACAGAAAATCTAGGGACACAGGAGAAAAGAGAGTAAATGAAATGTCACAGCTTAGACCATGGGCTTACAAGCTCAGATGGCTGACAGAGGGAAGAATGACTGTAAGCCTCTGATGCCTGACAGTATATTCTCCACCTGACTCTGCCTGCAGTGTAAAAAATCCTGCATGCCTAGAGTACCAGCTTCCCTGTTGTTTTCTAGCAGACTCATGTCCAGATTGACTTCTTGAAGGTATGCATGCCCTTTTCATGTTTGTAGAATATGTGCGAAAAACCAAAGAAACGTGAAAAAGTAAGAATGAAAATGAGAGGGAGTATAAGGACTGAAGTACCTGTCACTAAAGATGATGGCAGGCAGTGGAATCTGAATTGTTGTGTGAAGGGTTAATACTGTAATAAAGCTGTCATCTCATTGAAGAACTGAATAATATTGAGCAGGTAGGTGGGAATAAGAATGTGTCATGTTAAATTTGTCATTGTGGATCATTATGATGACTTTTCAGTCTTCTGCTTGAGAAATTATCTGGGTTAATCAGGAAAAACAGATCTGTTGTTTGAGGGTAGGTGCATAGGCCGGACTGAGTTAGCAATGTGACCTGGTATGCAAGAGTTTCAAGTATTTTCTTTCTGTTGGAGATCTGCCTAACTTGTCTTGTTCTTTTGAACCTCAGCTCTACCCTTTCACCTCTACTGTTTCATTGATGTGAGTCTTGCTGATTCTGGCCTGTTAACCTGATTTTGATTCCTGCAATCCTGCCTCTCCTTGATTATTTGGATTTTGACTTTAGTGTCCTTGACCTGGAGTTGAGACCCAGCCTAATCCTGATGCTTGATAGTAAGGACTAGAGCCCTCTGCTGACAGTATCAGCAGCCCACAGCTCAGCTGTTCCCTGAGTAGAACGGAACTTTAATCTGCTGGTTGAGTAGGCCTCCCTGGTGTAGATAGTATGGTGAGTATGGGAAGTCAGGTATCAGAAAAGTATGGCTTGGCTTGTTTTCCTGCCACTGGAGAGACCATGCCACTTCTGTCAAAAGTTCCATTACCAAATTATTTCAGTGGGGATTATGATGATGAATAATGATTTGAGGAGGTTCATTTTAGTGTTTAAACATTGGTCTTGCATGTTCTGAAAGCACTAGAATGATACTGGGATGGCCTTCAATTGGAAAAGTTCCTTTTTGATGGCATAGAGTGCTTTGTTAGGCCATTTTATTCACTTCCAAAGGGCCGCAGTGATCATATTTGATTATCCAAATCACCTATGGGATGCAGATGTCATGGCTCTTTTGTTTAGAATTGAGACTGTAGTCTAATATCTTAGGCCGTCGTTCGGTCAGATCATGTGACTTACTTAAGGCATCTGTGATTGAGCTGTATTCTTTTATGCTTCCTAATATTGCTTAAAAGCTGTGGTGGTCATATGAAAAGTGTAAGTAGAGCATTTCCAGGAGGAGACATATTCAAGGGGTGTGGCAGGGCTGGCCTCTAGGCAGCCTTGATTTTGAACTCAGGTTGCTTATGTAGATGGGGTTGGAATTCCCAGTATACATGTGTGCTTGTTTTGCTGTCACTCCAAGTTAATGTTTTTCAGACTGTGAGTTTGTTCCATTAACAGAATTGGATGTGCAACCCAAGAAATAAAACAGCCAAAATCAGTACTGTTCGGGGTTATGTGAGGGTGGGAAGCAGACTCTACCTGCAGCCATATTGGAAGCCCTTGGGGCACCAGCTCTGAGGAATTAATAGGGGTACAATTAAGACAGTTTGGAAATGGTTGCTCTAGGTGAATTTTAGTCAATCATTATATGTTTTTGAACATTCTAAAGATCTGGTTTCTGAAACCTTCTACCATCACTTGGTTAAACTGAATGAATTTTGACATTGGACTAAATCCCAACTTACATAGTTATCTGGAGAAAAACCTGTTTTTTGTTTTGTTTTGTTTTGTTTTGTTTTGTTTTGTTTTTGAGACAGTTTCACTGCGTCGCCCAGGCTGGAGTGCAGTGGCACAATCTTGGCTCACTGCAACCTCTGCCTCCTGGGTTCAAGTGATTCTCCTGCCTCAGCCTCCCAAGTAGCTGGGACTAAAGGCACGCACCACCACACCCGGCCAATTTTTGTATTATTAGTAGAGGCGGGGTTTCACCATGTTGGCTAGGCTGGTCTTGAACTACTGACTTCAGGTGATCTGCCCGCCTCAGCCTCCCAAAAGTGCTGGGATTACAGGTGAGAGCTACCACGCCCAGCCAAAAACCTGTCTTACCATACCTCACTCTGCGTGGGTGTCATTTGAACCAGTATGTGATATATTTCCTGCATATTTTCTATCATTCTTTGTCATCTTATGGCTATGCCTCTGAAATTTGTTGTATATGTCAGATTTCTATTGTTACCTCACTTTATTGTCGTAAGTACTGAAATGATGATCTGTCATTTATGGTCTTCAGACCCTTAAAAATTTCAGTGCTAAGATTGACATTGTTTCTTTAAATGTGGATGATGTGGTTAGTAAAGAGGAAGAAGATGATACCACTCTTACCAAGGCATGTCAAACTTGTTCCATTAACTTGGTCCTCAGGGCAGCTCTTCCCATAATGTAATATAACACATGCTTTTGGAACTGAACTCCCAGGTGCTCTGATAATACGTAGCAGAAGGTAAGGTAAAAGGAATTAAGTGGATCTCAGTATCCCCAGTGAGAAGAATGGGGTATTACTATTAATTAATTAATTAATTAATGGGGCTAAGATACAACTGAGAGTTTATTAAATTGATTTTAAAAGACTTGAATGATTTTTGCAATTAAGAATTAGCATTCTTTCTTCTGCCCGTAGTAAAATCATATATGCTTTCACAATTTAAAATAATTGACTTAACAGACACTTATTTTTTCACAGGAAAGAAAGATTTACATCTGTGATCAGCATTCTAGATAATTTGCTTGCTTCTTTTGCTGTTTGTTTTGGTTAATGTTGCCATCTGCTTTGACCTTATTAATGATGGCTTTGTGAGATATCATGGCCATTTTCGTGTGTGATCTATTTAGAAGACTCTAGCTGATAAGGAGGAACTCGTACCACAAATTAGGAAAATAAGAATACCTAAGATTTTCTGCAGCCCAGAGGAAGGTGATAGGATATTGATGTGCTGCTATGGTTTCTAGGATTTTCCAACTTTGGTTTCTAGGATTTTCCAACTTTGTATTACAACTGAATTCTGGACATTTTTGCTGGGAAAGCAGCATATTTGTAGGGTTCAGAATAGTAGGGACACTGGAGGAGTGTGATCCTTGCTCTCCTATCCTCTACATCACTGACTTTGGTTGATCTGATGTCAATCATTGACTAGCAGTGGATTCCCCTTCACATTAATGACAGTAACCTTAAGAGGGATCTTTAGCAGGGATTACTTAATGAACAATGAAGGGTATGTTTATGGCATAGCAGTATTGGTGTTTGTAGATCACAGAAACTGGATGCGTTTTCAAAATATTACAACTGTGTTGTAATATTATATATAAATTATATATAATATATTACATATAATATATATTAAATATTATACAATATTAAATATAATATTAAATATACAATATTTAATATATTATCTATAATATGTATGTAATATATAATATATATTAAATTATATCTAATATATAATATATATTAAATATATAATATATAATATATATTAAATATATTATATATAATATGTAAAAGATTAAGATAATCTTTGTTCTTTTCTTCTTTTGATTTTTAATGCTGAACCTTTGCTATATCACTCTTTATTTTCTGTGGAGAGGAGGTCCCATGTGCTGTGTTTGCTCATGTACTAGTTCTAGGATTTCTGCATGGGTAATTAAATATTTACTAATATCTACCTGGTACAAAAGGTGGACAACTGTCATCATAGGGAGCTTTTGATTTGCTTCTTGTCTTGGGTGTGGTGGTTTTAGCCATCATATAATTGGACAGGACAATTGGCAATTACTTGAAATACAGAATACAGATTCTTTTTTTTTTTTTTTTTTGAGACAGAGTCTCGCTCTGTCACCCAGGCTGGAGTGCAGTGGCATGATCTTGGCTCACTGCAAGCTCCGCCTCCCGGGTTCACGCCATTCTCCTACCTCAGCCTCCCCAGCAGCTGGGACTACAGGCGCACGCCACCACGCCTGGCTAATTTTTTTGTATTTTTAGTAGAGACGGGGTTTCACCGTGTTAGCCAGGATGGTTTCGATCTCCTGACCTCCTGATCCACCTGCCTCGGCCTCCTAAAGTGCTGGGATTACAGGTGGGAGCCACCCTGCCTGGCTCAGAATACAGATTCTTTTGGTAACCTTAGATGATAGTAGGTGCTTATGTAGGGGAACAAGCCCCCTGCACTGAAGTATGGGTTTTAGCTAACCTAGTTATAGCAGATTCCACATAGATTGCTGAAGAGTAAATGCCTTCTGGTATTCTGATTTTGGTTGGTGGTAAATTGGAAATGATGCTTTGCCTTGCTAATGGCCAAATTACTAGTAGCTTGCATTATTTTATCTTGTGTCTATTTGTTTTAATTGGTGCCTGGAAGAATCTCTAAAGCCCTACACTGATTTCCTCTAATGATTGAATTCGTTACCTTGCTGAGTTTCATTGTGTCTGAGTCCTAATTTCTGATCCAGGAACTCACCTGTCTTTTACTTTGGAATACTCTACCTATTCCTAACTTCTCTAAGCAGCTACAGGTGTACCTGTGCAGCAGGGAGATGTATCTCCTACTCTGCTCTTACTGTCTTTTTATACTGCCCTCTCGGACACTCAGCTGAGCCATACAAACACCTGACAAGAATTTGTCATGTGAGAATTTAGAGATCTGCCAGGACTGATGGTCATGTCCTTCCATGTCAGTTTTCCCATTTCTTATGCTCCTCACATCTCATTCCTCCATGCATTGTCTCCATTTTAAAACAAAACAAAAATAGCATCAGTTAGAATTGATAGCCATTTTGTAAGTTTATTTGATTATGTTGCTGTTTTCAAGTGTGTCTGTGGCACCACTGCTTTCTAAAGTCATTTTCTGGACTCCTCAGTTCTTGATTCCTTACATGTTTGCTGATGACTCATATCCTTTTTGCCTAGAATGTTCAGATCCTAGGAACTGACATCTGTCATGTCCTCCGTAGAACTTCTGTTTATGAAGTGCATATATGACTTGTCATCCGATCCTTTTTTACTCTTGAGTCTTTTGAGTATATAATGACCTATTATTTTCCCTTTCTCCCTGCAGGAATGGGATCAGGTAACCCAGAGTGCCTCTTCACATACATTGTTCAAGAGCTTAACTTGGTAGGAAGGAAAACTGGGTTATTTGGGAGAATCAGTAGTTGTCACATCAGGACACCGGCAGTCACAGAATGGGTCATTTCAAGGCAGGCCCTGGTGCTTTGGGATAAGGTGTGTGCTGACCTCTCTAGTAACTGAGATATCTTTGAGCACCCTAACATGGAGATGTAAGGGTTAACTCTGAATCAGGGTGACTGGCAAGGACCACTATCAGAATCAGCCAGGTATTTATTGAGCATCTAGGCACAATGCTACTTGGTGACCTGCTTCTTAGGAACTACAACGTGAGCCTTTATTTTGCCTCGTCTGCAACTCCATCCTTAGCCTTTGCGTTGTCAGCCTGCCTTCCTTTGCCACACTTGAGTCTTCCTAACCTTACCCCTTAATAGCAATCACTTCATCATCATGCGCTTTCCCACTATCCCTTCTCCCTGTCTCTTCCCACCCATGAAAACAAATTTAGAAAATGAAGGGAAATAAACAAACAAACAAAAAGTCACCATTATGATGGGATTGAGGCATAATATCTGAGTAAGAAGGGAATAAATTAGTTTTCCTTGACAGTATATACTGCCTGTTTCTGTCCATCCTCTTATTTGCTTCTTTTTCTTTGCTCTTCCACTCCAGTCCTTAAGCGAGTTTAGTTTTATTCGTTCCTCTTGTCCCTTTTCATGATAACAATGTGTCATAGTCTGCTTTAAAGTTTTTCATACTTACCGATGTTAGTTTTATTGCTAGTCATTCATCCCTGATGAGCACCAACAAATTGTATGTGAGAGATGGATTTGGTAGGGTTTGGATATGAGGCTGGAGAATTGTGTCACTGTGAAGAGAGAGCTCCCCTGGAGATCTCAGTGTAAAGTTGGAGGACACCTAGAACAGCACCACATTTACATTGTTCTTCAGTATCAGTAAAAGAGTTATTTATACTTTAAATTCAAGTTGTTAAAAATGGAGGCATTCCACATGAGGCTAAATATTATTCAAGATTTTGGTCCATCGATGTTATAAGCTGTCAACATTTAAATCTACCAATGACTTCCAGGTGCCATGTTGCACAAAAAGAAGGAAAGCAGCCTTTCAACAACTTGGAATTTGGGACATTTCTATATGATTGGGACTGTTCACCAAGTGGATGTTGCTGTGTTTTGTGACGAGATGGAGTAGAGGACAAGGGGATCATTTGTAACTGAACATTTTTAGCTTGTCCTATGGGACTTGTTAACTTTCTATTACCGCGGCCTAATCCATACAGAACTCCCAACAACTAAATTTGTGGCTGATCCAACCAATGGCATGAGTTGGACTGACAGTTTTAGAAAAAATACGCTTTTTGGAATTTTTTTTTAATTGGACAAGAACCATGCATAATATTAATAGTCTTAAAGCCAGAGAACTGGGAATGTAATCTTTTTTTCCTGTGTCTCTAAGTGACTCTCAATTGGAGTGATGTTGGCATTTCTGACCTGTATCTACCTGCTGTTTTTATTGGCATTTACCTGCTTTATTGGGCTTATATGCAATCTTGAATACAGATTTGGACACCAATTAAAAAAAATTAACTTCAAGTTTATAAATTTCTTTACTATAGAAAACTACTTATATATGTAGAGTAGTAATTTTTGTTTTGATTTTCAATGTTTTCTTTATGTTATATTCCAAATAAAGTAAAACTTGAAATAATCTGAAAATACTTTTTATTATTGGGAAAGAGATGTGGATTCTTTTTCAAGAAACACAATTTAATTTTCCTGGAAGCGTGTAATAACTTAAGCTAAGTTAGTAAAGTAGTGTTAAGTAAAAGAGCTCAGTAACCCCATAATGAAAAAGAATGATTTTGAAAATAATATAAAAAACTTAATGTTCTTGAGTTGATTTTCTTAAGTATTTTATGGTTTCCTGTAGTTTTCATTCTACTATTTACTGCCAGGGAAAAAAAGGTTTGCTGAGCTCAAGTAAACAGCCTTATCTAACTTTTAAATTTATATAAATAAATGAAATTTTCCTGCTATTCAAAGTTTTTTATCAATGGTTGTTGCTTCTGAACATTATGATTATGAGGATTTCAAGTCATATAATTGGCGTCACCTTGTTACTTCCATTTTTCTGTGCTCTTAAGGACAGCTTTATAAAGGGAAGAGAAGTTTGTTCTTATTGATGTTCAATTTTTAGGTAGTTATGCTCCTTTAATGTTAGAAGATCCTGGACTCACTTGATTCAAATGTAGAAGTCTTTCCCATAGATATTGTTTTGATGGTTCATTAGAAAAACTTTCTTGGTAGTAGCTTTAGTCTCTTAAGTATTCTCTAATTTGAATTGTTGATTGTCATTATGTATTCTACTTGAGTTATTTATTGAGTTATTAAAATCACTAATTTGAAGTTACTGCTATTATAGGCATGTGTTTGTAGTTGATCCCCTTTTGGGGTCCTTTAGGCCTTTTGAAATAGTTTATTAATTCCTCACATATGATAAATGTTACAGTTCAACCCTAAAACATTAGTATAATTAAGAGTTAGCAGGTCGGTCACAGTGGCTCACGCCTGTAATCCCAGCACTTTGGGAGGCCGAGGCAGGCGGATCACGAGGTCAGGAGATCGAGACTATCCTGGTTAACACGGTGAAACCCCGTCTCTACTAAAAATACAAAAAATTAGCCAGGAGTGGTGGCGGGCGCCTGTAGTCCCAGCTACTCGGGAGGCTGAGGCAGAAGAATGGCATCAACCCGGGAGGAGGAGCTTGCAGTGAGCCGAGATCGCGCCACTGCACTCCGGCCTGGGCGAAAGAGCAAGACTCCGTCTTAAAAAAAAAAGTTAGCTGTATTTGTTCAATTCCAAACAATTCAGATGCAATACCAGCAGCTACTTTTCTACCTACTGCCAGATACTTAGACAAAATGTTCAGAGAATGTGGGGAGGTGTTGATCTCTTGAAAAGCACAATCAATTTCATGTTAGACTAGTAGGCCATTCAGCTGCTCTGTGTTCTATTTTGTACTAAAGTGACATTAAAGAATACTTACAGATGAATAGGTTTTCCTGCCAGTGCTGATGATCTCAAAGATAGAGCTGTGCTAGGAACTCTCTACATTCTGATTAGTAACAATTCTGTCAGAGATTGTCTCAGTGTTAGGTATCAGTAAGATGTTGGAACTTCAGTTAGGCCTTTAGATCATGTAGTCCATATATCCTTTCTGTAGCTACGGTAGGGTTTTCGGACACAGGCTCGCTCCCAAAAGTCAGTTATTGATGATAACTGTTGAGGTTTTGACTGTAATATGCTTCCTAGTTGAAATATAAATATTTGTACAAATGTGTATTTAGCATACCACACAACCAGTTTTGTGAAACAAAAGATAAACTAGTAAAGAGGACACCTTTTAAAAATAGTAGTTTATGTGTGTTAGTATATATCCATTTGCCAATATATTCATACTAGTAAAAATAGAAAAAAATACATTTGTTAACACCTTTTAATAGTGAGAGGTAGAAATCTTCCCCAACCAAAGGGTTATTTGATTTTTCTTCTCTACTTGTCTCTAATATTAAACAACTCTTCGTCTGTTTTAAATTTAGATATATAGGATTATTAAGATTCTTTTATAAATAATTACCTTCCTAAATTAGCATTTTCACAGCTACACTTTTAGAGTTATTTTTTAAAAAACAGGTATAAAGGTAGAATATTTACAAAAATTATTACATCATGCTTTGAACAAATACAGATCACATCTCTGGGCTATTTTGACTTTTAAAAATATCCTTTTTGAGCAAACATGCTGAAGTTGATTTAAAAGTAAGATTATTAATCCATAAACTATGAAAATAATCAAAATGAGAAAGAAGGGAAACTTTCCTTAACGTTAATAGAACTAGTCTTATTTTGTTTCCATTTTTCATTCTTACTTTAGTGCTTGTTTATCTGAGCATTGATATTTAATATAAAAGTTGTAGGTAAATCTGTGTCTGTAACATAGATGCCAGTTACTAAATTTTATTTGCTTATGAAATACTGTAGGTAGCAAGCTGTAAATTTTAAGTAGCAAAATTAAATTTGTTTGGAATATATGGAATTCCTCAAAAATGAAACGGAGAGAACCTACTTCTGTTCCTTAAACAACTGCTTATTCTCATGTCACATGAAATACATCTTCTATATCTCTTTGTGCCTCTGGCTTCTTTTCTGTAAAATGGGCTCAAGAATTTAATTGACTGCCTTCATCCCTTTCAAGAACATTTGACAGATACTTCGAAGTCTTTGGAAGACAAAATGCCACCTTGTGTATTTTTTGATACTAACTTGCCTTGTAAGTACACACTATGTATTGTACACAGTGGCGTGATGTGACATTGTGAACTTTTTTATGAGAACAGAAGTTGTTTGCATGCTTTGATGTTAAACTATAATTTTATTATTATTTTTTTATAATTTCTGAACATGATTCTTTCCTATATTGTCCCTCCCAACACCTCTGTGTTCTATACTGTTCCTGAATAAGAGGTGGGAGGAGGTGGGGTACTTAATGTTTTCTGGCAGTCTCTTAGAAATGTGCAAAGAAATTGTTGTACAGCTTGGTTAGGAATATATCCCTGGTCTGCAGTATATGGAGGAGCGCTTTAGCACCTTAGGAATAGACAAAAAGAGCCCTCTGTTTCCTCAGTTTTAGGTTTTCTTCCACAGGTTTATGCTGCCCTACATGCTGACTCATGGGTTGGAGAGTCAGGTAGAACTTTTTGTTTTTAATGTATAGAAAGTGCAGTTAAAGGACAGAGTCCCAATCTAGGATTTTGGAGACCTGGATTCTTGCCTGGTGCACTGCTCCTATACTAGTATTCACTTTATCCGGTTCTGGACTATTTCCCGTCTTTATGAATGAGGACACTGTGGTATGAGTGTCCTCATGAGTGAATGAGTGAAGAGGGATGTTCTTGCATTGAATGCCTAGATTGCATACAATTTTGAAACGGTGATTAAAAGTATGTATACAGCTACCTATAATTATTCATATGAAACTGTTAAAACTCATTATCATTTTCTTTATATTTGCATGTGGGGGTTAATTTTTACTGCCTAAGAACTTTGTTGCATAACTCCCAACATTATTAGTAAATGCTCATGGTTAAATTGCCCTGTCTCCTTTAAAGGATTTCTAAGTGCTGTTTGTTAAACTTTCTGTGATTAAAGTAATTCTTGTGAAGTATAAGGAAAGATGATAATTTTCATATCTGGTATTTGTGAAGTTTGGTAATTTTTAGTCTCGTAACGGTTTTTCTCTACCATGAGACTAAAAATTATTGGTGTTTTTGACAAAATTATTGTGTTTTTTTGACATCTTTTGTCATTCTTTTCCAGAGAATTCGGTCAACAGTGGATGAAAAAGAACAAAAACAACTTCTTATGGATTTGGATGTAGTAATGCGGAGTAGTGATTGCCCATACATTGTTCAGTTTTATGGTGCACTCTTCAGAGAGGTAGGAATAAACTGGGTTTTAGCTGACTAATGAATATCTAATTGGGACAAATGAAGATGGCAGGATTCGATTCTATTCTTAAATGCCATACATTAGTAATAAGTTAATATCTCAGTATCTTAGTGTTTAACCATGGTAATTTACATATTAACTTCTGACTCTTTTTGCGGTGGTGGGTAAGGGGTGAATCACACGTGTGTTTGTGTGTGTGTGTGTGTGTGTGTGTGTGTGTGTATTTTAGTATTGGTGGCTGTCATTTGTAAATCTCATACAAATATTTTCTGTTCTTTAAGAACCTGAAAAATCAGCTGACTTCTAAATATCAGCACTTTTGCTATAGTTTTAGATTTTCATTGGGCCTTGAGCAACGCCTCCCCCCCCCCCCCCCCCCCCCGCCGCCAACTTTATATTTTAACTTTTACTCATCTGTCATCAAGTGTATGTCTGCATTTAATATAAACACTTATGTGTCCCTGCCCATAATCCTGAAGTATACCCATCAGACATGGAAATTAACAATTACAATATAAATTATTTTTTTCTAATTCTCTTATCCAGATTTTTGTGTAGAAACTAAAGCTCTAATTTCTTGGTCTCATAATCATGTTTCTTCTTTTGGCCTCTGGTTATTTTGTGTCCCAACTTGGGTTATCATTTCTGCCTCCAGCTCTCAATCCACTTACTCATTTCCAGTCATCCAGCTGCCTAAAATGTGGAAGTGAGTTTGGGCTAGGGGTAGAACTGGAGCTGTAAATGAATTAATACATTATGATATCCTAGACCGCCATCAAAAATTGTGATACTTAGTTGAGTAGGACTTGAACTGAACTGCTAAGCATTTCAAATACTCTCTAAAAAAAATACCTTTCTCATTTTGCAAATGTTAGGATGAATAACCGAGTTGTTATAAACTGGTAAGAAAAACCCTCCTGCTCTCTTCTTTTTGGGATGGGATTATAGAGTGTATCCTTGGGGTTTTTGTTGTTATTGGCTTTAAAATTAATATATATTTTTGAAACAGGGCTGAATGTAGCACTGAGTAGAAGTATATGCAATCTTATAATTGGAAACAATGTTAGAGGTTAGTTAATTCTAAACCTAATTCTGAAGTTTTTGTTTGTTTTTCTGGGCTCTTACTAGGTAACTAGTAACAACACATTCTGCTTCATGACAGAGCCCATTTCTTTGTTGAATCACTAATTGTTAATTCTCAACTCGTAGTTTTTTTCTATTCCTGTCTTTAAATAATGAGAATATTCATTTTTATGACCAGATATACTGAATTTATTAATTTTCTTCCATCATTTCACATCAGCATTCCGTTACATCAGTATACAGTCATGTATTCATGTGCATGACTGTATCTTGGACCTAAATATTATGTAATGTTATTCTAAATGTTTGGAACTTTCTTCATGTTGCACAAGAATCTTACCATATCTTCCTCCCTTTATTCCCAACTATGAACTTTTCTTCACGATCATTAAATCATCACACCATATGCAGAACAATAGTTAATTAGTTAATTAGGGACTGAACTAGATTTTCTCTCCTAACTAGATTCTGTGGTCAACTTTTTCAGTGCTGTATTCGTTTTCATTATAGACTTTCCCCAGCTCTGCCTGAACCCTAAATCACCTCCATAGTGCTGGAATATACCAATTTATTTCATTTGTTCATTTATTTAATCATTCATGTACCATTTACACACCTAGCCTTGGGCTAGATAGTGTGGGAATCTGATTGTATGAAAAGAAAGCAGAGTAAGTCATATTCATGATTGACAAAGATGTGGAAACAAAGCACGGAAGCTTGGAGTGGTGTCTGAACAATATTCCCATGGTTTTGTTATCATGGATAGCTGAGTCACATTTGGTTTTATGTCTCAGAAAGGTTGAAGGGAGTTGACATATGCAGCTGTAAACACTAACGTCTGTTGAATGCTTTGTTGTTTTCACATATGTTTTCTTCCCAGTAATCTTCGGGATTTGGTGGTATTATCTATCCCCTTTTTCCAGATAGGAAAATGAAATTTAGTGTGTTTGACAAAAGTTACACAGCCAACAAGTAGCAGAGATGGGATTCCAGAGACAGAAATCTTGCTGTTCCTTCTATTTTATTAGAAGTGGTCCAGATATGAAGATATATATATGCTTTTTAAATAAGATTTTTGACAGGATAAGATGTGTGATAAGGTGAAGGCTTAGGAACTACACAGTTAAGCTGTACAAAGACACAAAATACCTAAGTAGATGAAACATGAACTTTCCTCCCAAATCAGAATGCAGTCTGTAATAGGTACTTTCTGAATAATAAGAGTTTTAGAAAAGCAGAAAGTAACAACTTTTACAATAGTATGTTTTACAATAAAAATATAGTTTTTCAATAGTTTTACAATAAAAGTGTAGTTTTACAATAAAAGTGTTACTTTTATTAGTCACCTTTAAAGAGTGAATAGTAAAAGTGTATTTCCCGAAGTTACAAAGGTTAAAAATATTAAAATGGCCGGGCACGGTGGCTCAAGCCTGTAATCCCAGCACTTCAGGAGGCCGAGGTGGGCGGATCACGAGGTCAGGAGCCCGAGACCAGCCTGGCCAATATGGTGACACTGCATCTTTATTAAAAATACAAAAATTAGCCAGGCGTGGTGGCACATGCCTGTAGTCCCGGCTACTTGGGAGGCTGAGGCAGAAGAATCGCTTGAATCCAGGAGGCGGAGGTTGCAGTGAGCCAAGATCATGCCGCTGCAGTCCAGCCTGGGCAACAGAGCGAGACTCCATCTCAAAAAAAAAAAAAAAGTATGTGTGTATGTATATATATATATATTTTCATATATATGTAAGTAATAAACAGATTGAATAAGACTTTAAAGAAACATTTTTGTTTTGCAGTTGATGACTTAAACATGCATCTTTTTTGGTGACATGACCTTCAGTTCCAATAATAGACACAAAATCTGAGTTCATGAAAGGAAATAGTAGAAATGAATGTATGTAGTCAGGACTTTTTAGCTTACCTTACTATCACTGTGAGAGAGACAGTGCTTTCAATTCCTGTTACTGTGAGACACCCTCCAGGGATTTCATTTCACCTAATTTATACAACCACTAGACTCAGCTCTTGGTTTGGTTCAGTCAGCCATCCATCAAGGAGCTTATGAGATGTTCCTTTTCTCATTCTTGCAGCAACTATTTATTTATTTAAATTTAAATGTTATTTAAATTTAAGGGGTACAAGTGCAGTTTTTTTATATGAATATATTGAGTAGTGGTACAGTTTGTGTTTTTAGTGTATCCATCACCCAAACAATGTAAATTGTACCCATCAAGTAATTTTTCATCATCCACCCCGTTCAACTCCTCCCTCCCTTCTGTGTCTCCAAGGTCTCCAGTTCCGTATTCTGTCCATGTGTGCACATGATTTAGCTCCCCCTTATAAGCGAGAACATGCAGTATTTGTCTTTCTGTTTCTGGTTTGTTTCACTAAAGATAATGGCCTCCAGTGTATCCGTGTTGCTACAAAAAAAAAAAAACATGATTTCATTCTTTTTTTAATGGCTGTCACTGTCTATTGTGTATATATGTCACATTTTTAAAAATGTGGACATTTAGGTTGATTCTGTGACTTTGCTATTATACATAGTGCTGCCATAAGCATACCAGTGCAGATACCTTTTTGATATAATGATTTATTTTTCTTTGGGTAGATACCCAGTAGTAGGATTGCTGGATCAAATGGTAGTTCCACTAATTAGAGATTAATCTTGCTGTTGGGTAATATTGAGCTTCTGAAAGTTCCGTCACTTATTCAAAGCAGTGAATAATCCTTAATACTGAAGTTGGTAACTTCTATGTTGCCACTATCTTCAACCATGCATACTTCTTTCTAGGATGGAACCAACCTCAAAAAGAAAAGTCCAAAGTACAGCTTGGATTTGGTTTAGATAAGTTATTAGGTCACTCAGTTGCACAGGTTCCTAAAAGTCATTTTCAGGCTTTGTAGGTAGGTGGAAAAAAGAGCTTGATAATAATTGAATAATGGAAGTAACTTTTAGCCTATATTTTACAAAAAAGACCTACCATTTATCTTAACAGTGCTGAAACCTAGTATCACTTAAAAATTTTTCTAATACATAAAATTTGAGAATTTCATAGCAGGTAAACTCTTATTTTAAACATCTTTTGAGGTTGGGCAATAAATTCTAGTGCAGAAAGCACTGTTCTGAGTAACTTGTGAATGTAGAAGTTCATCAGATTATAGAAGGCAGTGATGCTGGCTGAAGCAAGTTACCTCCCCCTTTTTTATCCTTACTTCCACCCCTCTTCTCCTTTCCCTCTTCTTTCTCCTTGCAAGTTTTAAATGCAGCTTATGGAGGTAAAATTGACATCTGATAAACTTCCCACATGTAAAGTGTACAGTTTGATATGTTTGAACAAATGTATACACCTGTAGAATTATCACCAAAATCAAGGTAATGAATATGCCCATCACTTACGAGTTTCCTTACACCACGTAGGTAATACCTGCCACCTCTCTGCTGTCCCCATTCTCAGATAACCACTGACCTGCTTTATGCCATTATAGATTAATTTGTATTTTTCTAGATTTTATGTAAACGGAATCTTACAGTATGTACTTCTCTTTTTCAGTTTGTCGTCTTTCATTCAGTATAATTATCTTGCATTTATCAGTCATTTATTTCTTTGTATTGCCAAGTACTATCTGTAATGTTCCATTATGCAGATCTATCAGTTTGTTACTCATTTACCTGTTGATGGCCATTTGGATTGTTTTCAGTTTTTGTCTGTTACTAATAAAGTTGCTTTGAGCATTTATGTACAATTGTTTGTACATAAGCTTTTATTTTCCTGGGGTAATTACATGGGGGTGGAATGGCTGGATCATATGGTAGGTGTATGTTTAACTTTTTAAAAAATGGACAAACTTTTTTCTAAGGTAGTTGTACCATTTTATACTTTCACCAGTAGTTTTTGAGAGTTCAGCTTCTTCCATGTCTATTCCAGCACTTAGTGTGATGTGTTGTGTTAATCTTTAGCCGTTCTAGTAAATGTGTGGTGGAATCTCTGTATTTTTAATTTGCATGTTTCTAATGACTAACAGTGTTGAATGTCTTTTCATGTGCTTATTTACCAACCGTATATCTTTGATGAAGTTCCTGTTAAAATCTGTTGTACATTTTTATTTAAATTGGGTTTTTTTGTTATTCGGTTTTGGGAGGTTTTTAAAAATGTGTTTTGAATACAAGTTTATTATCAGACCTATGATTTGCAGATACTGTCTCCTGTCTGCGCTTATCTTTATATATATCTATTCTTCACAGTGTTTTTGGAGAGCAAAAGTTTTTAATGTTGATATAGGCCAATTTTTAAATTTGTGTATTGTGCTTTTGATGTTGTGTATAAGAGCTCTTGTCTAACTCAAGCTCACTTAAGATTATCTCTTATGTATTCTCCTAGCAGTTTTATAGTTTTAGGTATCACATTTATACTTATCCATTTGGAGTTAGTTTTTATATATATCGAGAGTTATATATTGATGATTTTTTTTTGCATGTGGATATCCTTTGCACCTTTATCAGATATCAGTTGTCCATACAGATGTGTGTCTATTTCTGGAGTATCTGCTCTGTTCCATTGATCTGTTGTTTTTCTGTCTTTGCACTGATCTCACATGGTCTTGGACTACTCCAGCTTTATAGAAAGTCTTCAGATTTGAGAGTGTTGGTCCTTAAACTTTGTTCTTTTAAAAGTTGTTTCGGCTCTTTCATATCCTTTCTATTTTCATGTGGATTTTAGAATCCACTTGTCGATTTCTACCAAAAAACCCGAAAAAAACCAACAACAAAAAAACAACCTGCTGAAATTTTTATTGGGATTTTTCTAATTTGTAGGTCTACTGGGGGAGCATTGATATCTTAACAGTATTAAGTCTGTTGACCCTTTTTTGTGGCATCTCACTTTATTATTTTACATCTTCTTTAATTTTTCTCAGCAATATTTTATAGTTTTCGCTGTATAAGTCTTTCATGCTTTTGCTAGAGTTGCCCTTAAGTGTATAATATTTTTAATGCTAATACGTATTTTTAAATTTAATTTTCTCATGTGACTAAATGCACAAATATCATTTGATTTTTTTATATTGATCTTGTGTGCAGCAACCTTGCTAAACTCAAATTCCAGTAGCTTTTTTTACCTGCCTTCAGATTTACTACATAGATCATCATTTTGTCTGTGAATAAAGAGAGTTACTCCTTTCTTTCCCAATTAGTTCCTTTATTTATTTTTGTCTTGCCTTATTGCACTGGCTGGAACCTTCAGTATGCTGTTGAGTAGATACAGTGAGAGTAGACATCCTTGTTTTTTTTCCTGATCCTAGAGGGAAAGCATTCATGTTTCCTTCATTAAATATGATATTAGCTGTGGACTTTTCATATATATATATTTTTAATCAGGTTAAGGAAGTTTCTTTTTACTCCTAGTTTGCTGAGAGATTTTGTCAGGAATGGATGTTAGATTTTTGTCAAATTCTTTTTCCAGATCCTTGAGATGTTTTTGAGATGTATGGTTTGTTTGTTGTTTTAATAATGGTGAGTTATATGAATTGATCTCAGATATTAAACATAGCTTTTATTTCTGGGAGAAATCCAGTTGGTTAGGATGTTTTATCTTTTTTATCTATCATTGGATTCAATTTGTTAAATTACTAAAATTTAGCTAATTTGCTAAAATTCATTTAAAATTTTTGTATCTATGAGAGACATTGATGTATAGTTTTCTTTTCTTATTTTTGTCTGACTTGCATCATTGTAATGCTAGCCTCATAGGATGAGTTGGGAAGTATTTCTTCTTCCTGAATTTTCTGGAAGAATTTATATAGAATTGGTATTATTTTTTCTGTAAGTATTTGATGGAATTTACCAATGAAGCCACTTGAACTTGGCAATTTCTTTGTGAGAATATTTTTGACTGAATATCCAGCTTCTTTCAAAGATATAGTTCTATTCAAGTTACGTATTTCTTGTCGAGTGATCTTTGGTATTTGTTTCTTTGAAGAAATTTATCCCTTTCATCTAAATTATCAAATTTATTGGAATAAAATTATTCATAATATTTCTTTTTTATTATTTTAATATTGGTAGAGTCTGTAGTGTGTTACTTCTGTCTTCCCTGTCTCCCCCTCCCTCCCACTTGTTTCTGATACTGGTAATTTATGTCTTCTTTTTTTCTTCCCAATTAGTCCAGCTAGAGGTTTATCAATGTTATTGATGATCTCGATGAACCAGCTAGCTCTCAGTTAAATGATTTTCTTTTCTTTTCTTATCTTTAAAAAAAAAAAAAAAAAAAAGTCAGGGTCTTGCTCTGTGGCCCAGGCTGGAGTGCAGTGGCATCATCCTAGCTCAACCCAACCTTGAACTCCTGGGCTCAAGGGATCTTCCCACATCAGTCTCCTGAGTAGCTGGGACTACAGGCATGCACTACCACCACCCTGCTAATTGAATTTTTTTTTTTTTTTTTGGAGGTGGGGTCTCACTTTGTTGACCAGGCTAGTCTCAAACTCCTGGCCTCAAGCCATCCTCCCACCTTGGCCCCCTAAAGCATTGGAATTACAGGTGTGAGCCATGGCGTCTGGCCTCCGTTACATGATTTTCTGTATTGCTTTTCTATTATTATTTTTTTTGACGGGGAGCGGTGTTCGTTCTGATTGTGGTTTCTTCCTTTTACTTATTTTTGCTTAATTTGCTTTTTTTGTTTGTTTCTTAAGGTGGTCCATGTTCCTTTTAAACTGTGAAATTTTTTAAACATAGACTAAATTACAGAGGAGAAACAGCTACCCAAATCCTATATTGGCATATTTACTCTTTATATGTCTTCAAATATTATAAATAGAATTAAAGCCCTCATCACATTTCCCTTTCCAGATCTCATCACTACCCTGAGTGTTTCCTTTAACTTGTTTGTTTAGGTCATCCATATGTGCATTTTCCCCTACATTTTACATAATATCGCTTTATGTATTTTCACATTTAAGTAAATGGAATCCTATATGCGTTCTTTATTGTACATTTTATTCAACATAGTTTTATTCAACATAGTTTTCAAGATTTATGTAAATATAGATTCGTAATATACAGATTTAGTTAATTTATTTTAACTGTAGTATTCTAATGATTAAATACACCTTTTTATTTTATTTTTTTAGAAATAATCATAATGTAGATTGCTTCTCATTTTTTTATAATTATAAACAGCACAAAAATGAAGAATTGTTTTGCATGTCTCTTTGACAACTTAGGTTACAGATTATTTAGCATATGTCCCTGGAAATACAGTTACTAAATTTAATGATACAAATGTCTCCAACTGGAGTACCGACTTAAATTTCCACCAAAATTTCTATATCAATAATTGTATTTGGTATCAGCCATTCCTGACTGTTAGTAGCTTGCTTACTTTATAGTTTCAGTTGTTAAGGTTACCTCATGATCCACATTGGCTCCTAGAGTTCAGCTATCATGTCCACACGAAGGAAAAGAAAAGGGAAGAACTAAAAGGATTTTCCTGGAGTCACAAACCAGTGGTTTTGTGTTGATACCTCTTTGGCTGCCTTTCTATACTTTAAAGACTGGGAAATGTAGATTTTAGCCACATACATTGTACAGAGGAAAGGGGGAATGGTTATTTAGTATGCCATCAGCATTTACTGTCACAGATCTCCTTTTACCTGGTGTGTACTAACATTTGATAATAAACGTTTAATTTTTGGCAGTTTGAAATGGTATCTCACTTTTAAAATTGCATTTCCTTGATTGGTGAGATACAGAATTTTTTACATGTATTTAGGCTTTTTTTAAAAAAAAATTGCCTTTGATATAATTCTACTGAGTTTGGTCTTTCCCTAATTAGTTTAGCATAACTCTTTATTATTCAGGATACTGATCTTTTGTTTCTTTACATCCAAATAGATGTTTTTGTCTCTTATTTTTAAACTTTTGGTATGTTGTCCTTGTTTATACACAAGTGTTCATTATTATGGGGTTAAATTTAACAGGTCTTATCCTTTGTGATTTGTTGTTTTTATGTGTGTTCTTGGGAAAAATTTTTTTCCTATATAAAAGTCATGGAGAACTCTTAGAAAAAAAGTTTTAAACTTTTGCTTTTTGCAAAATCCATTTGGGAGTTTTTGTATATATATTTGTGAATGATTTAATGTCAGAATTTAATGTTTTTCTATATGGAAGGCCAGTTGTCCCAGCAGCATTCATTGAATAATGCATTCTTTTGCTATGATCTGCTTTGTTAACTTCTGTCATATATCAGATTTCTGTCTGTGCATGAACTTTTGCATCTGTTTCTTTGGTGTATTTATCTTTTATTTGTGATTGCTTCATAAAAAGTCTTTGTGTAGTAGGTCAGTATCTCTTCTTTAAAATTATCTTAGTTATTCTTGGCTCTACTTTAATATAAGCTTTAGGGTCAGCTTGTTCAGGTCCTTGAAAATTTTGATTAGAATTTAACTGAATTCTTAGATTAATTTGGGAGAATTTGACGTGCTTCTCATCTTGAATCTTCACATTTGTAATCATGGTCTGCTACTCCATTTGTTCAGGTTATTGTTATGTCCTTTAGTAACATTTTATATTTGTTTTCATAAAGGTTCTGCCTATTTTATTAGATACATTTCCTGGTGACTTAGTTTATATTTTTATTGAGAATGATATCTTTTTATTTTCGAATTAGTTATTGGTATATGTTATTGGTTATATACGGATCTTTAGGAACCCTTCCTTATGTTACCTTAGTAGTTGAGTTGTTCATCATTCTCCAGCTTTTTTTCCCCCAATAAACCCACATTTATTCACTTCTTCTGCATTTCAGACCTGTGGTCATCCTGTTTTCTGCTTGAGCATGACAGTCATGCTGCTGTCACTACCTTTTTCAGGCAGCTCAGAGCATTTCATTTTTTAAATGCAGCTCATTGCCATTGTGTTGTTTGTATGACCAAAAGGAACTGTCAGAGAGATAAGAAGGTTACATTAGGTTATGTTCCTTAAAAATCACAAAGACCTCTCTATCTCATTGCTCTTTTCTGTCCCCCCTTCTCATCTTCAGTTCTCGGTTTACTTGTTACCTTTATTCTCCCACTCCCATGTCCATCTTTCTCTTTTATTTGCCCACATTTCCCTTCCTTCTCCCTTCCATTTGGTAACTATAGTTTTTAGCACCTGCCAGGCACTTTAGTTTGTGCTTTGCATATGTTAACTCATTTGCCCTTTATCACAGTCCACTGAGGATGGTGGGGCAGTCTCATTTCATAGCTGAGGATGCGAGGAGGCCCAAGCTTATATAAGTAGAAAGTAGGAGAGCTTGGATAATGTCAGGCTTTTCAGACTCCTAATGTCATTTTTTTTTCCGCTTTGCTATATTATTGAGGTTGTTTCTTTCTACTGTTTTTATAAGTGGATGAAGTAAATGTGCTGTATGTCTCTAATAAGATTTTTTAGTAAACCTATTTAGATAGTGTCTCTAAAATAAAGCTGTGTCTGTTTTGGGTGGAGGGTGTTACTCGATCTTTCATGATAGCCATTCTCATAGATCACTCTAAAGAAAAAGAGATTTACAGAGAGAAGAAAGATTTAAATGCAGAAATAATAAGTAAAATTTACTACGTCAAATATGCTTTACAAAAACATTATGTATAGCCATGTATCTGTGAATGTTCTAGAAAGTGGTCCTTTTGTAAGAGTGCATGGCAAACGTTGATAGAAGAAACACATTAGGGACAGTGGATTCTATTCATGGGTAGTGTATTGTTCTGGGCAAGTAATTTTACTTTTAACAGGCATTAATCTCCTATATAATCCAAGGATAGGATTGATTATATAATTATTATATAATCGAAGGATAGGAGATTAATGGGTAGAAAATCTTTGATGATACAGCTGTATTTATAAATAAGTAACAACATACAGAACTGTATAATTTTTTAAAAATCATTTTGATAGTATTTTCATTTTTGTAAGGTACTTTGTAGTTCTTGTTCATCTGTGTATCCTGTACTTTTACAGTTATAATCATGGTATCTACTTTTATTTTTTATTTTTTCATGACTCATGCATCTCTCTCATGAACTGTATTCATTTTCAAAAAAATTGATTTTAGATAATCTCTTTAATGTTGTTGTATTCCCTTTTGTGAGATAGTTCCTCGGTTTCTAGTTTTGTTTTGTTTTTTCTTTTTGTAATTTATGGAACATTTAAGTTACATTCCCAGTCATAGGATGATTCTATAAAATGGTATCAACACATTTATTTCTGTTTTATTGTCAAATTGCTTTCAAATTGGTTTAAAACAATCTATAATGCAAGAAATGTTTGAATGATTCAGTTTAATTATAGCCAGCATCCAGTCATTTAACAAGTATTTATTGAGTCTTTGTTCTGGCAGAGGTTACATTCTAGTAGGGAATATATGAGACAAACATAATAAATAAGTAAATTACACTTTATATTAGAGGATGATGAAGGCTTTACAGAACAGAGCAGGATAAGGGAGTGCCTGATGGGATGACTTGCGCTTTGCATCAGTTAAAGTAGGCCTCACTGAGAAGGTGGCATTTGTACGGGGTCTTGAGGCATGGGATTTACTTTATGTATTTTTGTCTTTTTCCTTTTTTTTTTTTTTTTTTTGGCTAATTTAAGAAGTTTATGTAGTCTCTTAAGATTACTGTCATCTATTTTCATTGTTAGTAAGAATGGTTTTCTACACATTTCCTATTTTTTTTTCTATTTTGGCAAAATTTGAAATTTTAATGAAAGCACAGAAGTTTTCTGTGTAAGCCTGTCCCTGTCCATACAATTAAAGAGTGGGGAAAATTGGCTTTAACTACATTGTTTATGTTTAAACCTGAGTAGAATATTCTGTTGAAGGCTTTAACAAGAAAACAAAAATTATTACTAGTTTGACATTTGAAATAAGCAAGAATAAGATTGCTCCTTTCTATTGTATTTCCATTTTAAGTAAAGGCAAGGTGATATTTAAGATGTATAAGAATAACAGATATTTGTTATTTTATAGGGTGACTGTTGGATCTGTATGGAACTCATGTCTACCTCGTTTGATAAGTTTTACAAATATGTATATAGTGTATTAGATGATGTTATTCCAGAAGAAATTTTAGGCAAAATCACTTTAGCAGTAAGTACCTGGTCTTTAAATTATTCATTGTGTATATAGTTATATAGAGATGCTGCTGGAGTTTTGAATGCACATATTTGAGTGTCACTCACAGTACCTTCCTGAAAATAATTCATAGTTAATAACCAGAGACAAAGTCACTTCTGTGGGGTAGTTAACACAATAGGTCATAATGGTCTCGATAAATACTGCCAATGTTCTTTCCCTTTGAATCTCAATGAGTCATAACAGACTGTTCTGTAAATAAAGCTAGGAAAAGCAATTTTCTGTTCATTTTTTCCTGTTGCTTTAACTATTTTTAAATAGGTTATATTACCACAGTTATCCTGAAATTAATCAGAATCACAGCAGTCTCCTTGAAGCCCCATAATTGAAGCCCTTGGACAAAGTTTGTTTACTGTGATTTAAGATTTTGGTTACTCCATAATTGAAGCCCTTGGACAAAGTATGTTTACTGTGATTTAAGATTTTGGTTATTCAGTCTAAACTATTTAAAATTTTGACTAGCAGTTTCAGGGGCCAGTGTTACTACTAAATTTGGTTAACTCACTTTTACCAGAGTACCAAAAAAGAAAATAGCTACTTTTTTACATATGTGTTTATAGTTTTGAAAGTGAATTGATCACTTTGTTTCTTGCTCTGAATCTTAATTTTTTTTCCTAAAGGAAAAAGATAATTTACTTTTTATAGAGCAAAATTCATAAGATTCTTAGAAACTCCTGAGAATCTGAGCTAATGGCATGTTCTAGGTTAGTTGATATATAAACTAAATCATACAGGAAATTGTAAAATAGATACTTTGGTTGCATGTAATTTCCTAGCTCTTCCTTACCTGCATACTCCCCCTCCAATGTAGTTCACCAAGATATATACTCTTTCAAATAATTTCATAAAAAGATTTTATGAAATCATTTTATTTTTAAATTTTATAAAAATAATTGTATAAAAAGAAGCTAACTTAGACTAGAAACTTATTATTTAGCGGGGTATATGAAATTTTACAATGATTAGTTTAGCCATCTCTCTCTAATATATTAAACCCGTGTTATCTTGAAACTTACTATTTGTAATAATTATAATAATAGAAAAATGATAATAGCTAATGGTTATTAAATGCTTATTTGCATCAAACTATTTGTGACATTAAATCTTCATAGTAACTCTCTGTGGTAAATAGTGTTACCTCATTTTTATGAATGATAAATCTGAAGCATAGACAGATTAAATAATTAATATGCTTTGAAGTGTGTAAGTGGTAAATAATCTAAATCCAGGCAGCCTGATCCCAGAACCCTGCTCTTAACCGCTGTATAACAGGGTGACCATGAAATTAGAAAACAGAAAATTATTTTATCATATATTGCAATATAAAGAATATATACTGTAAAAAATGATTTATTCCATATTTGCCTAAGTCAAGACTTGGTGATCACTTTATATATATTAAGCACACATGTAAAATACTTTGTATTTAGTCTCTTCTTGCTAATTAATAAACCAGCAAACAAGCATAGCTATTCACAACAAATTTATGTGTTCTACATTTCTTGTACCTAGCAGCTTGACGTCAGCAAAGACGTCACCTTACAGCAAATAGTTGGCCTGTTGTTTAGTTCTCTTTTAGTTTGAGGTTGTGTCTCTTTTCCTTCCCTTCCTGAAGAAATGTGTAATTTTCTGATCATGATCAGTGACCAGGCAACAGGATAAATTCCCACAGTGGTGAACAGAGTTTACACTAGCTCTTCAAACATCACCTTGAAGGCTTAGCATCCAATGAGGGTGGATGATGATGAGGAACTGAGAGTTTAGAAAACTTTTTTATTTACTACTGGACTTAGAAATTGAAATCGATTTTGCTGCAAGTTATTACTCTTAGTTGAAATGGAACCAACTCAGTGATCATTGTTGTCCTGTTTTTATTTTTGAACATTTTAGAGGCCAGGCACAATGGTTCATGCCTGTAATCCCAGCAGTTTGAGAGGCCGAGGCAGAAGGATCGCTTGAGCCCAGGAATTTGAGATCAGCTTGGGCAACATAGTGAGAACCCTGTCCATACTAAAGATGTAAAAAGTTAGCCAGGCATGCATCTGTAGTCCCAGCTACTTGGCAGGCTGTGGTGGGAGCGAGACCCAGTCTCAAAATAAAAAGGGAAAAAAAAAAAGGAAATTTTAGGTTGGAGATAGGAAAAAAGATAAAATTTTAAATGAATTATTAAACAAATTATAAGTCTAAGTTACTGGGTTTTTTGTTTGTTTGAGCTATCAGGGAACAGCATATAAAGGCAACTAAGCTTTTAGATCTAAAATTATTCAGTATCTTTGGTTAACAAGAAATGACAAAATATTGAAATATTAAGCTTAAAATGTATGCAGAGGACTACACGGGATATTACTTGTGATAAACTGTTGTGCTGTTTGAATAAAAAGAAACAAGTTGTTTATCCCATCTCTCCTTTTTCTCCCTAGACTGTGAAAGCACTAAACCACTTAAAAGAAAACTTGAAAATTATTCACAGAGGTGGGTATGGATTGGTATTTTTTGTAATAGAAATTAACTTTTTTCTCCTAATTGGTGAAACGGTTATTGAAAATTACAGTGTCACTGTATAAACTTTCCTAAAATATTTGTATTTTTAGCAAAAAATGCTTTATGTACTTTAAAACTCTATTACTGCTATTTTTTTCTTTGGGATTCAATAAATTTCAGTCTATCTTAGTATGTTGGACTTAGAAACTGAAATAGATTTTGCTGCACATTGTTATTAGTTGAAAAATAATTATTCATTTGCCTGATAGATAATGTTTTTCTGCATACAAATAAGGCATCGAGGTGGTCCTGTGGACATTCAAAGAAGAATCTGAGGGATAGTACCCTCAAGCATTTTAAAGGCATGCTATCCCTGTCTGTTGTTTCTTCTTCACATTAGAGGATGTTTCTAAATTGAGAGAAATCTTTTAATTAGTATTATAAGTTGAAATTTCTCTAAAGCATGTTGTATTTGTGTAAACAGTGATCTTGCCTTTATTAGATACATATTCAAATGAAGCATTTGATGTAGTTGAAGGCCAGACCTAGAAAAGTAGTAACCCTGTGGGAATCCTGAATTTAATCTGGCAAATAGATGAAGTGCTTGCTTTACTTATTACTGTGCTAGACTCAGGGTAATGAGGTGCTGGCTTTGAGGAAACACACCGAATCACTACCCCTCAGCAAATTTGTAACGGAAAAACCTGACAGTAAGTGGCAGTGTGTGATTTAGCCTGACAGTAAATAGGAAGGAAAGTAAAGGGTCAAAATGAAGAGAAGTGAAAAATTTCTAATTCTGGGAGACAATTTCTAGTGGTTAAAGAAATTAGTAATTGGGCCATTTATTTAAGTTCTTTTGTTTGTGGTTGACACTAGGCCACTGAAATTAGTGAACCTTGAACATCAGTAAATTTTATTTAATTTTGTTTGGCTTAATGCTTGTTAGAAATAATATCTTTTTTTCTTTTGGCCTAAAATTATGTAGAGTTAGGTCCCTAAACAAAATTCTTTGTTTCTCTTGTATTTCTTCTTGTTCTTGTCTTGATTTTTTTTTTTTTCCCTTCTTTGTTAGCTGTGTTCTATAATTATGAGAGTAGCACCTTTGAGGCATTTGATAGTTACCTTAGGGATATTTACTGATCACAGTAAAGCACCAAGGTACTGCCTGGGGAGTAGTTGAATAAAATAAAAAAACTTCAGAAGTAACTTTTATTGTTCTCTTACTAAATGAAGTGATGAGTTTATAGCCATCTTTTATCAGTTAGGATCAGTTAGCTTTTTTGTTGGAGTCAGTGCTTTTGATTACAAGTAATAGAAAATCCTGATAACTCTCTTTAAACTTCAGGGAAATTCATTATCTGTCATAATTAGTCCAAAGATGGGGTGGCTCAAAGCACAATATGCTCCTCTTCCTTCTGTCCTCCTTCATGTGTTAACTCTGTCCTCAGGGTAGTAACAACTAGAGCAGTTCCCACTATCATGTCTATATGTGGCTGCCTCGTGAAGAAGAGGTGCTCTCGTGCTGTGCAGCTCTGTAGGGAGTATGGAAACTTTTCCCACGTCTCTAATACCTTTTCTTGGCTCATTCACCAGAAGTGCCTCATGCCCTTAAACCAGCTACTATCAAGAAGCATGAGACTACCCTTATAAAACTTATACCAGCCAACAGCCAGGTTTTCGAGGTGTGGATGTTGATGAGAAGAGATACTTCAATAAAACACAGGTTCTGTTAGAAAGTATGGATGGGGCTGGGTGTGGTGGCTGACACCTGTAATCCCAGCACTTTGGAGACCAAGGCAGCTGGATCACTTGAGGTCAGAAGTTCGAGACCAGCCTAGCCAACATGGTGAAACCCCATCTCTACTAAAAATACAAAAATTAGCCAGGTGTGGTGGCGCATGCCTGTAATCCCAGCTACTTGGGAGGCTGAAGCAGAAGAATCGATTGAACTTGGGAGGCGGAGGTTGCAGTGAGTGGGGATTGCACCACTGCATTCCAGCCTGGGTAAAAAAGAGCGAGACTCTTGTCTCAAAAAAAAAAAAAAAAAAAAGCATGGATGGTTAGGAATGGATGTTTGATAGGCCCACAGCTGTTTCGGTCATGGTAAGAGATCTTTACTGAATTTTTTTGTGGATCACCTTCTGAGTTACATTTAGATGTTTTCTGCATCCTATATTTTAAAACCTTATTTTTTATTCATTGAGCCAGGATAGTGACAAGGACATGGATAAAAGGACTGAGCTATGGATAGAGAATTAGTTGGCACATACTGGTAGTGACTTGATTGTCAATGAGAAAGGGATTTGACATTCCTTATATTTTGACTGTTATGTAATGAATCTGGACTAAGTAAATGAATTTGTAAGCCTCTTGAAAACAATTTAATGCCTAAATTTCTTGTGAAAATTTTTTTTGATATTCAGTTTTTAAGCACTGGCATTCAGAAAATTGTTTTCCTTTCTCATTTTCAATAGAAGAAAACCATTGTTTTTTCTGTGTTTTATAAATATGAAGATGTTAAGAGAAAAATCAATCCCCATCTATATCTTACAGATTAATGTTTGTGAAATGACTTTTGCTGTTACATTTACACAATTATAGTTATTAAAGCTACATGTTTAAAACATGAATAATTATTGTATGTGATAAATGAAGATGTTTTACTTCTTATATATCTGAATTTAAGGACTTGACCACTTATGTTGTCTAAGGTTTTTCAATATTTTTGCTTAAAGTGAAGCCTTATGTAACTTAGGAAGAAGCTAATTGTATACTGAATGATATCTATGTCTTGCAGATATCAAACCTTCCAATATTCTTCTGGACAGAAGTGGAAATATTAAGCTCTGTGACTTCGGCATCAGTGGACAGCTTGTGGACTCTATTGCCAAGACAAGAGATGCTGGCTGTAGGCCATACATGGCAGTAAGTGTTAAGTCCAGGCCTTCTTGCTTGATAGTCATTGCACAGAGAGCCTGTGCTCTTTTGTGCTGGCCATTAGTCATACGGTTTTACCATGAAACTGCTAGAATATTTCCCTTACCCTAAGGCCCAAGCTCAGGTCCTAGCCTCTCCATGAAACTTTGCTAAATTATCCCAGTCAGCTCCTGTTTTCATTGTCTTGCTTTATTTCTCTTACTTGGTATTTAGCAGTTGTGGTCTTCTCTGATTATTGTTTTTTCATTATATTGAACTCAACTCATTAAACAGATGGTAACTTCTCAGAAAGTTCCCACCGTCCCTTAGTGAGACAAATGGGAAGCCTTGAGTTCATTAGCAGAATTCACTATGTATTACAGAGTCTGAAGCTGCATATTTTGAATATTGTTAGTCCTTTTTTTTAGGGGTAGATGAAGCACACCAACAAATGCAAAGGTAGAGGCCTTCAGTATTTTGCAACCTGGAGCCTCTTTTCCTGCAAAGAGACAGATGTACACTATCCATCCATAGATATCAAACTCATCTTACCCCAGTATATTTGCATACAGTGTTCCTACAGCCTGGATTTTGATCTGTATTTGAATGAAAATGTAGTGTCTGTATTTCAGACATTTCCCTAGGTGTTAATGTCTTTCTTCAATGTTGCCATGGTTCTTTGGGGACCAGCACACTACTAAATGTGACACATAAGGTTTTGTGGTTGTTTCTTGAGGCCTCCCTGCCAGCAGCATTTCTTTCCATCTTTGTAGACTGTTTTAAACTAAAGATAAGCTTAGAATTGAATAAAATTGTTCTTTCTTGGTTTCCTCCTTGATATATATGTTTTCAAACCTAGTGCTATAAATAATAAAAAAGTAAGAGTCACAGGCTAGATATTATAGGTGTTCTAGATTATTTATGAATGGATAGGCTTAGTGCTACTACAAATTCAACTTACTGCATTTTTCAATCCTCTTTTGGTTTTGTTATATCTTCCCATATCACTTTTTCTTCAGATGAACATGTAAAAGCGGTGTGTGTGTGTGTGTGTGTGTGTGTGTGTAGACACCTAACCTGTGTGGTAAGACCTTTTAAACTTTTGGTTTTGTGGATGTTGACTGGCTGGGCAGATTTCTTGACTCAGTTTGGAAGATCATTTGTTTATCGTGATAACTAGGGATAAATGGCACAATAGTTTCAAAGGCAAGAAATAAAAAAAATTAGACATGGAGTATTTGGGAAATGTGATTTACATATTTATTAAGGATACCCCGAGAATGAACTGAAATTGTTATTTACAGTTTTAGGGCTTGTCTCGATACTAACAGTGACTAAATGTTTTTGTTGTGTGACACTGACTAAGAATTATATTTGATTGAAGCAGGCTTTGAAAATGCAATTGCAGCCCAGATAAAGTAGAATATTTTGAATTCAGCTTTCTAAGAAAGACTCAGACTTTCTTTAAAACAGACTTTCGTCATTCTTGTGCAGAGATATGCTTTGCAGGCCCAGGAGATGTAAGACTTCTGTTTTCTTGCTGACCTTCATCTGTGGAACACAAAGGCTGATAAACTCTTGGCCTCTAATCTTTACTGGACCAGATGAAATTCTTCTGTCCATTCTCATCTTTCAAAGCCTGTTATAGATAGACAAGAACTCAATCAATGTTAATTTTAAAAGGCTTCAAGTGGTTTGACTTTTCTTCAAATATTGACAAAACCTATTGGAGGTATATCATTTTATTTGAGATTTATAGTTGTCTTTAGTCTACAGGACTTAGGATTACTCATTAGATTGTGCAACATAAAAAAGTAAATAAAATGTAGAGTTTACACATAAATTTTCCTGTAAACCGATTTCTTGTAAACATTTTCCCAACTCCATACCCTCATGTAGGTACACAGTCTTATGTTGCTTAACCGTGGGAATATGTTCTGAGAAGTGTGTTGTTAGGCAATTTTGTTGTGCAAAATCATAAGTGTACTTACACAAACCTAGATGGTATAGCCTACTACACACATAGGCTATATGGTACAGCCTGTTGCTTCTAGACTACAAGCCTATACAGCATGTTACTGTACTAAATACTGTAGGTAATTATATCACAACAGCAACTATTTGTGTGTCTAAATATAGAAAAGGTACGGTCAAAATATGGTATAAAGGAGGTAGAGGTGACGGGCCGGAGAAAGATGGAAGACTACCAGGCTGCGGAGGAGACTGCTTTTGTTGTTGATGAAGTGAGCAAATTGTAAAAGAGGCTATAGAAAGCACAATTGGTGGTTAACGCTTATTAACACAGCAAAGTGAACCAGTGGAACACAAATGTAGTAGAACAAACTTCAAGCCAACTCACCAAGCTGGGAAAACCACTTAAATACATTGTGACCTGTGTAATTATGCAAAAGAATGGAGCTGGATTACACATGGCAAGTTCCTGCTTCTGGGACAGCTCTGCTGACAGGAGCTGCACTGTGCGATGGGAGAATAAAACCATGTACTGCATCGTCGGCACCTTTGGACTGTGTATTGGACCTCCTAGTCCAGCCTGTGACCTTCCTCCGGTAGTTCATCTTCTAACACCAGCTATGAATTGAGTGAACTCTTTTCTCGTTCTTTTTAAGTCTGTTTTGTGGCACTCTAAAAATGCAGAGAAAAAAACCAAATGACCGCACTGTTACATGAACTGTGCACTGAAGTCAGATGAGTATCCCTGTAGGTCGCCTGCAGCCTGCATTGCCACTTGTAACTCTGAATATTTCTTTTCAAAGGTGCTAAAATCTGAAATCTGCTGGTGTGAAACTTGCTATACTGTCTGAAATGATTCAAATACACTAATTTTCCATACTTTATACTTTTGTTAGAATAAATTATTCAAATCTAAAAAAATATGGTATAAAAAATAAAGAATGGTTCACTGGTATAAGGCACTAATCATGAATGGAGCTTACAGGACTAGAAGTTGTTCTGGATGAGTCAGTGAGTGAGTGGTAAGTGAATTTGCAGGCCTAGGATGCTACTGTAGACTTTATAAACACTGTACACTTAGGCTACATGACATTTATAAAAATTTTTTTCTTCAGTAATAAATTAACCTGAGTGTACTGTAACTTTTTTACTTTATACACTTTTTAATTAAAAAAAATTTTTTTTACTTTTTTGTATTAACACTTAGCTTAAAACACAAACACACTGTACAGCCGTACAAAAATATTTTCTTTCTTTGTATCTTTATTCCGTAAGGCTATTCTGTTTACTTGTTTATTCTTTTTAAACTTTTTTGTTAAAAACTAAGACATCATTCTAGGCCTATACATGGGCGCGATCAATCACTGTCTTCTACATCCACATCTTGCCCCACTGGAAGGTCCTCAGGGGCAGTAACACGCAGGGAGCTGTCATCTCCTATGATATCAATGCCTTCTTTGTAATACCTCCTGAAAGACCTGCCAGAAGCTGTTGATAACTTTTTTTTAAATAAGTAGAAGGACATCAAGTATAGTGTACTGTACATAATTGTATGTGCTATACTTTTAAATGACTGGCAGTGCAATAGGTTTGTTTAAAACAGCATCACCACGAGCGCGAGTAATGTGTCACTCTACGTTATGAGGGCTATGGTGTCATTAGGAGATAGGAATTTTTCAGCTCCATTATAACCTTATGGGACAACCTTTGTATATGTGGTCTGTCGTTCACCAAAATGTTGTTTTGCAGCACGAGACAATTTCTGTATGTGGGTATGGATGTGCCAAACCACCTGAAAGTTAGTTGCAGATATCATGCATTTTATTCTAAACACTTCAGTGCATATCTCCCAAGAAAAAGACCATTCTTCTACATAACCACGATATCATTACCACACCTAAAAAAAACAAACAAGAATGTCATCTTTGAGCATCCCCATTCCAAAAATGCAAAGCCCGAAATGCTCCCAAATATGAAACGTTACCAACACTAGTGTGACCCAAGTGGAAAATTCACCTGACCTTATGCGATGGGTCACATTCAAAATGCAGGTGCACCACATCTTGTTGATTCAGTGTTCCCAAGGTAAAAAAAAAAAGACCCTTGTGGCCCCCTTTAGCTGCAATATATCTTTTCCACACATGCCCAGATTTTCCCCACATAAGCATGCCTACAAAGGGTAATAAAATGGCATGTATGCAGGCAAGATGTGCTAATGACAGGTTCCACACTATACCTCACATGGGGCCAAGACCTACCTGCATTACTCACTGTATTTTTTTTTGTTTTTTTTGCTCATTTTTTGCTCAGTAGCTTAAAGTTAATGTTGAAAATGTCAAAGAGGCCTGCAGATACCCCTAGAGAGACAGCAGTTTGTTAAAGGGGATAAAGGGGAAGTGTTTATGTTTATAGCACAGAAAGTCAAGCTGTTAGAGAAACTGGACAATGGTGTAAATGTGAAATGTCTTACAGAAAAGTGTGGTGTTCGTATGAGCACCATATATGACCTGAAGAAACAGAAGGAGAAACTGCTGAAGTTCTGTGCTGAAAGTGATGAACAAAAGTTACTGAAAAATAGAAAAACACCACATAATAGCTAAAAATGAAGATCTTGGTAATGTATTAAAAGAGTGGATCTGTCAGACTCACAGTGAACACATGCCATTTGATGGTATGCTCATCATGAAATGAACATCTATCATGAAGAACTGAAAATTGAAGGGAACTGTGAAGATTCAACAGACTGGTTATAGAAATTTAAGAAAAAACATAGCATTAACTTTTTAAAGATTTATGGTGATAAAGCATCTGCTGATCATGAAGCAGTGGAGAAATTCATTGATGAATTCGCCAGGGTTATTGATGATGAAAATTCAACATCAGAACAGGTATAATGCTGATGAAACATCACTGTTTTGGCATGATTACCCCAGAAAGACACTACAGCTGATGAGACAGCCCCTGCAAGATTTAAGGATGCCAAGAGCAGAAAAACTGTGACGGGATGTATTAATGCAGTAGGCCCGTATAGGTATAAATCTATAGGAGGCAAAAGCTTGCATCCTTCCTGTTTTCAAGAAGTGAATGTCTTACCAGTCCATTATTATACTAATCAAAAGGCCTGGATCACTCGGGATACCTTTTCTGATTGGTTTCATAAACATTTTGTACCAGTGCCTTATGCTTATTGCAGGGAAGCTGGACTGAAAGAAGAGTGAAAGATTTTGTTATCCATTGATAACTGTTCTGCTTATGCTGCAACCGAAATTCTCATAAAAAATAATGTTTATGCCATGTACTTTCACCCAAATGCGACTTCATTAATTCAGCCATGTGACCAGGATATCCTTAGATCAGTGAAGGGTAAATATAAAAACACTGTCTTGAACATCATGCTAGCAGCAGTGAACAGAGGTGTGGGTGTGGAAGGTTTTCAGAAGGCGTTTAGCATGAAGGATGTCATACATGCTGTTGCCAGCACTTGGCCAACAGTGACTAAGACACAGTCATGCCTGCTTGGCATAACCTCTGGCCTGTGACTATTCAGTGATGATGATGATGATGAACAAGGTAGTGACTTGGATGGATTCCATATGTTAAAGTGAGAAAAAAATGATATCTGACCTCCTTTTATATGCAAAAAATACATCTTTAGAGTCTGTCAGTAAACGGAAAGAAGGGGATATTAAAGAAGTTTTTATTATCAAATTAATGAAGCTTCAGTTTTTCATTTATTGACTAATGATGAAATAGCTGAAATGGTTCTGAATCAAGGTAAATGTGATATTTAGTGATAATGAGGATGATGTTAACAACGAGGAAGAAATGCCCATAGACAAAGTGCACATTCTGCATATCAAAAGAAACTATCAACAGAGTAAACAGATAATCTGCAGAATGGGAGAAAATATTTACAAATAACTATGTGTCTCACAAAGTTCTAATATTCAGCATCTATAAGGAACTTAAATTTATAAGAAAGAAAACAACCTCATTAAAAAGTGGGTAAGGACGTGAACAGACACTTTTCAAAAGAAGACATGCATGCATCCAACAAGCATATGAAAAACACAATGTCACTGATTATTGGAGAAATGCAAATCAAAACCACAATGAGATACATCTCACACCAGTCAGAATGGCTGTTAAAAAATGTCAAAACAACAGATGCTGGTGAGGTTATGGAGAAAAGGGAATACTTATATACTGTTGGTGGAAATGTAAATTAATTCAACCATTGTGGAAAGCAGTGTGGTGATTCCTCAAAAAGCTAAAAACAGAATTGTCATTCAACCCAGCAGTTCCATTACTGGAAATGGGTATATACCAAAAGGAATAGAAGTCATTCTGTCATAAAGACACATACACACATATGTTCATTGCAGCACTATTCACAATAGCAAAGACATGTAATCAACCTAAATGTCCATCAGTGGAAGACTGGATAAAGAAAATGTGGTACATATACACTGTGGAATACTCTACAGCCATAAAAAAGAATGAGAGCATGTCCTTTGTGGGAACATGGATGGAGCTGTAGGCCATCCATTAATATCTAAGGATACTTACTTAGCAAACTAATGCAGGAACAGAAAATCAAATACCACATGTTCTCTTAAGTGGGAGCTAAATGATGAGAACACATGGACACAAAGAGCAACAAAACAGACACTGGGGCCTACTTGAGTGTGGGAGGTGGGAGAGGATCAGAAAAAATAACTATTGGGTACTAGGCTTAGTAACTGGGTGACCAAATGGTCTGTACAACAGACCTCTGTGGCATGAGTTTACCTATATAACAAACCTGCATGTGTAATCCTGGGCCTAAAGTAAAAGTTTAAAAAAAATAAAAATTAGGCCGGGCGCGGTGGCACATGCCTGTAATCCCAGCACTTTGGGAGGCCAAGGTAGGCGGATCACTTGAAGCCAGGAATTCAAGACCAGCCTGGCCAACATGTGAAACCCCATCACTACTAAAAATACAAAAATTAGCCAGGCACAGTGGCACATGCCTGTAATCCCAGCTAGTCAGGAGGCTGAGGCATGAGAATTGCTTGAACCCAGGAGGCAGAAGTTGCAGTGAGCTGAGGTTGTGCCACTACACTTCAGCCTGGGCAACAGAGCAAGATTCTGTCTCAAAAAACATATATATAAATAAAAAGGAAAAAAACTAAAAAAAGTTTTAAAGAAAATGGAAACAAGCTCCCTCATTCCCCCCCCCATAAAAAAGAAAAAATGCTCTTGATGAAAATGTGTAATGGACTCATTAAAGGATTAGAGCAGTATGCATTCATAACACAAGAAGAAATCATGTCAGTTTATAAAACTGAAGAGAGACTCCTAAGACAAAAACCATTGTTAATGAGGCAGTTGACTAGGGAGGAAACATTTTACAAAGCCATCTAGCAGAATGCCTCCTCATTACTAGAGGACCCACTTCTGGCCCCTCAAATGCTTCTGATGTTTCTTCTCACCTAAAAAAATAAAATACAGTGTACAATAGCCTTTTAATCAAAACACAGCATCGTAGTTGGAGGTTGAAAGCTTGTAGCTGTTTGTTGTAGCTGCTGTTTAACAGTTGATGCAGGTATTCTGGCGATGCTACTGTGCTGCTTAGTTCCCCAGAACTCATTGTTTTTCACTGTATTGATACGTCATATTTTTTACTGTTAAGTATTTGTGTGAACAAGTGTAAGACAATGATTGCCTATTAATAGCATGTAAATTCCGAGTCCGGAATGATGGTGATGCCCAGCAACCACAGATTGTCTACCTGGGTGGCTGAGATAGTGACACTTTTGCTTTTTGGTGCTTCAGTGTACACAAACTTTGTTTCATGCACAAATTTATTTAAAATATAATATAAAATTACCTTCAGGCTATGTATATAGTTGTATATGAAACATAAATAAATTTCACGTTTAGACTTGGGTCCCATCCCCAAGATATATTATTATGTATATGCAAATATTCCAAAATTTGAAAAAATCCAAAATCGAAACACTCAGGTTCCAAGCTTTTTGGATGAGGAATACTCAATCTGTATTATCTAATACATAGTTCATACTCAGATTTCCCATATGTCAAAAAAACTATCTTTTAGCTGTCAATCCAGGGTCACATTAAGATTCCATACCAGCTACTCAGGAGGCTGAGGCAGGAGAATGGCGGGAACCCGGGAGGCGGAGCTTGCAGTGAGCCGAGATCGCGCCACTGCACTCCAGCCTGGGTGACAGAGCGAGACTCCGTCTCAAAAAAAAAAAAAAAAAAAAGATTCCACATTGATTTTAATTGTTACATTATTTTAATATATACAGGGCTTGATCATTCTTTTTGTTTTCTGTGACATTGGCGGTTTTGGAAGTGTTTTCAGAAGGTCTCGCATTCTTATAATATCTGATTGTTCCCTCATGATTAGATTCAGACTACAACTATTTTTAGACATGCATACTTCATGTATGAGGAGTGTTTTTTATTGCATAACATTGCAAAGCACATAATGGTTACTATTTGTAATGTTTACAGACATGCCTTTTTTTTAAGCAGTTAAAACAGTTGCAGAATAGAAAGTGGTATGTTTCTTTATTCATTTAGGTCTTCTTGCCATCTCTCAGCAATGTTTTGTAGTTTTCAGTGTGCAGCTTTTGAAGACCTTTTAAATTTATTTCTAAGGAGTTCATGGTTTTTCGATACTGTGAAAGGAAAATAAAAACTTGGGACCCCAATTTACTATGCCAAAACAAAAAATTCAGCTGAAAGCTGAGTGATGTAAATAAAAAACTGCCTTTCCTTTTGTTCTTAAGCAGATAGCTACAGATAAAGTTTTAAATATCTCCACAGGTAGCTATTCCGTTCACCTTATCTTATTTAAGTGCTAACTTACTGAGGATGAGAGGAATACATAATCAACTATTCCGTACTTGCTCCTTTTCTCTTGCAACATACGGATTCAGTAATGTGACCACACCCTCCCTCGTCCCCCTGCTGCCTGCTTTTCCTCTTTAATTATTGAAGCCCTCAAAATCATATTTGGAGAAAGGCACAAACTTCCCTTTCAGGCATGTCCTTAACCGTGGCAAGATAAACTTCTAAATTGATTGAGACCTGTCTCGGATTTCTTTTTGTCTTAGAATACTGTTATTGGGAGTGGAATTAAAAATATTTTCCAATATTTTGCTATTATTATATAGAAATACAACTGCTTTGCATGTGTTAACATTGGATCTTGTGACCTTGCTAGTTTAGTTTTACTGTTAGTTTCAGTAGGAATTTTCTGTGTCTGTGAATAAAGGTAATGCTTGTTTTCCCCCTTGCCTTTCTATACTGGCTGGGTCCTCCAGTAGAATCCTGAATAGTAATAATAATAGTAGGCATATTTGCCTTATGCCCAATATTAATTAAAAAGAAAGTGTTCTATATTTCACCAGTAAGTATAATGTTAACTCTTGGTTATTTTAGATGCCCTTTATGGAAATGAAGATGTTTTCTTCTCTTAGTGTGTTGTTATTTCTGTTGTTATTAGTGGGTTTTACATTTTGTCAGATGCTAATTCTACATTTATTGAGATGATCACATTATTTTCTTCCTTTCTATAAATAATGGTGCATTGCATTGATTTTCAAGTATTAAGTTAGTATTGTATTCTTGAGATAAACTCTACTTGGTCATGATACATTACCTCTTTGTATGTTGCTGGATTAGGTTTGCTCATATTTTGTTATTTTTGTGTCTTTCTGTGCAAGGGCTATTAATTGTCTTGTAATGACTTTGTCAGGTTTTCAAAAATCGTTATGCTGGCCTCATGAAATGAGTTGGGAAGCGTACCATCTCTCACTTTTTTGAAAAAAAAATTTGTGTAAGGCCAGTGTTATTTCTCACGTATTTGAAAAGAGTTCACCAGTGAGCCCATCTGGGTGTGGACTTTTCTTTCTGGGCAGGTTTTTAATAACATTCATTAAGTAACATAGTTTAAAGGTTATTCACACTTTGATATTCTTTTTGGTAGGTTTTCATTTTCAGAAAATATTTCTGTTTCATCTATTTCTGTAAGAACAGTAGTAATGGCCCCTCTTTCATTCTGATTTTAGTAATTTGTATCTTTTCTTTTTCTGTGGGTCAGTCTAGCCAAAGGTGTGTCCATTTTATTGATCTTTTCAAAGTACTGTTGGTTTTCTTGACTTTTCTCTATTGTTTTTCTATTCCTGTTTTACTTGTCTTCACGTTACTTTTTCTTACGTTCTTCCTCCTGCTTGCTTTGTATTTCATTTGTTCTTTTTTTTCTAATTCTTTAAGCTATAAAGTAGGTTTGATTTGAGATGTCTTCTCTTCTAATGTATGCATTTTACACTATACATTTTCTTCTGAGCACTACTTCTATATCCCACAAATTTTGGGAAGTTGTAATTTCATTTTCATTTAGTTCAATTTTTTAACTATTTCTTGAGACTTTTTTGATCCATTTGTCATTTAGAGGTGTGTTGTTAAATCTTCAGATATTTGAGGACTTTGCAGATATCTTCCTGTTACTGATTTCTAATTTATTTATTTTGTGATCTGAGAACATGCTTTGCATGCTTTCCATCTTTTAAAACAAGGTGTGTTTTATGCCCCAGAATGTGGTCAGGATTAATCAATGTTCCATGCTAGTTTGGGGAAAATGTTGATCTTGATGATGTTGGATGGAGTATTTTTTCTCTTGGTTGAATATCTGGGATTTTAATGTGTACCTTATCAGGCAAATACTTATATTTACAACAAAAAAAAACAAAGTAAATAGCTTACAGTGAATTTTATGCAGCACAGTACTCATGCTCAAAGCAATATACAGATGTCTTTAGTTGATGCTCACAGGCAGAGAATGTAATACAGTCAACTATTATGCTTCTCTGGGCATTTCTTTCAACAGCAGTTACTCTCAGACTTAGCGAAGGATCCATTGTCAACTCTGTGCCAACAGGACCCTCTCTCTCTCTTCCCTTTTCCTGACACATCATTTAGATGGTCCCTAATTTCAAGGAAATGTAAAGATGTTCTTTCACAGAAATTACTAAAAATGATTTCTGCGGTACATAGGATAATATATTACTGTCTTGGCAGTGCTTTAATTTGGCTACAAATGACTAACAGACAAATATCTTTACACATATGTGTAGTGATAAATTTAGCGTTATTGTGAAGTATGGGTGGAATAATTGTGATAAATTTAGCTCTTGTTTTGCTTTTGTGTCTCAAATATATTGTGGTATGGCCTCATCCACCGAGCAAAGTCTTTTAAAAATCGAAGACAGTCTTTTTTGTTTGTTTGTCACTCGTTGCCCCAAATTTGACCTAATTCTTTTTTTAAAACCTTTTTATTTTTTAATTTTTTTTTTGAGATGGAGCCTCGCTCTGTTGTCCAGGCTGGAGTGCAGTGGCATGATCTCGGCTCACTGCAAGCTCTGCCTCCCGGGTTCACGCCATTCTCCTGCCTCAGCCTCCTGAGTAGCTGGGACTACAGGCACCTGCCACCAGGCCCAGCTACTTTTTTGTATTTTTAGTAGAGATGGGGTTTCACCGTGTTAGCCAGGATGGTCTCGATCTGCTGACCTCCTGATCCACCCGCTTCGGCCTCCCAAAGTGCTGGGATTACGGGCGTGCGCCACTGCACCTGGCGACCTTGTAATTCTTTATGTTTTCCAGTTTTCTTCCTTTGTCTCCCTCTTCCCTCAGCTTCAGCTTTGTAAATGCTTTTGAGTCTTTGAGGGGAATAGTTAAATGAATTGCTTAGTGTTCTCTTTATGGAAGTAGCCATTAAGTTTTTTGTTGTTTGTTTTTATGATAATGATGACTTCCTATTACTTCCATTCTGACGCTAGACATGGATTCCTCTAGGAATATACTGGCATTTTGGCTGTCTACCCAGCTGTTGCTTCCATTTGCCTATTCCTTGAGTGTAAGGCAATTAATAACTTACACTTGTCTTTATGTTCCAGCCTGAAAGAATAGACCCAAGCGCATCACGACAAGGATATGATGTCCGCTCTGATGTCTGGAGTTTGGGGATCACATTGGTATGTTTATGCTGATTCAACCTTGCCACAGTAGCGTAACAATAAGAAATTTAGAAGTGAAAGAAAACTTAATCAGACTTCCCCGTTCGTTAAGAACTATAATCACAGACACTATGGTTTTAAGTTGCTGAAAAAAAAAAAGTATGTATTTATTTACTTTAAAAATCAAATCAGACTTGATTATTTCCCTTGAAGTTATGTGAAGTGTCTAGAGCCCTTTAATGTTTTAACTGGATCTCTTGGCCACAGATAATAGGAGTCAACTATTATCTGCAACTGCACTAAGAATGGGAACAGGACAAGCCAGCTTACCTGCAGTCAATTCATTGATGAAGGCACATAGGCTTCTCCCATCTCAGGCAAGGTGTAGTATGTCCAGTAATACTGTATATAGTGTGTATATTAAGTATACGTATTTTTATATGTGGAAAATAGTTTCTACTTGCAATATTCTATTCACTGAATAGTAAAATCACAAGTGAATGAGCTGAAAGTAATTCAGTTTTTGAGGGACAATATATTAGTCCATTCTCACACTACTGTAAAGAACTACATGAGACTGGGTAATTTATGAAGAGAGGTTTAATTGCCTCACAGCTCCACAGGTCGTACAGGAGCAGGGGAGAGAGAGAGTGAAGGGGAAGGTGCCAGACACTTTTAAACAACCAGGTCTCATGAGAACTCTATCATGAGACAGCACTAGGGGGATGGTGCATTAGAAACCACCCTCATGATCCAATCACCTCCCACCAGGCCGCTCCTTCAACACATAGGGATTATAATTCGAAATGAAATTTGGGTGGGGACACAGAGCCAAACCATATCAGACAAGAACTACCTAGGTGATAATTCTAAATGAAAGTTCTACCTTAGAACAACACTGAGAAAGAATAATAAGAAAGCTACTTAATTTGCAACAAGCAAGCGCAATTATATAAACTCTTCTTTCTTACCTATGGACTGTATTGAAATTTTGGTTTCATTTAAAATATCTGTATTAGTTCAGGCTGCTCCAACCAAATGCTGACCTCTGGGCTATAATCTTATCAAGAACAGAAATTTCTCACAGTTTCGGAGGCTGGGAAGTCCAAGATCAAGGCACTGACAGATTTGGTGGCTAGTGAGGGCTTGCTTCCTGGTTCATAAACAGCCATCTTCTTGTTGTAGTCTCACATGGCAGAAGAGGCAAGAGAGCTGTCTGGGGTCTTTCTTACAAGGGCACTAATTAGATTAATGAGGGTTCCACCCTCGTGACCCCATCACTTCCCAAAGATCCACCACCAAATACCATCACATTAGGGATTAGGCTTCAACATATGGATTTGCTGGGGGGTGGGGACACACAAACATTCAGTCTCTAGCAGTATCTTTGCTCATTTCCTTTTTACCAAATTTTGTTTTGAAGTCTTCGGTTTATTTTCTTGTGCTTGCTGTTCTACCAGGACTTGCTGGGTTTTTCTGATTTGGGATAGCTTCTTTAGCTGCTTCTACATTGAAGGCGAATTTTCTATCCCTAGATGAGGCTGTCCTGTAGGTAGGCAGGCCAATCCTCTTCTTTCATTTTCTCCCATTTTCAGTTTTTGCTACCTAAGACTCTATAGCCCAGAAATACACAGGTTCAGAGCAATGGGCTTTTTTTGTAGCTTATTAAATAATCTTCATTTGTTCATTGGTATTACATGTTTCTAGGATCTTCTCTGTGATCAGAAGCACATAACCTTGTTAGTTATTCTTGATGAATCATATTGCTAGGCCTAGAGAATTCTTCGTATAGAGAGTTGAAGGCCAACAGCTCACCTCTGCAGAGGACTTTGATTTACTTTACTTTGTGACCAAATATAGGAAATACCTTCTGGAATCTTTTCTCATTGTGAAGCCAACCAGCTAAAGAAGAGATTCTTCTTTAGACAGGAGAGAACATGGATCTCGGGCATCTTTTAGGTTTGGCAACTGGTCCCAAAGACTGCAGCAAGACCTAGAGCTTCCAGCTGAGGCAACTATTTGCATACACAGGATATTTACAATTCAGAAATACTTATCTATGACTAAACAATTACGTTTTAAAAGCAAGTATGTACTTCTTTACAGAAAGAAAATTTTGTGAAAGGTTTTAACAGAAAATTTTTTAGCAAGTTTCTTTTAGTACTTTTAGCTAAACCTTGTTGTTTAAAAGGTATTCTGTACTTACAGTTGGTTCATAATTTATTTTTCATAGGGACAGTCTTATAAAAATTGTGAAATGTATGAAATTAATTTCTAAGATCCTAAGTCCTTTATTTTATGACATACAGCCAACTTTTCCTTCTATTATTAAAACACAAGAAGGAATCTAATGAAGTTATTCCTAATTCTGTGAATAACCAGGAAGGTTTATGTCTTGAAAAGCATTTATAATTTTAACAGAAAGAAACTTCAGCTAACGGAATACATTTTTCTGTGTGTGTATGCATGCATGCCTGCTTACTTTTGTGCACACATGTGTGTAATTAGAAACAACAGTGAGCTGACAGAGGCATCCTTTAGGGAGGAAACGGAATCAGTGTTCTGAGAGTTCTCTCTCTCTTCCTGTATGCCATCTTCCTCTGTAATATGTTTGGAGCCTCATCCTCATGTATCAGTCACCTGTCAGTGCATGTAAAATGGGATTCATTATGCCATGGTGCAGATTTAAATATGTTTCTTGGAAAAAGCAAAATTTGTAGGTTTTCTTTTCTTTTGTTTTTTGAGATGGAGTCTCTCTCTGTCCCCCAGGCTGGAGTGCAGTGGCGCAATCTCGGCTCACTGCAAACTCCGCCTCCTGGGTTCATGCCATTCCCCTGCCTCAGCCTCCTGAATAGCTGGGACTACAGGCGCCTGCCACCACGCCCGGCTAATTTTTTGTATTTTTAGTAGAGATGGGGTTTCACCGTGTTAGACAGGATGGTGTCCATCTCCTGACCTCCTGATCCACCCGCCTCGGCATCCCAAAGTGGTGGGATTACAGGCGTGAGCCACTGTGCCCGGCCTAATTGGTAGGTTTTCATTATTTTTCAGAACAGAAAGGGAGATAGATGAGAATACGATTCACTGGTTATTAGAGAATATTTTTTTTTTGGACCCTTGATAGGATTGGGACATACGTAAGACTCTTCAGATCTCTTCTGGTGTGGCTTAGAGGTACTGTCCTGAGCCCTTTATTGGGGCTTCAGGATGCAGGGTTTGACCCTGACTTGATTTCTTCACTACTTGTAAAATCTGGTTGTGGTTGAAATTGTAGTATCTGCAGAATAGCTGTAGAGCAGGATTTGCACATTGTTTCCTCCAAGCTCAGATTAGGCTTTTGTTTGTTGGATGTTCTTTTGCCTTAAAAAGGAGTCTAACCACGATTATGGACCAAGGCCTTCCTCTAAGATGGCTACAAATTGTGCGTATTCTATAGTAAAATAGTTCTAAAACCAGTCTTCCAGACTTTCTTATAAAGAAGTCAGAACCACAGGCTGCCCTGGAGCATGCATTGTAGGGACATTGTCTAGGCTTAAGTTTTGTGTTCCCATGTATTCCAAGTCCTTGAATTTGGTTGATTCAGAATTCTCTATATTATTTTGATTTCTAAATATAACTTCTACTTAGCCTTTATGATTCTGAAGATTCCTCCCCAAGCTAACCTGTGTTTAATTCAAGGCTTTACTAGAGTTTTGCTTGTAGTTTAGATTTTTTTGTGGCCCTTCCAGTGGGGAGTAGTAAATGATGCCTGGTGTATTTTGCTCTTTCCTCTTTGTTCTCTTTAGTATGAGTTGGCCACAGGCCGATTTCCTTATCCAAAGTGGAATAGTGTATTTGATCAACTAACACAAGTCGTGAAAGGAGATCCTCCGCAGCTGAGTAATTCTGAGGAAAGGGAATTCTCCCCGAGTTTCATCAACTTTGTCAACTTGTGGTGAGTACCTGATTTATGAATGGTCGAACACGCATGGCGAGAATAGTGAGATTTACTTGGTCTTAGCAGCATTGGTACTTTACATGGAGGAAGGGGACCCTTGGTCACATCACCCTACTTTTCAAGCTGGGACTCTGGATCACTGTGGCTGTATGGAAGGTTACAGCTAGCTGGGAGAGGCATCACCTTCTTATTCTGCTACTCAGGTATTGGTGAAAAACAGCCATGAGTGGTGGAGAGGCTGCTGTCTCCAGACTTCCAGTACCTGGTACAAGAAATACCAGGTTAAACTTCTAGGTGAGACTGATCATCTTACTCTAATGTGGTTCTCACAATGCAATTGCACCAAAATCACCTGGAAGCATTTACTGAATCAAGAGCTTGCCAGATCAGACTTTCAGGGTTGGATCTCTGTTCTGACATAACATAGAAAACAGTTGGTTATATGTAGTAGGGTCACATCCACACGCAAAGTGTAGTTGGTAGAACTGTATATCTTTGCTCTCTGAAACCTTACTCCAAGGAAGATGTGAACCCCACACCTGTTGTTGTTTGTCTACCTTTTTAATAGTTTGTTGTGTGTTTGTGTATATGTAGCACCTAAGAATAAACATATGCAGATATGGCAGTAATATAATCATGCTTTATACTGTTTTAGGCTCTTTTAAATAAAATCTTTTTGTGTTATCATTTGGATATTTTTGACATTTATTTTGTTTATCCAACATGATTTAAATATAAGACATGCTATGAACAAAAAGCCTCAGAGCATTTTGTGTATCTTCTGTTTATTCCTGAAAATACCTTTTGGTTTCTCATAATTTTTTCCTGCTAAGAATGCGGTTTCTCCTCATTTTAGGTCTTATAGACTTAAATCAGGGTCTAACATTGCCCTCCTTTGTATGAAAAATTTAAAAATATTTGTTTGACTATAGTTTTTAAGTCTCTTTCATCTTCTGTAACCAAATTCTACTTTTGTGTTGGTTTTTCAGAGGGGAGAGGAATACTTCAAGATTTTCTAGGTAGAAGAAGGACATAAGGATGACTCAAATTGGCTGCTTCCTCCTTTTAAAAAACAATCAATTCTGTACTAATTTGCACACAGTATGGATAGTTTATATAATTGCATAAATGTGATCATTTTATGTATTTCATTTTTATGACATATTTGCTTAAAATGATCTGTGTAAGTCATAGGGTATAATATCTAAAATGATCACCTGTGAACCTTCCATCAGGGTTTCTTTTTAACTCCTTGATCTCTTTATTGGTTTTGTTCTGTATGTGTTGGTACTTGTACATGTTTATTTCTGTTTCCCTTGATGCCATAATAGAGTGACAGTTTTAGACATTGGAGTCCCATTGTTTTCCCTGAGTAGGTTCATAGTTCCATGTCATTGCAAATCATTAAGGTCTACATTGAAGTGTACTTATGTTCATAATATGCTCATATTAGCTCTCCACATTTGTCCATTCTTTCTGCCACTCTTTGTCTTGGACATTGCCTGTAATCTCTAACCTGGATCATTCAGATTTCTCATAATCCAATATTGATTTTCTTATAATCCAATATTGTCTTGTTCCAAATTATTCCCCTTTTTATTAGAGTTGTATTTTTTATGATGTATATCTGATCATGTTACTTCTCTATCTAAAGTATGCATTCTTAGCAGGGTGATATTGACCCTAAGGAGGCAAAAATTGATTTTGGAGAAATGAAAATCTTAGGTTGTATAATGGTTTTTAGTCCTCCAAAGGGCCATAGAATATAAACAGATATGCACTATATCTATCATATTTAAATTTCATGATGGGGAGGATAAATAATGAAAAAAATACTGAGAGATACTATTCTATAGAGACTTCCTCTTGTCCTTAAAATTAATTAATTTAGGCTTTCAGAACCCATTACGATCTGGACTTAGTTTATTGCTCTGGTCACATTTCTTTTTTTTTTTTTTTTTCTTTCTTGTTTTTTTGGAGATGGAGTCTCAGTTGCCCAGGCTGGAGTGTAATGATGTGGTCGCAGCTCACTGCAACCTCCACCTCCCGGGTTCAAACGATTCTTCTGCCTCAGCCTCCTGAGTACTGCTGGGATTACAGGCACCTGCCACCACACCCAGCTAATTTTTTTTTTTTAAGTAGAGACAGTTTTCACCATGTTGGCCAGGCTGATCTCGAACTTCTGACCTCGTGATCTGCCCGCCTCGACCTCCCAGAGCGCTGGGATTACAGGCATGAGCCACTGCCCCCGGCCCGCTCTAGCCACATTTCTCATGACTTCCCTCTCCTTGAATGGTTTCTGCCAAACTGAATTTCTTCAGTTACATAAATTAAAAGCACATACAGGATAATATGGGAGAATGTTTTCATTACGTTTGGGTAAAGATTTCTGAAACAGAACGTAGAAAGTAGCCAAACCTAAGAGAAAGATTGATTAAAAAAAAATGGATTTCATTAAAATTAAGAACTTCCATTGATTAAAAGACAGCACTGAATGACATGCCAAGCCACACAGTAGAAGGAGATATTTTTCATACTTATATTCGACGAAGGACTTTTACACAGAATATGTAAAGAATACTTAAAAATGTAAAACACTTATGAAAAATAACAACCAAAAATAGCAAAATACTTGAAAGGCACTTTAAAGATGATATTCAAGAGGCCAGTAAACATATTCAATTTACTGCATTCATTCTGCATTATTAGTAATCAGGAGACATGCAGGTCAGAACTACAGTGAAATACCACTATAATTACCAGAATGACCACAGTTTAAAATACTGACAGTACCAAATATTGGTGAGGATCTGAAGCAACTGGAAGTCTCATACATAACTTGTAGGAGTATAAATTAGTACAGTTCCTTTGAAAAACAAGCAGTATCCAGTATAGCTGATCTAATATGGTTGATGTATACACCATGGTTCAGCAATTCAAGTTCTGACTATATACCCAACAAAAGTGTGGACATAAATACACTAAAAGACATATGTAAGAATGTCCGGAAAAGCACATTTATAACCTACAATTAGAAACTCTCTCCACAGTAGAACAGATAATAAATTGTAGCATTATGTATACAGCAGTATATAGCATCAGAGAAGATAGAACCATTGCTTCACTCAGCAACTTCAGTAAATCTCACGAATGATGTTGAGTGAAAGAAGACAGAAAGCAGTATGTATGGTTCTATTTCTATATGAAAGTTAAAAGCAAACAATATAAGGTATTGGAAGTCAGAATATTGTTACTTTTTAGTTCTGCACTTAGGAGTTGTGTTTTCTGTATGTCTGCTTCGATTAAAAGTTTTCCTAAGGAAAAAAAAAAAAGGATAAGACTTAATGGTTCAAAAGGAAGACCTTGCCGACTGAGGTGTCTGAGCGCTCAGCATTGGGAAATGGTCGACTCGTGGGTTGATAAAAAGAATTTACAGACAACAGTATAGGTTTGAAAAAGGAAAGTTTATTAGAAAGAAAGTATGCTGCAGAAGAGTGCAGAAGGGTGCTGAGCGTGCCACAGTGGATTTTTCCTTAGGGGTATTTATGGACCTTAAAGCTTGAGGATAATTTGGACCATATTAGCCATGTAGGTAACAATAAATGATTACATTTGTAGTAATTTTGGTTCCTTAATGTCAGCAAGTGTTGCACAGTGAATTTCGACATGGCATTCTGGAGATGTATAGAAATTCTAGTTACTTACAAAGTTTTTTTGGGGAAAAAATCTGGAACCAATGCCTGCTTTAGATAATAGGGAAGTCTGATTACTTCTTGGGTTTTGTTGTTGTTGTTGTTGTTGTTGTTTTTAATATGGAGCCTTGCTCTGTCGCCCAGGCTGGAGTGTAGTGGCGCGATCTCAGCTCACTGCAACCTCTGCCTCACAGGTTCAAGCGATTCTCCTGCCTCAGCCTCCTAAGTAGCTGGGACTACAGGCTCATGCCACCATGCCTGGCTAATTTATGTATGTTTAATAGAGATGGGGTTTCACCACACTGGCCAGGCTGGTCTTGAACTGCTGACCTCAAGTAATCCGCCCGCTTCAGCCTCCCAGAGTGCTGGGATTACAGGCGTGAGCCACTGCGCCAGGCTGGGAAGTTTAATTACTTCTGATTTTCCCCAGATAAGGAATTTTGCTTCTAGATTGCCTGTTGGATAGTCATCGGGTGGTTTTTGCTCCTTCTGCATTCCTCAGATAAGGAATTTTTGTCTCTAGGGCCTGTTCAGTGGTCACCAAGTGATTTTGCTCTCCTCAGATCTCAGCCCATATTTTAAACTGTTTCCCAATTTAACTATCTATTGAAATCACCATTGGAATTTTTTTTAGGGGAAAAATTCTTTATTTGTCCTGGGGGAAGAAAAAACAAAAAATGTTATTCTTGAGGAATTTTTGTGAAACTCTGGATGGGGATAAGACTGAATTCAGGGATGGATTGCCTAATCCAAAATTTATCGTGTGCAGAGGGGAATATAAAAAGTCACTAGGACGATATAAGACCCATATACAACTCTGTAGCTTGGGCAGCAGACCTGGAAGAAGAGGCAACTTGTGGGACTGCCTAATTGTGCAACTAATTAGGCAGTAAAGCTCGATCCTGAAATGTCTTGAGGAAATGCCTTCTGTGCTAGATCTCACAGGCAGCTGGGACAGTGTAGTAGTATCTACTCCTGCCTTTCTCTTAGCAGCAAGACCTGTAAAGAAAAGCTCAAGCTTTGCTGAAATAACTTCTAACAACAACGCCTGTGTTGGTTAGAGGGCGGGAGCACAGTGCATGCTGTTAGAGCAAATGCAAAAATTAAATCCCTATAGTAGGTGATGATGCTGCAGTGATGGCTCTCCACCTAGGTGATGATACTGCAATGATGGCTCTCCACCTAGGTGATGATACTGCAATGATGGCTCTCCACCTGTTTCTCACAGTTAACCTGAATCCATAGCTGAGATTAACTGTGATAAAGAAAAATCACTAACAGATGAAAACTTTCAGTGATTCGGAGAATTGTACCTAAGAAATCTAAACAAATATTTCCTTTAAAATGTCACAGAAAAAAAAACAAGGTAAAAAATTGTAAGGAGGGAATAATTTGAATTCCAGAAACGTTATCTTCAGATAGTAAACATGATTCCTGAACTGAATGGGGGAAAATGGTGGCACACAGCAGATTGAGTATTGCAGGTTAACCAGATCTGTAAGTAACACCGTTTAGTTAATCTTTAAGAATAAAGGGCTAAAAAGATGAACATGAGGTAAATGGTAAGAGAGAAGAAAAATCCAAAATATTCTATTTAGCTGATTGTAGACAAAGAATTAAAATTAAAATTCCTTCTACTTGAAGAATAACTCAAGTTCTTAGATTAAAATACCAGACCAAATTAAACAAGAGAGTAGAGGGAAGCCACATCTAGATGTGTTCTGAGAAAAGATAAGACTTGACAAGTTTTCAATTAAAACACATGCACACAAATGTACACAAAACACCAAGTCAGCAATACCTGAAGAGCAGAGAAACAGCTATAACAGGAGGAATGTGGTTACTTCACATTACTTTGGTGCATTAGATATCTTGGACAACACTTGCACTGAAACTACTAAAATGCTGGATAAGCTTTTTATTTTATTTATTTTGAGATAGGGTCTCACTCACTCTGTCACCCAGACTGGAGTGCAGTGGCATGATTGCAGCTTACTGCAACCTCAACTTCCCAGGCTCAAGCGATCCTCCCATCTCAGCCCCCCGAGTAGCTGGGACTACAGGAATGTGCCACTACACCTGGCTAATTTTTGTTTTTTTGTTGTTTTTTGCTTTTTTGTTTTGAGACGGACTTTTGCTCTTGTTGCCCAGGCTGGAGTGCAATGGCATGATCTCGGCTCACCGCAGCCTCAACCTCCCGGTTTCAAGTGATTCTCCTGCCTCAGCCTCCAGAGTAGCTGGATTACAGGCATGCACCACCACACCTGGCTAATTTTGTATTTTTAGTAGAGTTGGGGTTTCTCCATGTTGGTCAGGTTGGTCAGCTCTTGACCTCAGGTGATCCGCCTGCCTCGGCCTCCCAAAGTGTTGGGATTACAGGCGCGAGCCACTGCGCCTGGCCCACCTGGCTAATTTCTTAAAAAAATTTTTGTAGAGACTGGATTTCACTGTATTACCCTGGTTGGTCTTAAACTCCTAGGCTTAAGCGATCCTCCTGCCTCGGCTTCCCGGAGTATTGGGATTACAGTGGCGTGAGCCACTGTACCTGGCCTGGATAAGCATTTTAAAGTGCCATTTATTTATTTAGGACAGAGTCTGGCTCTGTCGCACAGGCTGGAGTGCAGTGGCATGATCTTGGCTCACTGCAGCCTCCACCTCCCAGGTTCAAGTGATTCTCCTGTCTCAGCCTCCTGAGTAGCTGGGACTACAGGCACGCACCACCACTCCCAGCTAATTTTTGTATTTTTAGTACAGACAGGGTTTTGCCACGTTGGCCAGGCTAGTCTCGAACTCCTGACCTCAGGTGATCCGCCTGCCTCAGCCTCCCAAAGTTCTGGCATTACAGGGGTGAACCATCGTGCCCCACCTAAAGTCCCTCTTAAAATGTAAAAGAGTTGGTGCAAAACTGAGGAATCCATGGAGCTCTGAAGTTGACTGAAATTCAGGGAGGGAGATTATGGGAGAGAAGGAAGAGTCAAAGTAAATTAAAGGATAACCCAAGCAAATGTAGATTTGCCATCTAAATTCATATTGAATATGGTAAAAATACTTAGAGAATTTAATTTTAAGAAAAATTACTTTTCAGAGTCCCTGGTTGGAAAGATATGCTCCTCTTGCCCCCAGTTGATGGGCAGAAGCAAAAGCAAATCATTCAGCCTAGGACTAAATGATTCCAAAAAATAAAGTCAAGTGGAATATGTAGTCCACAAAAAAATCTCAACACTCACAAAAGAAATGAGAATCAGAAACAATGGATAGTAGGAATAGATCTGCAAAGGCTTCAAATATTGGAATGAAAGGAAACAAAAAATAAGTTTAAAGAAAAAGAGGCAGCTTAGAAATATAAGCAGGGAACACATTTATAAAGAACCAAATAGAACTTCTAGAAATAAAAAGCATAAATTAAAACAATAGCTGCATTCAACAGATTAGATATCATTGAAGAGAGATTAATGAACTAGAAGACAGAGCTGAAGCTCTCCCAATAAAACTTTTTGAGATGCTGGAAATGTCCTATAATCTGCTCTGTCTAGTGTGGTAGCTGCTGGCATTTGAAATGTGGCTAATGTAACTAAGGAAATGCATTTTTTATTGGAATTAAGTTTGCTAACGGCTACCTTATTAGATAGTCTAAGGGGAGCTAATATAATTATTGATAACATTATTAGTGTCAGCTGTAATTCAGAAAAAGAAGACAGTCAATGTTAATAGTTTAAGATTTCAACCCAAATAGCATCATAAGTTTATACACTGACATAATTTTCTGCTCCAGTAGATGAAATAGAAAAACACAAAACCAGAAAGGTATGGCAGCTTTACAAAGAAAGCAAACCTCTGTGTGGGTGAAAAAATGCAACAAAAATACTGACAGAATGCTGTGTAGATCTGATGCCATGGACTTGCTGTATTCCAGGTCATTTTTCATTCTGGAGAATGAAAAAAATGATATCAGTTACTTCCTGGGCCACAGCTTTAAGCAAGCTATGGTACTACACAATGACAAGGCTTTAGATACTGGTTTTGCAACCAGAGGACTGGAACTGTAATTGTCCTAATACCAACATAGGAGTGGAACTTGAAAGGTCCATTACAGGACCCTGTTTGATACTGGTGGCCCTGTGAAATAGAGGCAACTGTAAAACTGCTCTATGTGTGTATCCCTGGCTCCCAGTTCAGTTCATAGTGATTAGTGGGGCACTCAGACATATGTTGAACAAATGAATGGATATGCATGGAGGGTAAACATGTTATTTCAAAATGAGTCTGCAAATCATAATTCTTGAATACTGAAGTGTAATGCTAAGAAAGCATTTAACAAAATGGAACAGAAACTTACTTTAAGTTGAAATAGATTTATGAAATTGTCTGAAATATGCTGTAAAAGAAAATCAGTATATTTAGGATGCTCAAGGAAATAAAGGTATAAATTCAATTAAAACTGAGGAAGAAATAAAGTGGTTGGAAATAGAAGTCTTGGAAATGGAAAAATCATAGCTGTTGATATAAAAGACACAACAGACTTGATGTTCTCTAGACTGGAAATAATTGAAGACAAAATTAGGGAAATAGGAGCTGAGACGTTCCCCCAGCATGGCACAGATTATATGAAAAGCAGTGAAGAATCAGAACAGATTGCAGAGTTAGAGGTTCTAAGATGCATGTAATGGAAATAAAGAAGGCAACTCTGAAAGTGGAGAAGCAATGTTTACAGAGATCATAGGGGAAAGAAAACATTTGAGAACTGATTTAGTATAGGTTTTCAGATTGAAAGTGAAGTCTCTTTATCATGTAGGATAAACAAAGGTATAAGCTTAAAGGTAAATTTAAATATAAATTTAAAAGTAAATTTTAATTGATATTCTGTAGTTTTGCTTCAGTGCATAAATGATAAACAAAGGTATAAATTTACCTTTTAAATTTATATTTAAATTTACCTTTAAATTTATACCTTTGTTTATCATCATTTATGTATTGAAGCAAAATTACCGAGCAATATCAGGAAGAGAAAACAGATTATCTGTTAAGGATTGATAATAAGACTAACAGCAGATTTGTTCCCAGCCACAATAGTTGCAGGAAAAAGTGGAGTCACAGCACCAGAGTGCTGAGGGAAAATAATTGTCAGCCTGGTCCTAAAGTTTTAGACTCAGACACTCAAATATTCACAGTAAGGAAGAAATACAGTTTTAGGAATGGGAAGACTGAGCACTTACAATTTATAGACTGCTTTGATCCTTGAATGGTGTGGAGGTTAGGGATGCTGACCCCCTGTACAGTCAAAAATCCGCATATAACTTTTGATTACCCCAAAACTTGACTACTAACAAATAGCCTACTGTCAACCAGAAGCCTTACTGATAACATAGTTAACATATATTTTGTATATGTATTATATACTGTATTATTACAATGAAGTAAGCTAGAGAAAAGAAAATGTTATTAAGAAAATCATAAGGAAGAGAAAATATATTATTTATGAAGTGGAAGTGGATCATCATAAAGATCTTCATCCTTGTCTTCACATTGAATAGACTGAGGAAGAGGAGGAGTTGGTCTTGCTATCTCGGGTGGCAGAGGCAGAAGAAAAATCCATGTATAAGTGGATTTGTACAGTTGAAATCTGTGTTGCTCAAGGGCCATCTGTACTTGACCAAGAAGAGAAGTTAACCCAGAAGAAGGATGTCACAGGTTGGATGCCTGGAAAGCAGGCTTTTGAGACAGAGATAAGAGTGTAGGAAGTTGACTAGGTAGTGATCTTGGGATCAACACTACCAATGAGAAGGAAACGAGATTGGGCAGAAGAAGTTCAGTTGCAGTGCCATGTCATTGAAGGCCTCAGCCAACTCTGTGTTGACCTGCCTTGGAATGAGGGTCTTGGATTTTTATTCACTTTTGTGGATCAGTCATTAGAGATGGACTGTCCCAGGAGGGCTAAGGTGGCTGTCTTTAGCTGTGGTAATCCTGAAGAGGCCGATAGTAAAGGGTTGTCTGCTGGCGGCTTGCCCCACAGTGGAAGAATAAGTCCTTCCTTCTTAAAGAGGGAATCTACATAGCACATTGCAGTATCTGTTACAGAAGGTGTGGGATATGGAAAACAGCAATGAGTTTAGAAAGAGGTGAACTATGTTACCCATATTAATTCATGTTTGATAGTAAAATATTAATTGAGGTTGGAAGGGAATGGTGATTAAGATATGGGCCAAGATAGATGAGGTAAATATAAACAAAATGAAAATACTTTTGGCAGCTTTAATTAGGCAAGGTAGAATTCAAGGAGAAAATGTCAACAGAGCAGACATTTTTATATACTGATGTAGTCTTCAGTGAAGTTATATTGTTTTAAACTTTTGGACCAAAGAACATATTGAGATACAGAGTATAAACTTTTTTAAAACTTAAGGATAAATTGATAAAAATGTATATGTAATTTATCTCCCAGAATTACTTGATTGCTGGTTTCTCTTGGGTAGTATCTGCATAAATATCTGTCTACTTATTTATTTACATTTAGAAAAGCATATATGTACACAAATAATTTTATACTTATAAAACATTTATATATTTAACTGTAGTATTCTGTGTAGCTATGCCATAATTTAGTCAATTTTCAAGAATTAATATTTTTTCTAATTTTTAACTAATCATCCTACACTGACTATCCTAGAGATAAATCTTCAGATTATAGACTCACAATTTTTTGTATGTGCTTTTACTGTGTTTAGCAGGCTGTCTGCGTTGTTACTTTGGATCTGAAGGAAAGAACTATTTCATTATTTGTAATATTTCATCTGTGAAAAGAAAAATACTTAGGCAAATGAATCTACATTTTAATAATGTTATTTTTATGTTATTTTAGCCTTACGAAGGATGAATCCAAAAGGCCAAAGTATAAAGAGCTTCTGGTGAGTGTGGGACTGTGGGGATTGTAGGTACATCCTAACCCCGGAACTCTCTTAACATGCTGGTTCACTAAGCAAGCAGTGGGCCTCTCTGTCATAAACAAACATCTCAAATTTATTGAGTGTTTTTTGTTAATGTTTTTACACAAAGATTTGGAAAGAGAAAATTTGCAGTTATAATTTTTCTACTAATACTAGCTAAATTCTCATGGAAAATTTTGGTCTTAACATGTTATAAAAATTACCCCCAAAGAATTCTGACTTTAAGAAGCCATTTTCCACTGCATAGTCTATTTATATGGGATGCAGCCATAAGAAAAAAATTAGTGAAAATTTGTGTTTATTCTGCCTTTATAAAATTCATGCAAATTTACGTCATATAGCCTATTCCCATTTCTTTGAAAGTTCTCATTCATCCCATGGAACTTGGGTGTTTTAAGCAGTCTACTGGGTATGGCATTGGTGGGGCAGGGAGAAAGTGTTGTGATCTAATAATGTGGGAATATTTTAAGAAAAGATCCATTTGTTTGTCACATTTAACTACTAGCTCTTCAAGGATGTTGTGACAAACTTATATCACAGTCCACCAATGACTGTAAAAATATCTAGTCAACATACTTAGTCTGTAAAAGAAAACTGTTGCTAGAGATGGAGTTTTAAAAGGTGGGTTAGTGAAGCAGATACTGGGACCCTGGCTCTGGAGAGTACAGGGAAGAAGCTCCTGGGGCAAATTTCTCTTGGGCCTCTTTTGGTCAAAAGAATTACAGCCTTTTTGTTAAAAGGTCAAAAGAAGAGGTCAAAAGGATTGCGACCTTTTTGTAAAAAGGTCCTCCTGTTGTATATAGGAGAAATGGAGGTTGAGATTTATATTGGTGTCCCAAGAGGAATAGTGACTGGCATTTGCGTCATTCTTCTTAGCTCTTAGATGGTGTGGTGGAGGCTCCAGCTATGTTTTGTGCTGAGTGACAACTTGGCTGTCTTCCTCAACAAACACTCCCTGGTATACAGATGAGTTTCCAGACCTCACTGCCAAGGTGGCACCTTCAGATCATTACCACGTATCCTCTCTCTAGGCATGCCCATGCCCATTAGCATATCTGCATGGAATAAAGGCTGTACTCGCCTCTCTGAACTTGTAGTGTTGCGGTATTTCATAGCTATGTGTGGTTGGGAGCCTGGAGTTCTATGTTCTATAGAAATTGGAAAATGTTCAGTTTGGGCTGTCATACAAACTTTTGACTTTTTTGTTTTCAATTTTCTTGCAGAAACATCCCTTTATTTTGATGTATGAAGAACGTGCCGTTGAGGTCGCATGCTATGTTTGTAAAATCCTGGATCAAATGCCAGCTACTCCCAGCTCTCCCATGTATGTCGATTGATATCGCTGCTACATCAGACTCTAGAAAAAAGGGCTGAGAGGAAGCAAGACGTAAAGAATTTTCATCCCGTATCACAGTGTTTTTATTGCTCGCCCAGACACCATGTGCAATAAGATTGGTGTTCGTTTCCATCATGTCTGTATACTCCTGTCACCTAGAACGTGCATCCTTGTAATACCTGATTGATCACACAGTGTTAGTGCTGGTCAGAGAGACCTCATCCTGCTCTTTTGTGATGAACATATTCATGAAATGTGGAAGTCAGTACGATCAAGTTGTTGACTGTGATTAGATCACATCTTAAATTCATTTCTAGACTCAAAACCTGGAGATGCAGCTACTGGAATGGTGTTTTGTCAGACTTCCAAATCCTGGAAGGACACAGTGATGAATGTACTATGTCTGAACATAGAAACTCGGGCTTGAGTGAGAAGAGCTTGCACAGCCAACGAGACACATTGCCTTCTGGAGCTGGGAGACAAAGGAGGAATTTACTTTCTTCACCAAGTGCAATAGATTACTGATGTGATATTCTGTTGCTTTACAGTTACAGTTGATGTTTGGGGATCGATGTGCTCAGCCAAATTTCCTGTTTGAAATATCATGTTAAATTAGAATGAATTTATCTTTACCAAAAACCATGTTGCGTTCAAAGAGGTGAACATTAAAATATAGAGACAGGACAGAATGTGTTCTTTTCTCCTTTACCAGTCCTATTTTTCAATGGGAAGACTCAGGAGTCTGCCACTTGTCAAAGAAGGTGCTGATCCTAAGAATTTTTCATTCTCAGAATTCGGTGTGCTGCCAACTTGATGTTCCACCTGCCACAAACCACCAGGACTGAAAGAAGAAAACAGTACAGAAGGCAAAGTTTACAGATGTTTTTAATTCTAGTATTTTATCTGGAACAACTTGTAGCAGCTATATATTTCCCCTTGGTCCCAAGCCTGATACTTTAGCCATCATAACTCACTAACAGGGAGAAGTAGCTAGTAGCAATGTGCCTTGATTGATTAGATAAAGATTTCTAGTAGGCAGCAAAAGACCAAATCTCAGTTGTTTGCTTCTTGCCATCACTGGTCCAGGTCTTCAGTTTCCGAATCTCTTTCCCTTCCCCTGTGGTCTATTGTCGCTATGTGACTTGCGCTTAATCCAATATTTTGCCTTTTTTCTATATCAAAAAACCTTTACAGTTAGCAGGGATGTTCCTTACCAAGGATTTTTAGCCCCAAATCTCTCATATTCGCTAGTGTTTAAAAGGCTAAGAATAGTGGGGCCCAGCCGATGTGGTAGGTGATAAAGAGGCATCTTTTCTAGAGACACATTGGACCAGATGAGGATCCGAAACGGCAGCCTTTACGTTCATCACCTGCTAGAACCTCTCGTAGTCCATCACCATTTCTTGGCATTGGAATTCTACTGGAAAAAAATACAAAAAGCAAAACAAAACCCTCAGCACTGTTACAAGAGGCCATTTAAGTATCTTGTGCTTCTTCACTTACCCATTAGCCAGGTTCTCATTAGGTTTTGCTTGGGCCTCCCTGGCACTGAACCTTAGGCTTTGTATGACAGTGAAGCAGCACTGTGAGTGGTTCAAGCACACTGGAATATAAAACAGTCATGGCCTGAGATGCAGGTGATGCCATTACAGAACCAAATCGTGGCACGTATTGCTGTGTCTCCTCTCAGAGTGACAGTCATAAATACTGTCAAACAATAAAGGGAGAATGGTGCTGTTTAAAGTCACATCCCTGTAAATTGCAGAATTCAAAAGTGATTATCTCTTTGATCTACTTGCCTCATTTCCCTATCTTCTCCCCCACGGTATCCTAAACTTTAGACTTCCCACTGTTCTGAAAGGAGACATTGCTCTATGTCTGCCTTCGACCACAGCAAGCCATCATCCTCCATTGCTCCCGGGGACTCAAGAGGAATCTGTTTCTCTGCTGTCAACTTCCCATCTGGCTCAGCATAGGGTCACTTTGCCATTATGCAAATGGAGATAAAAGCAATTCTGACTGTCCAGGAGCTAATCTGACCGTTCTATTGTGTGGATGACCACATAAGAAGGCAATTTTAGTGTATTAATCATAGATTATTATAAACTATAAACTTAAGGGCAAGGAGTTTATTACAATGTATCTTTATTAAAACAAAAGGGTGTATAGTGTTCACAAACTGTGAAAATAGTGTAAGAACTGTACATTGTGAGCTCTGGTTATTTTTCTCTTGTACCATAGAAAAATGTATAAAAATTATCAAAAAGCTAATGTGCAGGGATATTGCCTTATTTGTCTGTAAAAAATGGAGCTCAGTAACATAACTGCTTCTTGGAGCTTTGGAATATTTTATCCTGTATTCTTGTTTGAATTCCTCCTCTATTTAAGATATATACATGGAATCGAAGTGTTTATGTAATAGTTCTATCCTTTTGCCTGCAGGTCAGTTGTAATAAATCTAGGATGTGATGATGACTTTGTAATTTGATTTTCTGAAATCAGACCCTGAGAGGGGAAAATCTTAAAGTAAATTACATTAAATTATCTGTGCATTTCACACCAGGGAAAATGACCTCCTTTTGGAAGTGTTTTATGGCTGCTTTCTTTTTCTTCTTCCTTCCCATGGCTACCCTTTTTGCTTATCCTTCTTGAAACCACAGATGTATCTGTTAAGCATAGCTTTGCTTGAACAGGTGTCACAGTCTCTTGAGTTTCTTTGTTTGTTGTCCTGACCTGCCCCAGCATTCTTAATGCTAAAGGAAGTGGGTACAGTTCTTCAACCTGTGTCATGGTGGAGAGGTACAACTTATAAGTCTATCTGGGCCCCGTGTATGGTTTCCAGCCATGCTCTCCGCTCTTGGTGCTTCAGCTGCCAGGTGAGCATTAGATGTCAGGTTAGATACTGGGTTGGAATCACTCACTGTTACCTTAGAAGGGTAGGGAGGATTGTGGGTAGAAGACGTCTGGAGGTCAGACATGGGAGGTTTATGGATGAGAGGACAATGGAAGTGAACAAAAAGCCATGGGAGCCTGAAAACTGTTGGAGAAAAGCACTTTGCGGCTCCAGCACTGAATGTATCTGCTGTACTCTACCTCCTACCAGTGATTGATCAGATAACAGATTCATTGATATTATGGTGATTCAGCACCTTGCCCTTGTGCCTGCTCCTAACTGTACCTGAGATACTATTACACAGCCAGATGTGGTATCAAACATTCCCCTGAGAGGGGTGTGAAAGCAGGAATTCTGGCCTCTCCAGCTAACCTCAGCTGCTAAGGGAAAGGGTACCCATTGGGTTTCAATACTGGCATGAGAGATAGACTACACACTCCATGTTTCATAGGACACTGCCTTGTATTTGTTCATCTCATTTGATTCCAAATGCATCCCACTAAAATCAAGTGGCTGTATCCCCTTTTAGATACAAGAAAACCAAGGTCCGAAGGAGTGAAGTTCTGGCTCAAATAACAGTAGGGAGCAGAGCTGAGATTCAAATTCAAGGCCGTAACACGTACCCTAAGAAGTTACATTAATTTAAAAACACTGCTATTAAAGAAGTGTTGTGGAGTTGAGAAGTGGAAGAATGAATATAGTTGAGGATACTCTGTTCATAAACCTGACCAGGGCCTGCTTTGTTGTTTTGGAAATGAGTTGAAGGCAGAGGTTCTGGGGGCCACAGTGGGGCTTAACATACAAAGCGATCCATACAAAGGCAACTGTGTAATTACCTTAGAATTAACTAGAGGAACTCTAGGTTGTAATTCTTCAGTGCAAACACCTGAGAATTCAGTGTCATGGACTGAACGTCTCCATTAGCATGATAATGTGGCAATCACTGAGAATGAGTAAAGTGCCCTTTCATTTATTTTATTTATTTTTTATTTTTTGAGACAGTTTTGCTCTTGTTGCCCAGGCTGGAATGCAATGATGTGATCTTGGCTCTGCAACCTCTGCCTCCGGAGTTCAAGCAATTCTGCCTCAGCCTCCCGAGTAGCTGGGATTGCAGGTGCACACCACCACACCTAGGTAACTTTTTCTTTTCTTTTTTTTTTTTTTTTTTGAGATGGAGTCCCACTCTTGTCGCCCAGGCTGGAGAGCAATGGCGTAATCTCAGCACACTGCAACCTCTGCCTCCCAGGTTCAAGTGATTCTCCTGCCTCAGCCTCCCAAGTAGCTAGGATTACAGGCGCCTGCCACTACACCCAGCTAATTTTTTTTTTGTATTTTTAGTAGAGATGTGGTTTCGCCATGTTGGCCAGGCTCGTCTCGAACTCCTGACCTCAGGCGATTCACCTGCCTCGCCATCCCAAAGTGCTGGGATTACAAAGAGCCAGCATGCCCGACTTCCCTTTAATTGATTCGATCCAACTGTCTTAGCTGCAGGAGGATAGAGAAAGGACACATAAGGTCTTGAAAGTACCGTTGGGACACTGGTTACTTTTCTTGGCAGTGTGTAGAGATTATGTGTCTCCATCTCTTGTGCAGGGCTGTCTGCACCAGTCACATCCATTGTTCCTGGGCTTATTGCTTGGGATGTGAGGGACAGAGAATCTAAAGGCTTTGTCTTAAACGTACTGGCTTGGTTTTAAATACCTCATTAAGTGGTTGAGGGAAAATGTAATCTGCAGTAATAACTCTTAGGATGAACTGTAAGAACCACGTCATGGAAAATTGACACTGGACAACATCATAGAAGGAACACCTGTAGAATGGGAAACAGCTTGTCTTCTGGTAATTTAGTACAGACTGAAGTTATCTTTATATCTTGGTTCTTCCCATCTTTTCGATACGTGAATATCCAGAAATTCTCATCTCAAGCCTTGAAATCATAAAGATAGTGGTTCAGTATCTGCTTTTGATAACATTTTGTTTTGTTTTTCTGATATGCCAAAATGTATTTATACATCTTAAATGTAAAATGTAGTCCTGCTATTTAAAACTTGTTAACCCATATAGCATATAGTCACAATTCAGTAATTGTAATGCATGATGAATCAAATTTCTGTCTGCATTTGAAATTTCTATCTACATATGCATTCTGCTAAAGAACAGTATTAAGACTTCCAGTTTTTCCTAATTCTTATACAAATTTAATGTGAACACCACTCTTCAAGGAGATAGGAAGGGTATTCTGTTGCTCCAGTCCTACACATGCGTAACAGTACTAAATAATTAGGTAATTTGCCTAAGGTAATACATCAAGAGGGTATATAGAGCTCAGATCTCTTGATGGCTTATTAGGATTCTTTTTGTGTATGTGACAGGGTCTCACTCTTTTGCCCAGGCTGGAGCGCAGTGGCACGATCTTGGCTCACTGCAGCCTCTGCCTCCCAGGTTCAAGCAACTCTCCTGCCTCAGCCTCCTAAGTAGCTGGGATTACAGGCACCTACCACCACTCTTGGCTAATTTTTTGTATTTTTAGTAGAGATGGGGTTTCACCATGTTGGCCAGGCTGGTCTCAAACTCCTGGCCTCAACTAATCCACTCTCCTTGGCCTCCCAAAGTGCTGGGATTACAGGCGTGAGGCACCACACCTGGCTTGTTAGGATTTTTATGAAACTGTGCTTCCCGTTTGACGATGAATTACAAGGTTTAAAAGCAAAAGATTGATAGTTACATATGATTCCTGCCTGCGACACTTATTCTAACCCCTGGAGCCATTTTCCTTTGGAAAATTGCCTTTAGCACATGATTAGAAGCAACATTACTGATCATCTGCTCACTTTTAATCCTAAATGGTATTTCACAGTTTAATTTCTTAGTTCATAAGACTTGATCTCAACCCACTTTTGTCTGTTTGTAGAAAGTAAATTCATTTTCAAATCATGAACAATAGTTTCATTCAGAAGCAGAAAATGTTAAGAACTTGTTAGGATCAGTTTTTGTTCCTGAAGGTGTCAGGGCCTTTCTTTAAAACTTGCTTTCTGATAAGTCCTTTCTCTTTCACCTTCCACTTCTAATTAGGGACCAAGTTCTTTGATTATGTTTCTTAATTTTCTCTGGTTCAATTTATTTCTGTCTGTTTCCATTGCCACTCTCCATTCATTCCTCACCTCTGGTTTTGCTCCCTTTGGACCCATCCCCACTACTGTCCTTAGCCTTTCTAAAGTACTACTCTCATCATGTTCTTCTGCTTAAATTCCTTAATTAATCCCTGGGATATGCAAAATGAAGGCCAAACTCATGGTTTTAGATGTAGTGTTATTTAATCCTGAACACATAGGTAGGACTTATCTTCATCTTAAAGATGAGGAAATGGGCTCACTGTGATTGGTAACTTGCCCACTATTTCACAGCCAAGGAGCAATCTAGAAGGATCAAGAATAGGGCATGATAATCAATGAGTGGATAAAGAAATCGTGGTGTGTATATACCATGGAATACTACTCAGTCATAAAAAGGAATGAAGTAATGGCATTTGCAACAACCTGGATGGAATTGGAGACCATCATTCTAAGTAACTCAGGAATGGAAAACCAAGCATCATATGTTCTCATAAGTAAGAACTAGGCTATGAGGATGCAAAGGCATAAGAATGATACAGTGGACTTTGGGGACTCGGAGGAAAGGGGAAAAGATGGGAGTAGGATGAGGGATAAAAGACTACACACTGGGTACAGTGTACACTGCTTGGGTCATGGGTGCACCAGAATCTCACAAACCACCACTAAAGAACTTATTCATGTAACCAACCACCACCTGTTCCCCAAAAACCTATTGAAATAAAAAAACTAATAAAAATTTCTGTTAAATGTGAAAAAAGGAATAGGGCATGAATCTGAAAAGGTAGACAGTCATATAGGAAATGGTGCATTGTGCCAATAATGTTGAACTTTATCTCTTAAGTGCTGGTGAGCCATATGGGATTTTAAGCAAGGAGATGGTTTGATCTGATTTGTATTTTAGACGATTCATTTCAGTGACTAGCCTAAAATGGAAGTGGGAAGACTTGGACACCAATTAGAAAACTTGTAATATTTTAGGCAAAAAATGTAAAAAGAGAGGTAAAGTGGTAGAATTGGGAATGGAGAAAAGAGAATTTTATGAGATACTTTATTGATTCCCAATCAAAAGTGCGGGGTAAAGAAGCCTGGAATAGTGTTTTCTGGTTTGAGTGGTTTGAGTTGTTTTATACCATCTGTTGCACCATTCATAACCTTTCATGGTTTACCAAATCTGCTTTGCTCTTTTATGCCTTCTTGTTGCATAAGCTGGTTCCTTTTGTCTGGAATTCTTTTTTTTTTTTTTTAACTTGCCTTTTGAAAGCACCTACTCATCTTTTAAGACCTTAGGTTAATGTCAGACAGTTTAGGAACCCTTTCCCAAGTCTATTCTTTGAGCTCAAGAGAACAGAATATGTATTTCTACATATATTTATGTTACATTTGATCATGTTGAGTTATGGTCATTCATACGTTTCCTTATTGTTGGTAATTTGAAGTCAGTCTTAGTCATATTTATGATCCAGTCCTCTAGTCAGCCTAGGCTGTCATATTATGATACTGATTTTCTGTTAGAAAGGCCACATACACCTGATTTTATCACATTTGTTGAAGATGGCATTTTATTCTATTTAGCTTAGATGATTTTCCCCTAGAATGCAAAATAAATTGGATTAATGTATCCATGGCATACTTCTGTTAAATGCAAAGTGAATATGGCTTGTAATTGGGGCTATCCTACCACACAGTCAAAGGTTAGCAATCAAATTTTAGGTATTGTGTAAACAAAAGTAGTCAATTGTCAGTAGCCATTAAGAAAGTACTAGTGTGTTCCATTTCTGACAGAATGCTAGGTTATATAGTATTAACTATACTCCCAATTGGAGTAACTACACTGGCAATTACAAAATGAAAATATTTATTTTTAAATGCTTTTCTGAGCTGGCACAAAAATAAGGAATCTGTGTAATCCCAGCACTTTGGGAGGCCGAGGCGGGCGGATCACGAGGTCAGGAGATCGAGACCATCCTGGCTAAAACGGGGAAACCCCGTCTCTACTAAAAATACAAAAAATTAGCCGGGCGTAGTGGCGGGCGCCTGTAGTCCCAGCTACTTGGGAGGCTGAGGCAGGAGAATGGCGTGAACCCGGGAGGCGGAGCTTGCAGTGAGCCGAGATCCCGCCACTGTACTCCAGCCTGGGCGACAGAGCGAGACTCCGTCTCAAAAAAAAAAAAAAAAAAAAAAAATAAGGAATCTGTCAAGCTCCCATATAAATAGAAGCAGGGACTGTGAATTCCAACCTGCTTTTACTTTTTTCTAGAAAGTAAATCCATTTCCAAAGCATGAAGAGTTGCTTCAATTGAGGACAGAGAAAAGTTAAGAATTTGCTAGATCAGCTTTTGTGTCTGAAGATGTCAGGGCCTTTCTTTGAAACTTGCCTAACCAAGTGCCAACAAGTAGGTCTTTCATGCTGAAAGTTTCTGCTGAACGCTGGGAACCTTGAGCTTTGAGGGATATCTAATAGGAAATCCTCCAATAAAGCTGAGACCCCAAAGGGCTCCATACAAATTGTAAAATAGGAAAATAAACATTCAATTCATCTCCAATGACAATCTGTTGGAGATGAATTGAAACATCTTTGCCTTCATCTTGGCGTATGTTGGAGGAAATTTCCAAGAATCCATAACCACAAGTCAACTTCCATGTGGGTTCATGGTTAAATTCACTATCTCTGTGGTTCAAAACCATCAACCAGAGAATTTAAATGGACCTAGGTTGGTAGTATGTAGGTGGCCGATAGAAGCAAATAAAAATTATCTTCTGAGAAACTCTCCTTCAATTCAGGCCTCAAAGAATACTACAGGTAAGGTTCAAAGGGAAATGAATAGCTCACAGTCAAAAACCACAAACACAGAGAGAGGCCAAGATGGCTATTTGAAGCAGCTGCTGTCCATGGCACTCATGGAGAGGAATGAAAGCGGTGAGTGAATTCAGCCCCTTAACTGAAATCGCCAGGTTCTCACATTGTGACTGACTAGGCAAACAACCCACGAAGAACTGAGGAAAGAAGGGTGAGGCAATGGCCCACCCAGGAGTGGCACAGAGCCAAAGGAACCCCAATCCCCAGCCAAGGGAAGCAATGAGTGAATGTGCGACCCTGCCTGGGAAATCATGCTTCTCCCATGGATCTCTGCAATCCATGGATCAGGAGACCTGCTCATGAGCCCAGGCCACCAAGGCCTTGGGTTCAATACACAGAGCTGTGTGGAGTTCTGGCAGACTGGCCACTCAGGCACACACACAGAGACTCAGGAGTTTTACATCTGTTGTCCCCAGGATCCCTGGCAAGGTGGGAAACCCGTTTGTACATACCCTGGGGAAAGGGGCTGAATCCAGGGAGCCCAGCAGCATCATTCTGTGAGTCCAACTTCCACGGCACCTCACAAGTTAAGACCCACTGGCTTGGAATTCCAGCCCACCAATGGCAACAGGCTGGAGTCTGCCTGAGTTAGGACCATGTTCCCTGAACGGAGGGAGAGCCGCCATCTCTGCAGTTTGGTTGACTCAGCCATTTCAGCCTGATGGCTTTGGAGAATCCAGATGGTCCAGATGAGTAAGGGTCCCCCACAATACAGCACACCTGCTTTGCCAGATTGTGGCCAGACTGCTTCTTTCAGTGGGACCCCAATTCATTTCTCCTTACTGGGTGGGGCCTCCCTGCAGGAACTTCAGCCACTTTAGCCAGGGTTATATGGACAGAGCTCTGATCTCTTCCTGGGATGGAGATCCAGGGGGAGGGGTGGCCACCATCTCTGCAGATTGATCAACTCAGCTGTTCCAGCCTGATGGCTTTAGAGAGTCCAAGTGGTCTGGGCAAGGAAGAGTCCCCCCAACACAGCACACCTGCTCTACCAAAAAGCAGCCAGATGGTTTCTTTAAGTGAGTTTCTGATCCCATTCCTCCTGACTGGCTGAGACCTCCCAACAGGGGTCTCCAGACACCTTCTACAGGAGCGTTCAGGCTGACAACAGGTCACTGTTCAACTGGGACAGAGCTTCCAGAGGAAGGAGCAGGCTACCATCTTTGCTGTTTCATAACCTTCACTGGTGATACCTCCAGGTATGGGGAAAAACTGAGGCAACTAGGGTCTGGAGCAAGCCCCCAGCAAACTGCAGCAGTCCTATGGAAGAGTGGCCTGACTGTTAAAAGAAAAACAGAAAACAACAACATCAAGAAAAAAGACCCCACAAAGATGCCATTCAAAGGTCAGCAACCTCAACAATCAAAGGTAGATAAGTCCACAAAGATGAGAAAGAATCAACACAAAAACACTGAAAACTCAAAGCTAGAGTGCCTCTTCTCCTCCAAATGACCACAACACCTCTCCAGCAAGGGCACAGAACTGGGCTGAGGCTGAGATGGCTGAATTGACAGAAGTAGCCTTCAGAGGTGGGTAATAATGAACTTTGCTGAGCTAAAGGAGCATGTTGTAACCCAATGCAAAGTACCTAAGAATCATGATAAAACAATACAGGAGCTGATAGCCAGAATAGCCAGTTTTGAGAGGAACATAACTGACCTGAAGGAGCTGAAAAACACAATACGAGAACTTCGCAATGCAATCACAAGTGTCAATAGCAGAATAGACCAAGTGGAGGAAAGAGTCTCAGAGTTTGAAGACCATTTTTCTGAAACAGGCAGACAAGAAGAGAGAAAAAAAGAGTGAAAATTAATGAATAAAATCTCTGAGAAATAGATTATTTAAAGAGACTGAACCTATGACTGATTGGGGTACCTAAAAGAGAGGGGGAGAATGGAGCCAAGTTGGAAAACATACTTCAGGATATCGTCCAGGAGAGCTTTCCCAACTTAGCAAGACAGGCCAACATTCAAATTCAGGAAATGCAGAGAACCCCAATAAGATACGCTGTGAGAAGGTCATCTCCAAGAAACATAATTAACAGATTCTCTAAGGTCAAAATGGAAGAAAAAATGTTAAGGGCAGCCAGAGAGAAAGTCCAGGTCACCTACAAAGGGAAGCCCATCAGACTAACAGTAGACCTCTCAGTGGAAACCCTAAGCCAGAAGAAATTGGGAGCCAATATTCAACATTCTTAAAGAATTTCCAATTCAATATTTCATATTTAGCCAAATTAAGCTTCATAAGTGAAGGAGAAATAAGATCTTTTTCAGACAAACAAATGATGAGGGAATTCATCACCAACAGGCCTGCCTTGCAAGAGATCCTGAAGAAAGCACTAAATATGGAAAGGAAAAACTGTTACCACCTGCTACAAAAACACACTAAAGTACAGAGACCAGTGACACTATGAAGCAACCACATAAACAAGTCTGCAAAGTAACCAGCTAGCATTAGGATGACAGGACCAAATTCACACCTAACAACACTAATCTTAAATGTAAATAGGCTAAATGCTCCAATTAAAAGACACAGAATGGCAAGCTGGATAAACAGCCAAGACTCATCAATAGGCTGTCTTCAAGAGACACATCTCTCATGCAAAGACATACATAGGCTCAAAATAAAAGGATGGAGGAAAATTTACCAAGCAAATGGAAAACAGAAAGACGCAAGGGTTGCAATCCTAGTTTCTGACAAAACAGACTTTAAACCAACAAAGATAAAAAAGACAAGGGCATTATATAATGGTAAAGGGTTCAATTCAACAAGAATTGAATATATCCTAAATGTATATGCACCCAATACAGGAACACCCAGATCCATAAAGCAAATTCTTAGAGACCTACAAAGAGACTTAAACTCACACATTACTAGTGGTAGACTTTAACACCCCACTGGCAATATTAGACAGATAATTGAGACAGAAAATTAACAACAATACTCAGGATCTGGATCCTGAACTCAGCTCTGGATCAAGTGGACCTGATAGATGTGTACAGAACTCTCCACCCAAAAAAAACAGAACATACATTGTTCTCCACATCACGTGGCAGTCACTCTAAAATTGATCACATAATCAAAAGTAAAACACTCCTCAGCAAATGCTATTAAAATAGCTGAGATCATAACAGCAGTCTTTCAGACAACAACACAATCAAATTAGAACTCAAGATTAAGAAATTTACTCAAAACCACACAAATACATAGAACAACTTGCTCTTGAATGACTCGAGTAAATAATGAAATTAAGGCAGAAATCAAGAAGTTCTTTGAAACTAATGAGAACAAAGAGACAATATACCAGAATCTCTGGGATGCAGCTAAAGCAGTGTTAAGAGGGAAATTTATAGCACTAAATGCCTACATCAAAAAGCTAGAAAGATCTCAAGTTAACAACTTAACATAACTACTAAAAGAACTAGAGGACCAAAAGCAAACAAACCCCAAAGCTATCAGAAGACAAGAAATAACCAAGATCAGAGCTGAACTGAAGGAGATAGACACAAAAAAAAATCCTTCAAAAAATAAATGCATCCAGAAGCTGGCTTTTTGAAAAAATTAATAAAATAGACTGCTGGCTAGACTAATAAAGAGGAAAAGAGAGAAGAATCAAATAGACACAATCATAAATGATAAGAGGGATATCACCACTGACCCAACAGAAATACAAATGACCATCAGAGAATACTATAAACACTTCTATGCACATAAACTAGAAAATCTAGACAAAATGGATACATTCCTGGACACATATACCCACCCAAGACTGAAACAGGAAGAAATTGAATCCCTGAATAGACCAATAATGAGTTCTGAAATTGTGGCAGTAATAAATAGCCTACCAACCAAAAAAAGTCCAAGACCATATGGATTCACAGCTGAATTCTCTCAGAAGTACAAAGGAGAGCTGGTACCATTTCTACTAAAACTATTCAAAAAATTGAAAATGAGGGACTCCTCTCTAACTCATTTTATGAGACCAGCATTATCCTGATACCAAAACCTGGCAGAGATACAACAAAAAAAGAAAACTTAAGGTCAATATCCTTGATGAACATTGATGCAAAAATCCTCCATAAAATGCTGGGAAACTGAATCCAGTAGCATATCAAAAAGCTTATCCACCACTATCAAGTTGGCTTCATCCCCATGATGCAAGGTTGGTTCAACATACGCAAATCTATAAATGTGATTCATCACATAAACAGACCTAAGACAAAAACCACATGATTATCTCAACAGATGCAGAAAAATCCTTTGATAAAATTCCACACCCCTTCATGTTAAAAATTCTCAAACTAGATTGTGAAGGAACATACCTCAAAATAATAAGAGCTATATATGACAAACCCACGGCCAATATCATACTTAATGGGCAAAAGCTGGAAGCATTCCCCTTGAAAATCAGCACAAGACAAGGATGTCCTGTCTCTCACCACTCCTATTCAACATAGTATTGGAAGTTCTGGCCAAGGTAATCAGACAAGAGAAAGAAATAAAGGATATTCAAATAGTAAGAGAGGAAGTCAAATTATCTTTGCAGATTACATGATCCTATATGTAGAAAACCCCATTGTCTCAGCCCAAAGTTTCTTAAGTTGATAAGCAACCTCAGTAAAGTCTCAGAATACAAAATCAATGTGCAAAAATCACAAGCATGCCTATACATCAACAACAGACAAGCAGAGAGCCTAATCATGAATGAACTCCCATTCATAATTGCTACAGAAAGAATCAAATACCTAAATATACAGCTAGCAAGGGAAGTGAAGGACCTCTTCAAGGAGAACTACAAACCACTGCTCCAAGAAATCAGAGGGGACACAAACAAATGAAAAACATTCTATGCTCATGGATAGAAAGAATCAATATCATGAAAATGGCCATACTGCCCAAAGTAATTAATAGATTCAATGCTATTTCATTAAACTATCATTGACATTCTTCACAACATTAGAAAAAGCCATTTTAAAATTCATATGGACAATCCTAAGCAAAAAGAACAAAGCTGGAGGCATCGCACTACCCAACTTCAAACTATACTACAAGCCTACAGTAACTAAAACAGCATGGTACTGGTACAAGAATAGACACATAAATCAATGGAACAGAATAGAGAACACAGAAATAAGACCAAACACCTACAGCCATCTGATCTTTGACAAAGCTGACAAAAACAAGCAATAAGGAAAGGATTCCCTATTTAATAAATGGTGCTGAGAGAACTGGCTAGCCATATACAGAAAATTGAAACTGGACCCCTTCCTTACACCATATACAAAAATCAACTCAAGATGGATTAAAGACTTAAATGTAAAACCCCAAACTATAAAAACCCTAGAAGAAAATCTAGGCAATACCTTCAGGACATAGGCACAGGCAAAGATTTTATGATTAAAACGCCAAAAGCAGCCAGGCTCAGTGGCTCACGCCTTTAATTGCAGCACTTAGGGGGTCCAAGGTGGGTGGATTACCTGAGGTCAGGAGTTTGAGACCAGCCTGACCAACATGGTGGAACACTATCTCTACTAAAAATACAAAACTTAGCCAGACGTCATGGTGGGCACCTGTAATCCCATGGTGGGCACCTGTAATCTCGAGAGACTGAGGCAGGAAAATCACTTGAACCTGGGAGGCAGGGGTTGCAGTGAGCGAATATCATGCCACTGCACTCCAGCCTAGGTGACAGAGCAAGAGTCTGTCTCAAAAATAAAATAAAATAAAATAAAATAAAATAAAATAAATAAAAAAACGCCAAAAGCAATTGCAACAAAAGCAAAAATTGACAAATAGGATCTAATTAAACTAAAGAGCCTCTGCCCAGCAAAATAAACTATCATCAGAGTGAAAAGACAACCTACAGAATAGAAGAAACGTTTTGCAATCTATCCATCTGACAAAGGTCAAATATCCAGAGTCTACAAGGAACTTAAACAAATTTACAGGACCAGAAACAAACAACTCCTTTAAAAGGTGGGCAAAGTACTTGAACAGGCACTTTTCAAAAGAAGACATAGATGTGGCCAACAAACGTATGAAAAAAAAGCTCAACATTGTTGATAATTACAGAAATGCAAATCAAAACTGCAATGAGATACCATCTCATACCAGTCAAAATGGCTACTATTAAAAATCCAAAAAAACAGCAGATGCTGGCAAGGTTGCAAAGAAAAAGAAACACTATTACACTGTTGGTGAGAGTGTAAATTAATTTAACCATTGTGGAAGACAGTGTGGTGATTCCTCAAAGACCTGGAGGCAGAAATACCATTTGACCCAACAATCCCATTACTGGGTATATACCCAATGAAATATAAATCATTCTATCATAAAGATACATACACATGTATGTTCATTGCAGCACTATTCACAATAGCAAAGACATGGAATCAATCCAACGGCCCATCAACGACAGACTGGATAAAGAAAATGTGGTACATATTAGTCAGGCATGGTGGTGGTGCACACCTGTAATCCCAGCTACTCTGGAGGCTGAGGCAGGAGAATTACTTGAACCTGGGAGGTGGAGGTTGCAGTGAGCTGAGATCGTGCCACTGCACTCCAGTTGAGACTCCATCTCAAAAAAAAAAAAAAAAACAAAACAAAAAAACAAATCACAAATGCACAAGATACCAAGAGTGAAAACTAGCAGAGCAAATAAGCAGTAATAGTTACTTGAATTATCAGATACAGAATATAAAATGAATGTTTAATATGTTAAAAGGAAAGCTTGAAAGAGCCAGGAAAAGGAGACTATCAAATCTATTTAGAAGAAAAGAAAAGGATCAAATAAAACTTCAAGAATTGAACAATATAAAGATTGAAATAATAAACTCAGTGAATGATGGGATGGTGACTCCCATCACCTCCACCCTGACACACACACAGAATTTCCCTTCTCATTTTAGCAAAGAAAGAATAAAAACATGAGTTTTGTGTTGGTAAGCAGTTGTCTAGCTAGTGACTCTTTCCTCTCTTGCTTTTATTTAGATATTTGGTTAGTTAATACATTATATTAACCAATAATAAAGCAATGAACTCCTGTGAAAACAGAAGTTACAACTTTAGCAATAACCTATATCTAACCATACATTTTACTCAGTATCTCATTTTCCCACCTTTCCTGACAAAAGGTAATCATCCTGAATCCAGGTGGTAAGGGTTTGCTTGCTTTTCCTCCTAATTAGTTTGTTATATCTTTTCCCCCCTCCCTCCCCTGATAGATGAATGAATGGATACATGGATATATTTTGTTGTCGATACATAATAATGTACGTATTTATGATGTACATGTGATATTTTGATATTTGCGTACAATGTATAATGATCAAATCAGGGTAATTAAGATATCCGTCACCTCAAATATTCATCATTTCTTTGTGTTCATAACATTCCAGATCTTCTTTTCTAGTTATTTAAAAATATACAATAAATTATTGTTAACTATATGATATAGTTTGTATATTTGTTTCCTCAAATCTCGTGTTGAAATATAATCCCTAATGTTAGAGGTGGGGCCTGGTGGTAGGTGTTTGGATCATGGGGCAGATCCCTCATGAATGATTTAGCATTATCCCTTTGGTGGTGAGTAAGTTCTCACAACATCTGGTTGTTTAAAAGAGTGTGGCACCTCCCTGGCCCTACACCTTGCTCTTGCTCTGGCCATGCGACCTGCCTGCTCCTGCTTGCCTGCCACCATGAGTAAAAGCTCCCTGAAGCCTTCCCAGAAGCCAAGCAGATGCCAGCACCATGCTTCCTGTATGGCCTGCAGAACTGTGAGCCCATTAAATCTCTTTTCTTTATGAATCACCCAGTCTCAGGTATTCCTTTAGAGCAACAAAAGAACAACCCAATACAGTGTGTTACCCTATTGTGCTATCAGGCACTAGAACTTCTTCCTTCTAACTGTATTTTTGTACACATTACCCAACCTATCTTTGTCATCCACCTCACCCTTCCCAGACTCTGGTAACCATTATCCTACTCTCCACCTTCATGAGATCAACTTTTTAAGCTCCTGCATATGAGGGAGAATATGTAATAGTAGTCTTCTGTGCTTTGCTTATTTCACTTAATACCTCCAGTTCCATCCGTGTTGCTGCAAGTGACAGAATTTCATTTTTTTATGGCTGAATAATATTCACTGTGTATGTTTACCACATTTTCTTCATCCATTCATCCACTGATGGACACTTACATTGATTTCATATCCTGGCTATTGTGAATAATGCTGCAATAAACATGAGAGTGCAGGTATCTCTTGAAGATACTGATTTTCTTTCTTTTAAATATATACCTAGCAGTGGGATTGCTGGATCACATGGTAGCTTTATTTGTAGTTTTTTGGGGAATCTCTATACTGTTTTCCATAGTGGCAATGCTAATTTACCTCCCTGCCAACAGTGTATGAGCCTTCCCCTTTCTCCACAGCCAGCATCATTATTTTCTTTTTGATAGTAGTCATTTTAACTGGAGTGAGATGATATCTCACTGTGGTTTTGATTTGCATTTCCCTTAGGATTAATGATATTAAATATTTTACATATTTTTTTCAGATCATTTGCCCATTTTAAAAATAGGGTTGCTTGGTGTTTTTTTTGTTTTTGTTTGTTTTGTGTTTTGTTTTGTTTTTTGCTATTGAGTTGTTTGCAGTTTTTATATATTCTGGTACTATCCCTTGTCAGGGGAATAGTTTGCAAATATTTTCTCCCATTCAGTATAATATTTCTTCTTTCTGTTGATTATTTCCTTTGCTGTGCAGAAGCTTTTCAGCTTGATGTGATCTCATTTGCCTGTTTCTGCTTTGGTTGCCTGTGCTTTTGAGATCTTGCCCAAAAAATCTTTGCCAAGACTAATGTTCTGAGGTGCTTCCCCAATGTTTTCTTCTAGTAGTATCATAGCTTCAGGTCTTACATTCACGTCTTTATTCTTTTTTTATTTGATTTTTATATATGGTGAGAGATAGGGGTCTAGTTTCATTCTTTTGCATATGGACATCTAGTTTTCCCACACCATTTACTGAAGAGACTGTCTTTTCCTCACTGTATGTTTTTGGTACCTTTGTCAAAATGAATTGGCTATAAATGCGTGGATTTATTTATGGGTTTTCTACTCTGTTCCATTGGTTTACACATCAGTTTTATGCCAGTACCATGCTCTTTTGGTACGATAGCTTTGTGGTATATTTTAAAGTCTGGTAGTGTTATGCCTTCAACTTTGTTCCTGTTGTTAAGGATTGCTTTGGCTATTTGTTGTGTTTTTGTTTTTGTGTTTCTATACAGATTACAGGATTTTTAGAAATGGCTGTGCTTGGTGTTTTGATAGGGGTTGCATTGAATCTGTAGATAGTTTTGACTGGACATTTTAACAATATTAATTCTTCCAACCCATAAGCATGGGATGTCTTTTCTTTTCTTTTTTTTTTTTTTTTTTGGTTCCTCTTCAATTTCTCTAATCAGTGTTGATCATAGTTTTTGTTATAGAGATCTTTCACTTTTTTGGTTAAATTTATTCCAAGGTTTTTTTTGTATCTATCGTAAATGGAATTTACAATAAAGAACACTTACTACAAAGATTTACAATTAAAGGGATTGCTTTCTTAATTTTTTATTTATTTATTTATGTATTTATTTGTTTGAGATGGAGTCTCACTCTGTCACCCAGGCTGGAGTGCAGTGGTGTGATCTAGGCTCCCTGCACCTTCCGCCTCCTGAGTTTAAGTGATTCTCCTGCCTCAGCCTCCTCAGTAGCTGGGACTGCAGGCATGTGTCACTACACCGACTAATTTTTATATTTTTAATAGAGATGGGGTTTCACCATGTTAGCCAGGCTGGTCTGGAACTCCTGATCTCAAGTGATCCACGCGCCTTGGCCTCCCAAAATTCTGGGATTACAGGCATCAGCCAACGCGCCTGGCCATTTTTTTTTTTTTAGGTTGTTCACAGTTGGTGTATAGAAATGCTACTGATTTTTATATGTTGATTTTGCATCCTGCAACTTTATTGAATTAGTTTGTCGGCTATAACAGTTTTTTAGTTTAGGTTTTTCTAAATATAGGATCATGTTGTCTGCAAAGGAGGATGATTTGACTTCTTCCTTTTTAATTCGGATGTGCTTCATTTCTTTCACTTGCCTAATTGCCCTATCTAGGACTTCCAATATTATGTTGAGTAAAAGTGATGAAAGTGGGCATCCTTGTCATGTTCCAGACCTTAAAAGGAAGTCTTTTAATTTTCCCCATTATATTAACTATGGATTTGTCATATATGGCTTTTACTGTTTTGAGGTATGTTCCTTTTATATACCCAGTTTGTTGCATGTTTTTATCATGAAGGAATGTTGAATTTTATCAAACACTTTTTCAGCATCTATTGAAATAATCATATGGTTTTTGTTCTTGATTCTGTTAGTGTGATATATATTTGAGTTTAGGTTCTATTTTTATATTTTATGAAAAAGCTATATCTATAGTATTTTGGGATTTTCCCCCTTAATAACCTTTTGCTAAGCTTCATGTTGTTTTTTATAGATGTATAATATTTCATTACATGTTGTTTTTTAAAAAAATCCACTTTCCCATTGATGAACATTTTGGTTATTTCCAGATTTTTCTCTAGTGAACTGCACTACTATGAACGTTCTTGTATATGTGTCCTGCTATACAAGTGTCAAAGTTTCTTTTGATATAGGAAACTGCTGCTATATCGTCACATTGCTGGATCATAAAGCATGTGAATGCTCAACTTTAAAAGGTAATGCCAAACGGTTTCCCAACTGGTTACACCAATTTATTCTCCAGATCTTCCCCAACATTTGATATTTCAGACTTTTAAGTTCTTCCCAATTAACACAGTTTAAAATAGTATTGCATTGCGATCTTGATATGACTTTTCCTGATCACTAACAATGAGCAGCCTATGTATGCTTATTGGACAGATATGTTTCCTCACTCAAGTTTCTGCTCATCTTCCCATTAAGTTACTTATCCTTCCCTTATTGATTTGTTATTGTCATTTATGTATTATCGATCCAACTTGTTCATAGGTGTGTATTGAAAATATCTTCTCTTAGTAACTTTTCTTTTCATGTTTTTGAAGTTATGTTTTGATGAACAATAGTTATGAACACCAATTATTCAGACATTAGTACTTATAAAAATTAATAGATCTTGTATCTTATTAAAAGATAAAGGCCGGGTGCAGTGGCTCACGCCTGTAATCCCAGCACTTTGGGAGGCCGAGGTGGGCAGGTCACCTGAGGTCGGGAGTTCGAGACCAGCCTGAGCAACATGGAGAAACCCCACCTCTACTAAAAATACAAAATTAGCTGGGTGTGGTAGCAGGTGCTGGTAATCCCAGCTACTTGGGAGGCTGAGGCAGGAGAATCGCTTGAACGTGGGAGGCGGAGGTTGCAGTGAGCTGAGATCGCCCCATTGCACTCCAGCCTGGGCAACAAGAGTGAAACTCCGTCTCAAAAAAAAAATAAGATTTTAATACTAAGATTTAAAAATATTTACCTCATATTTTATTTATTTGTTTAAAATTTTTAAAATTTCAGCTTTTATTTTAGATTCAAGGGATATATGTGCACATTTGTTACAAGGGTATGTTGAGTGACACTGAGATTGAGGGTATAAATGATCCTATAACCCACATAGTGAGCACGGTACCCAATAGGTAGTTTTTCAGCCCTTGCCCTCACCATTAGTCCTCAGTGCCTGCTGTTCCCATCTTTATGTCCATATGTACTCAATGCTTGGCTGTCAGTTATAAGTGAGAACATGTGATACTTGGTTTTCTGTTCCTGCATTAATTCGCTTAGGATAATGTCCTCCAGCTGCTTCTATGTTGCTGCAAAGTATCTGATTTTATTATTTTTATGGCTATGACATATTTCATGGTGTAGCATGTACCACATTTTCTCTATCCAATCCACTCTTGATGGGCATTTAGTTTGATTCCATGTCTTTGCTATTGTGAATAACGCTGCAATGAACATATGAGTGCATAGGGCTTTTTGGTGGAAAGATTTATTTTCCTTTGAGTATATACCCAGTAATGGGATTGCTGGGTCAAATGGTTCTGTTTTAAGTTCTTTGAGAAATCTCCAAACTGCTTTTTACGGTGGCTGAACTAATTTACATTCCCACCAACAGTGAATAAGTGTTTCCTTTCCTCCACAGCCTCATCACCATCTGTTTTTGTTTGTTTGTTTGTTTGTTTTAGACGGAGTCTCGCTCCCTCACCAGGGTGGAGTGCAGTGGTGTGATCTCAGCTCACTGCAACCTCCACTTCCCGGGTTCTTCTGCCTCACCCTCCCGAGTAGCTGGGATTACAGGCATGCACCAACACGCCCAGCTAATTTTTGTATTTTTAGTAGAGACAGAGTTTCACCATGTTGGTCAGGCTGGTCTCGATCTCGTGACCTCATGATCCATCTGCCTTGGCCTCCCAAAGTGCTGGGATTACCCGCATGAGCCACCGCACCCGCCTTCTGTTATTTTTTCACTTTTTAATAATAGCCATTCTGACTCATATGGGATGATATCTCATTGTGATTTTGATTTGCATTTCTCTGATGATAGTGATGTTTAACATTTTTTCATATGTTTGTTGGCCATGTGTGTCTTCTCTTAAGAAGTGTCTGTTTATGTCTTTGGCCCACTTTTTAATGGGGTTATTTGTTTTTTGCTTGTTGAATTGTTTAAGTTCTTTATGGAGTCTGGATATTAGACCTTTCTCAGATGCACAGTCTGCAGGTATTTTCTCCTGTAGGTTGTCTGTTTAGTCTATTGATAGTTTATTTTGCTGTCCAGAAGCTCCTTAGTTTAATTAGGTCCCATTGGTCAATTTTTATTTTTGTTGCAATTGCTTTTGAGGACTAAGTTATAAATTATTTCCCAAGGCCGATGTCCAGAATGGTATATCCTAGGTTTTCTTCTAGGATTCTTAGTTTGAGGTCTTATATTTAAATCTTTAATCCACCTTGAGTTAATTTTTGTATACAGTGAAAGGTAGGGGTTCAGTTTTATTCTTCTGCATATGGCTAGCCAGTTATCCCAGCACCATTTAATGAATAGGGTGTCCTTTCCCCGTTGCTTATTTTTGTTGACTTCCTTGAATATCAGATGGCTGTAGGTATGTGGCTTTATTTCTGGGTTCTCTATTCTTTATCATTTACCCTGTATTTTATACTGAGAGTTTTAAAGTTCTATTCCTGAGTTTAAGCCCTAAATCCATTTGGAATTGATTTTTGTAGACGGTGTGTGGTAGGAATTCAATTTCAAATTTTCCATGTGAAAATCATTTTTTCCAGCTCGATTTGTTAAACAATCAACTACTTCTTTTCATATCGATCATGCATTCCATATTTATCATATGAAAATGTTCCTAACATACATGCATTTTTAGGCTGTCAGTTTTATTCCATTGACCAATTTATTTATCCCTGAACTAATACCACACTGTCTTTATTACAGCTCCATAATAAATCCTCATATCTGATCCCCTCTCTCTGCTCTTCTTAACAGGTATCTTGGTTATTCTTGACACCCTTTTCCTCCATATGTATTTTAAAAATAGCTCTGTTGAACTATAATCCACATACCACATAATTCAGCCATTTAATGTGTACGATTTAACAGTTTTTAGTATATTCAAAGATATGTGCCACCATTGCCACAGTCAATTTTAGAATGTTTTAATTACCTCAAAAAACTCACATACTCTGACAAGCTCTCTCTCACTCTAACCCTGCCCAGTCCTAAGTAACCACTAATCTACTTTCCTTCTATAGATTTCCCCGGTCTGGACTTTCACACAAATGGGATTAGATAATACGTGGACTTTTATGTTTGGCTTCTTAATGGATTTTCAGAGTTCATGTAAGTACCATATATTAGTACTTCATTTGTTTTTATGACTACATAATATTCCATTGTATGAATATGAATATGACTAAATAATATTCCATTACACGAATATACCACTTTTTAAATCCATTTATTTGTTGCTTAACATTTGTGGTGTTGTTTCCACCTTTTGGCTATTATGAATAATGCTGCATGAATATTTATGTGTGGATTTCGGTGTGGACGTATGTTTTCATTTCTTATGAATATTCCTAGAAGTGGATTTTCTGGGCCATATGTTAACACTACGTGCAACCATGTGAGGAACTGGCAGACTGTTTTCTAAAGCAGCTGTACAATCTCACATTCTCACATAGCAGTATATGAGGATTTTGATTTCTTTACTTTTTTTGTTCTCCCTAAGAGTTTTATAGTCTAAAACTATAAAGAGCAAAACTCTTACACTTATATCCTTGACTCATTTTGAGTTACCTTTGTATTTGATGTAAAATAAGAGACCAACTTCATTCTTTTGTATGTAGCTATCCAGCTGTTCTTTCCCCACTGAACAGTCTTGGCACTTTGCTGAAAATCAGTAGGCCATAGATGCATGGATTTATTTCTGGACTCTCAAGTTTACTCCATTTATTGATATATTAGTCCTTGTACTAGTACCACATTGTCTTGATTATCATTGTTTTGCAGTAGGTTTTGAAATTGGGAAGTATGAGTCATCCCCCTTTGTTCTTTTTCAGGATTATTTAGTGTATTGGTCCATCTTATGTTGCTATAAAGAGATACTTGAGGCTGGGTAATTTATAAAGAAAAGAGGTTTAATTGGCTCAAGGTTCTGCAGGCTGAACATAAAGGAAGCATAGTGCCAGCATCTGCTTCTGGTGAGGCTTTAAGAAACTTATAATCTTGGCAGAAGGTGACAGGGAGCAGGGAGCCAGCATGTTCCATGGCAAAGGGAGAGCAAGAGACAAAGGGGGAAGGTCCCAGACTTTTAAAAATAGCCAGATGTCATGTGAACTCAGAGTAAGAGCCCATTTATCACAAAGAGGATGGTGCCATGCCATTCATGAGGGATCCACCCCCATGATCCAATACCACCCACTAGGCCCCACCTCCAATATTAGAGATCACATTTTAACATGAAGTTTGGAGGAGGCACACATCCAAACCATATATTTTTCCCCTGCTCCCCCTAAATCTCACATCCTTTTCACATTGGAAAATACAATCATTCCTTCCCCAAAGTTCTTCAAAATCTTAAAGCATTCTAGCATCAACTCACTCAAAAGTTCAAAGTCCAAAGTCTCATCTGAAACTGAAGTCAAGTTTCTTCCATCCATGAGCCTGCAAAGTCAAAACCAAATTATTTACTTCCAAGATGCAATAGTGGTGTACAGGCATTGAGTAAACATTCCCATTCCAAAAGGGAGAAATTGGCAAAAAGAAGAGGGTACAAGGCCCCATGCAAGTCTGAAACCCAGCAGGGCAGGCATTAAATCTTAAAGCTCCAGCATAATTCTTAACTCTGTATCTTGCATCCTGGTGCAAGGGATGGGCTCCCAAGGCCTTGGGTAGCTTCATCCCTGTGCCTTTCCTGGGCACAGCCCATGTGACTGCTCTCGTGGGTTAGAGTTGAGTGCCTGCAGCTTTTCTGGGCTCAGGGTGCAAGCTGCAAGTGGACCTACCATTCTGGGGTCTAGAGGGTGGTGGACCCTTCCCACAGCTCCACTAGTATGGACTCTGTGTAGGGTGCTCCAACCCCACATTTCCCCTCAGCATTGCCCTGGAGTTTCTCTATGGGGGCTCCAACCCTGTAGCAGGCTTCTGCCTGGGCACCCAGGCTTTTCCATACATCCTCTGAGATCTAGCTGGCAGATGCCAAACCAAGATTTCCTTCATTCTTGCATTCTGTATTTCTACAGGCTTAACACCACATGGAAGCTTCCAAGGCTTATGGCTTGCATGCTCTGAAGTGGGAGCCCAAGGTATACCTGAAGTCCTTTGAGCCACAGCTGGAGCTGTAGCAGCAGGGTTATGGGGTGCAGCCTCTTGAGGTAGTGTAGAGCAGCAGAGTCCCAGTCCTGAACCTTGAAACCATTTTTTCCTACTAGGCCTTTGGGCTTGTGATGGGAGGGGCTGCCTTGAAGATCTCTGAAATGCCTTTGAGACTATTTTCCCATTGTCTTGGATATTAGCAGTTTGCTCCCTTTTAGTCATGCTAATCTCTCTAGCAACTGGTTGTTCCACAGCCTGCTTGGATTCTTTCTCTACCATAAGGCCAGGCTGCAAAATTTCTAAATGTTGACACTGCTTCCCTTTTAAATATAAGTTGCAACTTTAAGTCATTCCTTTGCTCCCACATCTGATAATAGGTTGTTAGAAACAGCCATACCACTTCTTGAACACTTTGTTGCTTAGAAATTTCTTCTATGAAATTTCGTCACTCTTAATTTCAAATTTCCACAGATCTCTAAAACATGCACACAATGCAGCTGAGTTCTTTGCTAGGGCATAACATGGGTAACTCCAGTTGATAGGGCATAACTCCAATAACTGGAGTTATTTCCTCATTTCCATCTCATCAGCCTGGACATCACTGTCCATATTTTTTCAGCATTTTAATCACAATAATTTAATCAGTCTCTAAGAAATTGCAAACTTTCCCTCATCTTTCTATCATCTTCTCCAAACTCTTCCACCTCTGCCTATTACCAAGTTGCAAAGCCACTTCCACATTTTCAGGTATCTTTGTAGCAATGCCCCACACCTTGGTACCAATTATCTGTATTAATTCATTCTTGTGTTTCTATAAATAAATACCTGAAGCTGAGTAATTTATAAAGAAAAAGTTAATAAAACTTCTTTATAAAACTTTATAAAACTTATAAAGAAAAGCTTAATTTGCTCACAGTTTTGTAGGCTGTAGATGAAGTATATCAGCATCTGGTGAGGCTCATCAGCTTCTGGTGAGGCCTCAGGAAGCTAAGAATCCTGGTGGAAGGTGATGGAGAGCCAGCATGTCACATGGCAAGAGCAGGAGCAAGAGAGAGAGAGAGAGTCGGAGAGGTCCCAGACTCTTAAACAACCAGATCTCATGTGAACTCAGAGCAAGAGCACATTTATCACAAAGGGGATAGTGCTAGGCCATTCATGAGGGATCTGCCCCATGATCTAACACCTCCCACTAGGCCCCACCTCCAACACTGGAGATCTCATTTCAACGTATTTGGATGGGACACACATCATATCCTTTGGCTATGCTAGATCACTTGCAATTTTATACAGATTTTAGGATAAAATTTTCAATTTATACAAAGAAGTCAGCTGAGATTCTTAGAGGGAGTGTGTTCATTCTTTAGATCAGTTTGGGAATCAGTTTATCATTTTAACAATGTTAAGTCTTCCAATCCATAAATATGGGATGTTTTTCCATTTATTTAGGTCTTCTTTAATTTCTTTCAACAATATTTTATAGTTTTTAGGGTATAAGATGTGCACTTTTTTGGATAAATGTATTCCTAAAGATTTTATTTTATTTATTGTTTATTTTACTTTTTTATTTTATTATTTCATTTTATTTTATTGAGACAGAGACTTGTTCTCTCAACCAGGCTGGAATGCAGTGGCATGATCTTGGCTCACTGCAACTTCTACCTCCTAGGTTCAAGCAATTCTTGTGCCTCAGCCTCCCAAGTAGCTGGGATTACAGTCATGCATCACCATGCCCAGCTATTTTTTTGTATTTTTGGTAGAGATGGGGTTTCACCATGTTGGCCAGGCTGGTCTCGAACTCCTGGCCTCAAATGATCCTCCTACCTCGATCTCCCAAAGTGCTGGGATTACAGGCATGAGCCACCACATCTGGCCTTATTTTATTTTTTGATGCTATTATGAACAGAATTATTAGGTCCTTCCTTCCTTCCTTCCTTCCTGCCTTCCTGCCTTCCTTCCTTCCTGCCTTCCTGCCTTCCTGCCTTCCTGCCTTCCTTCCTCCCTTCCTCCCTTCCTTCCTTCCTCACAGTATCACTCTGTCACCCAGGCTGGAGTGCAGTAGCACAATCAGCTCACTGCAGCCTTCTCTTCCCTGGGCTCAAGAGATCCTCCTGTCTCAGCCTCCTGAGTAGCTGGGACTATAGGCATGCACCACTACACCTGACTAATTTTTTTTTATTTTTTGTAGAGACAGGATTTTGCCATGTTGCTCAGGCTGGTCTTGAACTCCTGGCCTCAAGTGATTCTCCATCCTCGGCCTCCCAGAGAGCTGGGATTACAGGTGTGAGCCACTGTGCCTGCCCCAGAATTGTTTTCTTAATTTCATTTTCAGATGTTCACTGCAAATGTATAGAAATACAATTGATTTTTATATAGATACTGTATCTTGCAACCTTGCTGAGTTCATTTATTAATTCTAATTCTTTTTTCAAAAAGTAGATTAATTCATATTTTCTATATACAAGATAGTTTACTTCTTCCCTTCCTATCTGGGTTTTGTTTTGTTTTGTTTTTGTTTTTTTTGAGACAAAGTCTAGCTAGACATAGTCACCCTGACTAGAGTGCATTGGTACCATCTTGGCTCACTGCAACCTCTGTCTCCTAGGTTCAAGTGATTCTCCCACCTCAGCCTCCTGAGTAGCTGGGACTCAAGGTGCACGCCACCACGCCCAGCTAATTTTTGTATTTTTTGGTAGAGATGGGGTTTCACCATATCAGCCAGGCTGTTCTCAAACTCCCAACCTCAAGTGATCTGCCCGCCTTGGCCTTCCAAAGTGCTGAAATTACAGGCATGAGCCATTGCATCTGGCCTTCCTTTCCTATTCAGATGCCTTTTATATATTTTTCTTGCCAAGTTTCTCTGGATAAAATCTCTGGTAAATGTTTTAGTAGAGATGGGGTTTCTCCATGTTGGTCAGGCTGGTCTCAAACTCCTGACCTCAGGTGATCCGCCTGCCTCGGCCTCCCAAAGTACTGGGATTACAGGTGTGCGCCTCCGTGCCCAGTCATGTTTGTTTTTTTTTTAATACCATAAAGGCATGCTGGATTTTGTCAAATGCTCTTTGGGCATCCATTGGCATGATTGTGTGATCTTTATTCTATTGATATGTATGACATTAACTGATTTTCAGATACTGAAATAACTTACATTCCTGGGATAAATCCTAGTTAGTCATGGTGTGTAATTCTTATATGTTGCTGTATTTGATTTGTTAGCATTTTGTCAAAAATTTTTGTGTACGTATTCTTAAGAGATAAATAGTTTTATTTTCTTGTGACGTCTCTGTCTGGTTTTGTCATTTTATTCTAAAATAATTTGGGAAGTGTTTTCTCCTCTTCAATTTTCAGAAGAGTTTGTGAAATAAAGAATTGGTATTAATTCTTATTTAAATATTTGGTAGAATTTATAGGTGAAGCCCTCTGGGCCTGATATTTTCTTTGTGAGTAATTTTAAAACTACTAACTCAGCCTTTCTAGGTGTTATGGGTCTATTCAGATTGTTTATTTCTTCTTAAATTAATTTTGGTATTTTGTGCCTTCCTGGGATTTGTTTATTTCTTTTTTTGGGCATATAATCATTAATTAGAATTCCTTTCTAATACTTTTTATTGTTGTAAGTTTATAGTCCTATATCCTCTTTCATTCCTGATTCTAGAAATCAGTCTTCTGTATTTTTATTAGGGTCAGTTTAGCCAAGTGTGTTAATTTTATTGATGTTTTCCTAGAACAAGTTTTTTGTTTTATTGATTTATCTCCATTGTTTGTCTGTTCTCTATTTCATTTATTCTTGCCCTGATCTTAATTATGTTCATACCTTCACTTGCTTTAGGTTCAGTTTGCTCATCTCCTAGGGTCTTAATGTATAAGATTAGGTTATTGATTTGAGATCTTCATATAGGTATTTACAGCTATAAACTTTTCTCTGTGTATTGCTTTGGCTGTATCCCATAAATTGTGTCTTCATTTTTATCATCTCAATGTATTTTATGATTTCTATTTTTATTTCTTCTTTGACCTATTGGTTATTTAAGAGTATGTTATCTTATTTTCACATATTTGTAAGTTTCTCAATTTTTTTATGTTATCAATTTATAATTTATTTCCTTTGTATTCAAAGAATATTCCTTGTGTTATTTCTGTCCTTTCACATGTATTAAAATGTTTTATGGCTTTGTATATGGTCTACCCTAGATAATATTTTATGTGCATTTGAGATAAATGTATATTTAATTGTTGAATAACAGACTGTCTTCTTTCTTACAGAAGTTTTGCAGGTTTTCTTGAATAGATGATTCTTCATTTACTCTTTGCTGTCAGAACATTTCTAGAGGCTGTTTTATTAAAAAAGTAATTTTTACTCCTCCTAACTAAAATGTTGTACACTTTAACCAATAACTCCCCATTTCCTCGCATCTCCCCTGACCTCTGCTAAACATTTTCCACTCCACTTCTATGAATTAATTTTTTTTAGATTCCTTATATAAGTGAGATCATGCAGTATTTGTCTTTCTGTGCCTGCCATGTTTCACGTAGCCTTATGTACTTGAGGTTCATCCATGTTGTCCCAAGTGAGAGTTTTGTTCTTTTTAAAGGCTGCATAGTATTTCATTCTGTATATCTACCACATTTTCTTTCTTGCTTGCTTGCTTTCTTTCTCTTTCTTTCTTCCTTTCTCTCTCTTTCTTTCTTTCTTTCTTTTTTTTTCTTTCTTTCTTTCTTTCTCTTTCTCTCTCTCTCTCTCTCTCTTTCTTTCTTTCTTTCTTTCTTTCTTTCATCTTTCCTTCTTTCTTTGGAGTCTCACTCTGTCACCAGGCACCATCTCAGCTCACTGCAACCTCTGACTCCCTGGTTGAAGCGATTCTCCTGCCCCAGCCTCCAGAGTAGCTAGGATTACAGGCACGCATCACCATACCCAACTCATTTTGTATTTTTAATAGAGATGGGGTTTCACCATGTTAGCCAGGATGGTCTTGATCTCCTGACCTCGTGATCTGCCCGCCTCGGCCTCCCAAAGTGCTGGGATTACAGGCGTGAGCCACCGTGCCCAGCCTACCGCATTTTCTTTATCAATCCATCTGTTGATAGACACTCAGATGGATTACATATTTTGGCTATTATAAATAATTCTGTAATAAATTAGGAATTGTACATATCCCTTCAACATATTGATTTCAGTTCCTTTGGATATATTCACAGAAGTAGAATTGCTGGATTATATGGTAGTTCTATTTTTACTTTTTTTGAGGGACCTCCATACTGTTTTCCATAATGCTTTACTTCAGTTTTTTCTTAATCCTTGAAAGTCTTTATTTCTCCCTCACTCTTAAAAGATAACTTTTATTGATATAGGATTCTTGGATGACAGTTTTGTTTCTTTCTTTGAGCATTTTAAATATGTTATCCCGCTGCATTCTGGTTTCCACAATTTCTGTGAAAACATTAGCTGTTAATCTTATTGGAGTTTCTTTATAATTGATGACTCATTTTTTTCCTTGCTGCTTTCAGGATTTCTTCCCTTCCTTCTTCCCCCAACCACTTATTTCTGTTTTGGATTGCAGCATTTTTACCATCATGCATCTGTTTCTAGATTTGTTTGTGTTTATCCTGTTTAGTGTTCATTGAGCTTCCTGGATGTGTAGGTTATTGTTTTTCAATAAATTTGGGAAATTTCTTCTCACTATTACTTCGAATAATCTTTCATATTCTTTCTCTCCTCTTCTTCTGTTACTCCCATTACATAAATGCACAGTGTCCTACATTTCTTTGAAGCTCTGTTCATATTTTTCATTCTGTTTTTTTTCTGTCTTTTTCTGGCTTGCATAATCTGTTTGATCAGTCTTAAGGTTTGCTAATTATTTCTTATGCCAGTTCAAATCTACTGTTGAGCTCCTCTAGTGAATTTTTTAAAATTTCAGTTGTACTTTTCAACTTTATAATTTCCATTTGTTTCTTTTTAATGCTTTCTCTTTATTGATATCTTTTATTTGACGTGACTTTGTCATCATACTTCCTTTACTCCTTTAGTTATATTTTCCTTAGTTCCATGAACATATTTATAATGACTATTTTGAAATCTTGTTGTGTTAAATCTAATATCTTGTTGTAATCATGGGAAGTTTATGTTGCCTGTTTTTAATTTTATTTTTCTGTTGTATGGTTTATACTTTCTGATTCTTTACATGCCTTATAAGTTTTTGTTGGAAATTGGACATTTTAGATACTGTAGAAATATCAGCACTCATCCTTCCCCTCTGGGGTTTTTTATTAGCCTGTTTCATTTTTAGCAACTGGTTGGATAAGTTTAGTGAAGTTTACTTCCTTTGTACCATCCCCCTGCCCCCGACCCAGTGTGTTAAGCCTCTGATGCTGTTCCTGAAAAGGTGCAGCATATGGTGGCATACCCAGCCACCATAGCTCACTACAGCCTTGAACTTCTGGGCTCAAGTGATCCTCCCACTTTGGCCTCCCAAAATATTCTGGGACCACAGGTGTGAGGTACTGCATCCAGCCCTGCTTTAATTTTTTATAGGATGATTTATGAAATTAAAAAATTTCTTTTGCATCCGTTTTCATGTTAATTTCTCTATATCATCTAAGTTGTTACATTTGTTGGCATATGAATATTAATACTTTTTTTTTTTTTTTGAGATGGAGTCTTGCTCTGTCACCCAGGCTGGGTGCAGTGGCACAATCTTGGCTCACTACAAGCTCTGCCTCCCAGGTTCACACCATTCTCCTGCCTCAGCCTCCCGAGTAGCTGGGATTACAGGCATGTGCCACCACGCCTGGCTAATTTTTTGTATTTTTAGTAGAAACGGGGTTTCACTGTGTTAGCCAGGATGGTCTCGATCTCCTGACCTCGTGATCCGCCCGCCTCAGCCTCCCAAAATTCTGGGATTACAGGCGTGAGCCACCGCACCCGGCCAATACTTTTCTTTTTAATACAATTCATCTATTCTCTTTTTTCATTAGTGATATTGTTCTCATCTTCTCTTTTTTTCATTGATTAATCTTACCGGAGATTTGTCCACTGTGTTAGTTTTTTTGAAATCACCTTTTGCTTTTCTTTTCTATTTTATTTGTTTCTGCTGTTATTTTTATTACCTCATCATCTACTTTCTTTAGGTTTACTGTGTTGTTATTTTTCTAACTTCTTAACATGGACATTAGACCCAATAATTTTGAACCTTTATTCTTTTTTATGTAAACATGTAAGGTTATACATTTCTAAGAATGGGTACTGAACCATACCATACATTTCAATATATAGTGGTTTCACTATATTTCTGTTTTAAGTTTCCTTCAAATTTCAATTGTGATTAATTTTTTGCTCCAGGGGTTATTTACCATTATGTTTTAATATTCTCAAATATATTTTGTTATTAAATTGTCACTTAATTATATTGCAGTCAGAGGTATTAGTACATATAGTATTTATTTGAAATTGAAATTTTTTAGGAATAATAAATGATCATTAAAAAAATTTTCTGGCCAGGCATGGTGGCTCACACCTGTAATCTTAGCACTTTGGGAGGCCTAGGCTGGCAGATCACCTGCGGTCAGGAGTTCAAGACCAGCTTGACCAACATGGAGAAACCCCATCTCTACTTAAAAAAAAAGAAAAAATTAGCCGGACATAGTGGCACATACCTGTAATCCCAGCTACTTGGGAGGCTGAGGCAGGAGAATTGCTTGAACCTGGGAGGCGGAGGTTGCAGTGAGCTGAGATCACACCATTGCACTCCAGCCTGGGCGACAGGAGCGAAATTCTATCTCAAAAAGAGAATTTTTTTTTTCTCAGTGCTTGAGAAAAATGTGCATTCTCTAATTGTTAGGTTCAGAATTTTCTGTGGGTATTAGATCAAGCTTGTTTACTTTGTCATTCAGATCTTTTATATTTTTGCTGATTTTTGTTTGTTTAATGGCAGAGTAAATTTAAAGAAAATATCGAGAAGGACAAAGAACTTAAGAGTTGAGCTACCATTCAACAGGGCAATCCCACTACTGGGTATATACCCAAAGGAAAATAAATCATTTAACTAAAAGGACACATGGACCTGTACGTTCATTGCAGTACTATTCACAATAGTACTCCATGGATGCAGCTGGAGGCCATTATCTTAAGTGAACTAATACAGAAACGAAATCAAATACTTCATGTTCTTATTTATGAGTGGAAGCTAAACCTTGGGTACATATGGATGTAAAGATGGAACCAATAGACAATGGAAACTGCTAGAGCGTGAAGAGAAGAAGTAGGGGAAAGACTGAAAAACTACCTATTGGGTACCATGCTCGCTACCTGGATGACGGCTTTGATCATACCCCAAACCTTGCACCACATAAATGCCCATATACCAAACCTGCACATGTACCCCTGATTCTAAGATAAAAGATGAAAAAACATTAATTGTAATAAACTGATTCACTGTTCAATTTATGCTCTATGCCTTGCAACAAAAGGTTTGTAGACATGAAAGAAAGGAGATATTACAGTTTTGATCTTGTTAGAGACAAGGAAGCATCACTGTTTTGGAGGAAAGGTGATTCCCTGACATAGCCATAGCCACATGTCTGTTAATAGGTAAGCCTTCTCATCTCACTCTGTACCCTTTCTTCATAATACTGACCTGTATTGAAAGAATAGGCTCTTGATAAATATTTTTAAATAAATGAATGAATAAAAAGTAAAAGAAAAACAAAAGAAAATAGAAGGAAGTTTTTAGTAGTAGTAATAGCAGTATTTTTTGAGACAGAGTCTCACTGTCGCCAGGCTGGAGTGCAGTGGCGCAATCTTGGCTCACTGCAACCTCTGCTTCCCATGTTCAAGCAATTCTCCTTCCTCAGCCTCCTGAGTAGCTGAGATTACAGGTGCCCACCACCACTCCCAGCTAATTTTTGTATTTTTAGTAAAGACGGGGTTTCATCATGTGGCCAGGATGGTCTTGATCTCCTGACCTCGTGATCTGCCTGCCTCAGCCTCCCGAAGCGCTGGGATTACAGGTGTGAGCCACTGTGCCCAGCCAGAAGGAAATTATTAATCGCAGAAATAAAAGAGGGAGAATCCAATGACAAAATTTAATAGGGAGGATCAATCAAGAAAAAAATGTATTTATCTGGAAGGGGTGATGAAAGGATAAACCATTGGTAAGATTTCTATTTCTGTGTAAAGAAAGAAAAGGTGCAAACCACACTAGGATTGAATAGGGGTCTGTAATAGACTTGCTGCAGAGACTAAACAGTGGAATGTTAGGGAAAAAATGTATGCTGATAAACTTGCAAACTTAGTGGAAATAAAAAAAAAACGAATAGAGAACTATAGTTTACCAAAACTTATTCAAGGAGAAATAGAAAACACTAGTTCTACAATTATTAAAGTCAATGAAACATAATTTTAAAATATTAAAAAACATACCATACCTTAATGCTTGGTTTTAGTGGTAGTTCTACCAAATATAATAGAACAGATAATTTCAAATTTTCCCAAATTTTTCAGAGAATAGAATAAGAGGGGGACATGCTGTGACTCTTCTTTTTTTTTTTTTTTGAGACAGAGTCTTGCTCTGTCGCCCAGGCTGGAGTGCAGTGGTGCAATCTCAGCTCACTGCAAGCTCTGCCTCCCGGGTTCAAGCCACTCTCCTGCCTCAGCCTCCCGAGTAGCTGGGACTACAGGCGCCCACCACCACGCCCGACTAATTTTTGTAGTTTTAATAGAGATGGGGTTTCACTGTGTTAGCCAGGATGGTCTCGATCTCCTGACCTCGTGATCCGCCCACCTCAGCCTCTCAAAGTGCTGGGATTACGGGCGTGAGCCACCGTGCCCAGCCCTGTGAGTCATTTTTTTAATGCAATTGAATAGAACCACAGAAATAAACTCATGCATGCATAAAAAACTTGATTCTTGGCAGAGTGGAAATTCTCTGTGGAGAAAGGTAAATTAATGGTTCTGTGCCAATAAGTCTTTCAAATGGAAAAAATAAAGTGATCTTAGAGACCTAATTTTATAGCATATATGAATATTATATACAGATTTAGAATGAAAATATGAATGGCAACATTTTAAAACTTTAGAAGACAACAGAAAATATTCTCTCGAAGGCTTGGGATACCTAAAATATATATATAAAAAAACTCCTGTGAATCAATAAATGAAATACAAGCAAATCAGTAAAAAAAAGTGTAAAAACATTTATAGGCAATTTTTTTTCTTTCTTTAAGATAGAGTTTTGCTCTGTCACCCAGGCTGGAGTGAGTGGTGTGATCTCCGCTCACTGCAACTTCTGCCTCCTGGGTTCAATTGATTCTCCTGCCTCAGCCTCCTGAGTAGCTGGAATTACAGGTACGTGCCACCGCGCCTGGCTAATTTTTGTATTTTTAGTAGAGACGGGGTTTCGCCATATTGGCCAGGGTGGCCTCGAACTCCTGACCTCAGGAGTGATCCGCCTGCCTCGGCCTTGCTGGGATTACAAGCGTAAGCCACTGTGCCTGGCCCATTTATAGGCATTTTAACAGGAGACTAATAGGATATGAAAAGATGCTTGTTCTTATTGATAGGCAAATTGTAGATACCATTTTCATACTCAACTATTTGAAAATATTTTAAAAGCTAGGCAAAACCAAAGTTGGGAAGGATGTGGAACTGTGAGAACTCTCATCTCCTGTTGTTGGGAGAGTCAACTGATATAAATACTTTGGGGAGAAAATGTTGTAATCGAATAAGTCTGAGAATAATAATACTTTATGACCCAGAAACCTGCCCTAAGTATGTACGCCAGAGAAACTCTTGCCAATATATGGGAAGTATGTACAAATGTCTATATTGCTTATAAAAACAAAACCCAGAAATACTAAAATGTCTACTAACAGTGGAATGGATGTATAATTGGGCATCTATACGTGTATAATTATACATATGTTATAGAATATTAACAAATGTGTAATTATACATATATAGACATATATACAGACATATATATACATACAGAATGTTGTAAGGAATTAAAAATGAAAAAAAAATCCCTCCACACATCAACATAGATGAACCTCCAAAAAATAACATTGAATATAGGAAGCAGGTCATAGAAGGCTATATAGCTGTGAATCCACTTATATAAAGTTCAAAATCAGGCAAAACTAAAATATATTTTAGGAATACATTTAAAGATATTAAAACTCATAAAAAGCAAAAGAATGATTAACTCAAAATACAAGATGTTGGTTTTCTCTGGAGAGAAAGGAAGAGAGGGGCATAGAGGAACTTGCCTCTAAGAGAGTATTAGAGTATTAAGTCTGTTTCTTGTTTTTTGTTTGCTTGTGTTTTTGAGATGGGGTCTCACTCTGTCACCCAGGCTGGAGTGCAGTGGTACGATCTCAGCTCACTGCAACCTCTGCCTCCCAGGCTCAAGCGATGCTCCCACCTCAGCTTCCCAAGTGGCTGGGACTACAGGTGTGCCACTACACCCAGCTAATTTTTGTATTTTTAGTAGAGATGGGGTTTGCCATGTTACCTAGGCTGGCCTTGAACTCCTGGGCTCAAGTAATCCACAGGCCTCAGCCTTCCAAAGTGCTAGGATTACAGATGTGAGCCACCGTGCCTGACTAAGTCTGTTTCTTAAGCCAGATGGTGGTGGGTACAGTGATGTTTGCTTTATTTGAAAAACCGTACATGTATCTTTTATATATGCTTATTTATCTGAAATATTTCACAGTAAAAATTTTTAAAAGATTCTAGAGAGGAGAAGTCTGAGAAGATGAAGGAGTAGGAAGCGCCAGGGATCTGTCTCCCTAGCTAGACAACAATTGCACCGTCAGAATCTGTAAACAGGCTGGGCCCAGTGGCTCAGGCCTGTAATCCCAGCATTTCAGGAGGCCGAGGTGGGTGGATCATCTGAGGTCAGGAGTTTGAGACCAGCCTGGCCAACATGGTGAAACCCTGCCTCTGCTAAAAATACAAAATTAGCTGGCATGGTAGTGCACGCCTATAATCCCAACTACTTGGGAGGCTGAGGCAGGAGAATCCCTTGAACCTGGGAGGGGGAGGTCGCAGTGAGCCAAGATCGCGCCATTGCACTCCAGCCTGAGCAACAAGAGTGAAACTGTCTAAAAAAAACCAGAATCTGTAAACAAAACTTTTACATGCACTGGAAAACCAAAAAATTTGTAGGGCTCACTTTATTGCAACATTGGCTTGGCTTTATTGTGGTTGTCTGGAACCAAACCCACAATATCTCTGAGGTATGCCTGTTTGTTTGTTTATACACAAGGTGTCCCTCTGTGGCTCAGTCTGGAGTGCAGTGGCGCTGTCGCAACCACTGCTCACTGCAGCCTCGACCTTCTGGGCTCAAGTGATCCTCCCACTTCAGCTTCCCAAGCAGCTGGGACTACGGGCACACACCACCACATCTAACTAATTTTTAAATTTTTTGTAGCGATAAAGTCTCCCTATGTCGCTCAGGCTAGTCTCAAACTCCTGGGCTCAAGCCATCCTCCCACTTCAGCCTCCCAAAGTGCTGGGATTACAGGAGTGAGCCACCACACCCGGCCTCGCCTGTGTATTTAATATCACTGAACTGTACACTTAAATATATGTGAATTTCATGATATGCGTATTTTACCACAATAAAAAATTATGAGAAAAAAGCTGTTAGAGAACAACAACAACAACAAAAATAGTAGAGGAAGAACCTTGGCAGTTCTAATTATTCTAGATAGGGCGATGACAGGAACAACCTCAGGCCGCCACAGAGTAACAGGTGACAATACCTTCTACCCTCTCCGGCTGGTTATAACTTATTGGACCATGGAGAATTAATTGAGCCATAGGCGAGGCTATGACAGGGCTGATGGAAAACGATGAGTGGACAAATTATTTATTCTTTGTCAATAATTTGAACTGGGAAATATTGAGATAAGCAGGTGACGGTGGGAACTGAGGCTGAAAGAAAACAGAATTACGGAGCCCCTGAGGAGGGGAAGCATGATGTATAAGTCACACATAAGTCAAATTCCAAGGGAACAGAAGCCATTTGTGAGCAGAAGCTACACGGTAGAGAATGTTCATAGAAAGGAAAGCCCATTCGTGTAGGAAGAGAAACGGACAGACTTCAGGCCTGGAGGCATAGAGTGAAATTCCTTCAACTGCCCAGGCAACCTTTGCTGAAGGCCTTAGATCTGAGCATCCCTGAAGGTTCCGTCTGAGCCCCGGGGCTACCTGGCTCGGGTTCCTGTTTCCTTCTCCTTGGGACCCCTTCATGGACCAATCCATGACCTGCTCCCCAGCCAGTAAGGAAAGTTCTCTCTTCCTTACATACTAAGCCCAACTACTATACAAACAGATTGTTCTTTCCAAAATGTTAAAACTATCTAGAGGGCTCCGGGGCTGGCAGAGATGCAGTAAGCCCACCTCAACTATCTCTCCCATTAACAACAACTAAAAACTCCAGGCAGAATACAAGAGGCCACACTCCCTGAGGGTGCTGAAAAGTTAACTATAGTGGGTGGATTGGGGAAAGAAGTCAAAAGTTGAAGAAATGGCTATGCTTTGTCAAATCTCATAGAAATGTACAGCGGAAAGGGTAAATTTTACTGAAGTTAAAAATTGTTTTTAAAATTGCAGGTGAAAGAGGAAAAAGAATGGGATACGGGTCCAGAAAACCTGGATTCCACAGGCTCAGCTAATTGTTAGTTGCTTATCTTGGTCACTTAACTAAATCTTTTTTTTAAAATTTTATTATTATTATACTTTAAGTTTTAGGGTACATGTGCACAACATGCAGGTTTGTTACATATGTATACATGTGCCATGTTGGTGTGCTGCACCCATTAACTCGTCATTTAGCATTAGGTATATCTCCTAATGCTATCCCTCCCCCTCCCCCACCCCACAACAGTCCCTGGTGTGTGATGTTCCCCTTCCTGTGTCCGTGTGTTCTCATTGTTCAATTCCCACCTATGAGTGAGAACATGTGGTGTTTGTTTTTTTGTCCTTGTGATAGTTTGCTGAGAATGATGGTTTCCAGCTTCATCCATGTCCCTACAAAGGACATGAACTCATCATTTTTTATGGCTGCATAGTATTCCATGGTGTATATGTGCCACATTTTCTTAATCCAGTCTATCATTGTTGGCATTTGGGTTGGTTCCAAGTCTTTGTGAATAGTGCCGCAGTAAACATACGACTTTACTAAATCTTAAAACCAAAAGCCTCCCCTAAACTACCTGAAGGCAAACAAGCAAAGCAAGGCAAGTCAATTTCTATTCAGTTTCTAACTGTGCTATTGAAGACGTTGATCTAAGGAAACTGCCTGAGTAGAAGATACTTCTTCCAGTCCTGATGGATTTTAGAAGCCTGCCTTCTTTCCTATAGCACTGGGGGCCTGGACAGCATGGATAGCAGTGGCTTTTCAAGGGGACCTCGATTGGCTTCTGAAATCCTTTCTGACGTCAGGAAGTGAGAAGACAGCCAGCCAAGTCTCTCCACAGGCAGGTAGCCATTCATAACCTCTCCAAGTCAAGGGCCAATACCCCAAAAGCTTCTCCAGCCTTGGATGTTCATCCATTCTTACCCCTGAACAGTGACTTATACTGGAGAGCATAGTTGTTAAGAGTTTACATTCTGGATTTAGACTGCCTAGGTTTCAATCCCGGATCGTCATTTCCTGTTGCTATGTGGAATCCTATGTCTCAATTTCTTACAGATGAGGATATACACACAGTAACTGTCTTATAGTGTTCTGGTGAGAATTTAATGAGAAAATGCACCCGAAATGCTTACTACAGTGTCTGACACGTGATGAACGATCAATAAATGAACTCAATTATTAATAACCACTGCATAAAACACAAGGCATTCATTTCAGTTACATTCATCTCATTGGCCACTTGGGGGAGCCATACAGCTGTAAAACGAGCAGGTTTCAGGAAAGGTTTATTTTAGAAAAGATTTTTGTTGCTGACTATTAAGAGAGGGAGAGTTAAGGGTTATCTAATTCCACTCGCTTACTTTTACATACAAAGAAACAAAGGTTCAGAGAGGAGAAATGATTTGTTCATAGTCATACAAATAACTGGTCGTGTGAAGGCTAGAGACCATCTTTCCCAATTCATTGACAAATTACTGAATAAAAATCAAGTGTAGTTAAATGCCTACTAGCTTCCAAGCACAGCTAGACTTGGTTTGCTGTGTGTCTGTGTAGAATTTAAAATAATCCTGCCGTTCTCAAATTCTCTGCTGATGAACTTGTGTTGTGCTTTTTTATTTTGTTGAGGCCTGTGCTTAACAAGTAGCAGGGTAACAGACACGGGTAATACATATCATGACATTTGTTGCCTTGTTGTATATAGAGTTCTTATGAAACACAGGCAAACAGGCATTGTTTTTAAGAAACTTACTTACACGTTGAAATAAGGACACACACACACACGCACACGTACATACTCGGTTGATGATCACATTCGATTTCAAAGCTTTCAGTGGCACCTGTAAGAGAAAAATTCTCAAATTTATATTGGCAATCTGGATCTCTCCCCTGAACTTCTAGCTTATTTATCTAACTTCTTATGCAACATTTCCACTTGGAAGCCTATGAGACATCTCATGTTCTCGATATTTAAAGCCAAGTTCCTATCTTCTCTGGTACTTGCTCCTGCAACAGATTTTCCCATTTCAGGTAATGGCAACTCTGTTATCCGTTTACTCAGCCAAAACCTTTGTGTTTCCCTAAACCTCTGCTTTCTCTCCTACTCCACATTACATTCAGCATCAAACATTTGGCTCTCGATTCAGAATGAATCCAGGATCCACCCACTTCTTGCTGCCTCCACCGCTCCCACCACCATCTTACGATGGTTACTGCAACAGCCTCTTAACTGGTCTCTCCTGATCTAACCTTGTCTTCCCTGCACAGTGGCAGAGTGACGCTGTTAAAAATCTTAATAGGGCCGGGCACGGTGGCTCATGCCTGTAGTAATTCCAGCACTTTGGGAGGCTGAGGTGGGCGGATCACAAAGTCAGGAGTTCGAGACCAGCCTGGCCAACATAGTGAAACCCTGTCTCTACTAAAAATACAAAAAAAAAAAAAAAAAAAAATTAGTCAGGTGTGGTGGCAGGCGCCTGTAATCCCAGCTACTTGGGAAGCTGAGGCAAGGAGAATCGCTTGAACCTGGAAGGTGGAGGTTGCAGTGAGCCGAGATCTCCCCACTGTACTCCAGCCTGGGCAAAAGAGTGAGACCCTGTCACACACACAAAAAGAATTCTAATAAGCCATCAAGAGACTCTGTCTCAAAAAGAAAAAAAAAATCTTAATAGTATCAGGCAGCCTCCTGCTCAAAAGCCTGCAATGGCATCTGCTATGGTCTGAATGTTTGTGTGTCCTCCAAATTCAGATATTAAAATCCTAATCTCCAACATAATAATATGACTAGGTAGAGGCTTTAATAGGAAATTAGGTTATAAGAATGGAGCCCTCATAATGGGATTAGTGCCCTTATCAAAGAGACCTTGGGAAGATCCCTGGCCCCTTCTGCTGTGTTAGGACATGGCAAAAAGATGGCCATCTACGAGTCAGGACATGGGCCTGTTATACATGCGGCCTGTTGTTGACTGAAACGTTGCTATGTGATCCATGACTGTATTTCTTTTCTTGTCTAGTTGCCTTGGCTAGAACTTCTGGTAAAATATTAAGTAGAAATGGCTAGAGTGGACATCCCTGGAGGGCAGTGGTGTGATCTCGGCTCATGCGACCTCCGCCTCCCAGGTTCAAGCAGTTCTCCCTGCCTCAGCCTCCTGAGTAGCTGGGATTACAGGTGTGTGCCACCACGCCTGGCCAATTTTGGTATTTTTTAGTAGAGACGGGGTTTCACCATGTTGGCCAGGCTGGTCTTGAACTCCTGACCTCAGGAGATCCGTCCAACTTGGCCTCCCAAAGTGCTGGGATTACAGGCATGAGCCACCACGCCCGGCCAGGAGCTGTGGGTTTTTAGATGTCCTTTATTAGGTTGACTTTATCCCTAGTTTGTTTAGTATTTTTATCATGAAAGCATTTGATTTTGTCGTATGCTTTTTCTGTGTTAAAAGAAAAAACTGTGTCTTCTACACTCACGTTTCTGACACCAAATATGTGGAGGTTTTCCTACACTAAGCCATTCTCCAATGCTCCAGGTATCAACAGGTGTCCTACAGTTCAATGATGACACTGATTACTCAAAGTTAGCACAGACCCCCACAGGTTAAGGGATCGCCTCCACAAGACTGTCCCCAATTCAGATGCCAGTCTCAAGCCCAGGTTGTCACTCAGACGTCTGACCAACGAGCTAGAAATTGAGAGTTCCCATAATCCCCTCCTCATGTTTAATAATTTTGATAGAATGAGTCACAGAACTAAGGAGGGTGCTTCACTTACATTTACTGGTTTACTAGAAAGCCTACTCAGGAACAGACAAATGGAAGAAATGCACAGGGTGAGGTTTGTGGGAAGGAGTGTGGAGCCACTGTGCCCTCTTTATGAAGGCCACCCTCCCACACCTTTCTGTGCTCACTTACCTGGAAGCTTTCCAAACCTCATCATTTAAAGTTTTGTTTTGTTTTGTTTTTTGAGACAGAGTTTCTCTCTGTCGCCCAGGCTGAAGTACAGTGGCGGGATCTCGGCTCACTGTGAACTCCGCCTCCTGGGTTCAAGCGATTCTCCTTGCTTCAGCCTGTAGTTGGGACTACAGGCACGCACCACCATGCCCAGCTAATTTTTGTATTTTTAGTAGAGACGGGGTTTTGCCATGTTGGCCAGGCTGGTCTCAAACTCCTGACCTCAGGTGATCTGCCCACCTCAGCCTCCCAAAGTGCTGGGATTACAGGCGTGAGCCACTGCACCCGGCCTCATGGAGGTTTTCTTACTATTACTTTGGTCTTTTGTGTTACTATTACCACAGCTATGTTTAAAGTATTCATCTTTGCCTATTTCACCTACCATGGAAAACATGGGCTGGGTGCCGTGGCTCACGCCTGTAATCCCAGCACTTTGGGAGGCCGAGGCGGGCGGATCACCTGAGGTCAGGAGTTTGAGACCAGCCTGGCCAACATGGCGAAACCCGTCTCTACTAAAAATACAAAAATTAGCCAGATGTGGTGGTGGGCACCTTTAATCCTAGCTACTTGGGAGGCTGAGGCAGGAGAATCGCTTCAACCTGGGAGGCGGAGGTTGCAGTGGTCCAAGATCATGCCACTGCCCTCCAGCCTGGGTGACAGAGCAAGACTCTGTCTCAAAAAAAAAAAAAAAAAAAGTTTATATGGAGGCTTCATGACATAGGCATGATTGGTTAATTATTGGCCACTGAAGATGAGGTCAAATTTTCACCCCCACTTCCCTCCCCAGAGGCTACAGTTGGGGCTAAAAGTTCCAACCCTCTAATCACGTGGTTGGTTCCTCTAGCAACCAGCTCTGCTCCTCCGAGGGTCTCCTGATTAGCATCAATTCAGGTATAGTTGAAAGGGGCTTATTATAAATAGCAAAGCTTTATTTTTACTCTTATCACTAAGGAAATTCCAAGGATTTTAGGAGCTCTGTGCTAGGAACAGGAGATGAAAACCAAATATACGTTCCTTATTATATCACAATATCACATGTATCTATGGAGATAATCATGTACTTTTGTCCTATGTTTTATTAATGTGATGTATTATCCTAATTGAATTTGGATGCTATGCCAACTTGCATTGTGGGGATAAATCTCACTTGATCATGGTGTATAATAACTTTTATACATTGCTAGGTTTGATTTGATAGTACTTTTTGGGAGGGAGATTTTTGTAAGCAATTTATAAGGTACATTGATAGATTGCTTTCTTTTCCTGTCATGTTTTGTCTGGTTTTGGTATTAGGATAACACTGATCTCATTGAATAAATTGGGAAGTGTTTCCTATTCCTATTTTTTGGAAGAGTGTCTCTGTGTGTGTGTGTGTGTGTGTGTGTGTGTGTGTGTGTATTTGTATTTGTATTCTTGGGTCTATAACATATAGAAATATAATATATTTGACAATAACAGTACAAAGGAGATGGGTGATAATAAAACTGTATTGATATTAATTCTTTAATTATTTGGTTGAATTCAGCAGTGAAATAACCTTGTCATAAACTTTTCCTTTTGAGAACTTTTTTTGATCACTAATTCTATCTCTTTACCTGTTATAGGTCTACTCGTATTTACCATTTCTTTTTGTGTCAGTTTTTATAGCTTGTATCTTTCTAGGAGTTTGTCTATCTCATTGAAATGATCGAATTTGTTGGCATACATTGTTCATAATATTCACCTATAATCCATTTTATTTTGGTAATGTCATTGGTAATGTTGTTTCTTTTATTCCTGACTCTACTAATTCAAGTCTTTTCTCCTTTTTTAAAGTCAGTCTAGTTAAAGGTTTGTCAATTTTGTTGAACTTCTAAAGGGCGAACTTTTGTCTCATTGATCTTTCTCTGCTGTTTTTTGTCTTTATTTGATTTGATTGGGCTCTAATATTTATTATATCTTCGTATCTGCTTGCTTTGAGTTTGGTTTGATCTTCTTTTTCTCCTTCTTAAGGTGGAGGCTTAGCTTATTGATCTGGTATTTTTCTTCTTTATGAATATAGGCATTTACAGTTACAATTTCCCTTTAAGCCTGGCTTTAGTTATGTCACATAAGTTTTGATATGTCATGTTTTTGTTTTTATTCACCCTGAACTATTTTCTAATTTGCATGGTTTCTCCTTTGACTCATTAGCCATTTAATAGTGTTGTTTATTTTCCGTGTACTTAGGCGTTTTCTGTCTCCTTATGTTATTGATGTCTAATTTCATTCCACTGTGTTCAGAAAACATGCTTTATATGATTTCAATTTTCTTATATTTAATGAAGCGTGTTTTATGGGCTACCATATGGTCTATTCTGGATAATGTTCTATGTGCATTTGTGAAGAACATGTATTCTGCTGTAGCTGGATGGAGGAGGGTTCTATAGATGTCTAATGAGTCTAGTTGATTTGTGTGTTTTGGGGCTCTGTTAGGTGCATTGTAAGTTTATAATGGTAATATTTTCCTTTTGGATGGATGCTTTCATTATTGTAAAATATCTTGTTTTATCTCTAGTAACATATTTTTTTAAAGGCTATTTTATCTGTTATTATGTGGCTACTCCAGCTCTCTCATGGTTGCTATTACGTGGTGTATATTTTTTCATTCTTTTGTAAACTATTTGTATCTTTGAATCTAAAGTATGTCTCCTGTGGTTGGATCATATAGTTATATCTTGTTTTTTAAAAATCTAATCTGGCAATCTCTGTCTTTTGATTGAATTGCTTAATCCATTTTCTAATTATACACTTATTAATATAACTTAATTTATGTCTGATATTTTTCTTATTTTTATTTGAGACAGAGTCTCACTTTATCACCCAGGCTGGAGTGCAGTGGTGCAATCTTGGCTTACTGCAGCCTTGACCTCCCAGGCTCAAGTGATCCTCCTGCCTCAACCCCCAAAGCTGGGACTACAGGTGCGTGCCACCACACATGGCTAATTTTTGTATTTTTTTGTAGAGGCAGGGTTTCACTGTGTTGCCCAGGCTGGTCTCAAACTCCTGAGCTCAAGCAGTCTGCCCACCTCAGCCTCCCAAAGTGCTAGGAATACAAGTGTGAGCCACTGTGCCTGGCCTTATTTTTATGTTTTATTTTTGTGGGTACATAGTTGGTCTATCTACTTATGGGTTACATGAGATATTTTGATACAAGCCTGCAATGCATCATAATCACATCAGGGTAAATGGGGTATCCATTACTTCAAGCATTTATTTTTTGTGTTAGAAACAATCCAATTATATTCCTTTAGTTATTAAAAACGTACCTTTAAATTAATTTTGACTATAGTCACCTTACTGTGCTAGCAAATACTAGGCCTTATTTATTCTATTTTTATACCCAGTAACTGTGTCTGATATTTTATGTTCTATATATTTCATGTATTTTTCCTTCTTATTTCTCATTTACTGTTTTGTTTTTCATTGAGTGAATATTTTCTATTGTAACATGTTAATTTTTAACTGACTTTTAATCTATAATTTTGTGATATTTTCTATATTTTGTATCTATATTTTTGAGATATTTTCTTAATGCTTGCTCTCATGCTACAATATAAATCTTAAATTATCAAAACCTACTTCAGATTTCTGCTCTTTTAATTCCAGTGAGATATAGAAATATTACGCCTATAAAGTTCCACTCCCTACTCACTATTTGGTGCTATTGTTACATATAGTATGTTTATGTATGCTACAAACCTATCAATACATTGTTATAGTTATGATTTTCTATAAAGTATGTCTTTTAGAGAAGCTAAGAGAATGGAAAAGAGCAAGTATATATTTACAAAGTTTATATTAGTCCTCTTATTTAAATTTCTGATTCTCTTCATTTTCCCTGTGGATTCAACTTACTATATGGTGCTATTTCCTTCCTACAATACAGTTTTATTGTTACCATCTCCTTTGTACTACTATTGTCAAATATATTACATTTCTATGTGTTACAGGCCCAACAATACAAATACGCACACACACGTAGACACACAGACATGTGAACACAATGATATGCAATTGTTATTAAGTAGTTAAGAGAATAAAGAATACATATACACATATACTGTATTTTATATTTACCTGCATAATTACCTTTAGCAGAGCTTTTTGTTTTCTCTTGTGAATTTGAATTATTATTTTGTGTCATTCACAAGAACCTCCTTTATAATTTCTTGTAAGGTGGGTCTGCTAGCAATACATTCTCTCAGTTTTTGTTTATCTTGGAATGCTTTAATCTCTCTCTTGCTTTTGAAACATAGTTTTGCTGGATATAATACTTTTAGTTGACAGTTTCTGTTTTCAGTACTTTGAATATGGCCAGCTCACTGCCTTCTGGTCTCCGTTGTTTCTGAAAGAAGTCAGCTATTAATCTTATTGGAATTCCTTTGTATGCAAGGAATTATTTTTTCTCTTGCAGGTTTCCTAATTTTGTCTTTGTCTTTGAACATGTTGACTATTATGTATCTTTGTGTTTATCCCACTTGGAGTTTGGTAAGCTTCTTGTAAGCATATAATAATTTAAAAAACATGTTTGGGAAGTTTTCAGCTATTATTTCTTCAAATTTTTTTTCTGGATCTCTCACTCTTTTCTTTCCTTCTGGTACTATCACTAGGCATATGTTAGTGTGCATAATGTCTCATATTTTCTCCAAGGATTTATTTATTTTTCCCTAGCCTCTTTTTCCCTCTTTTGATTTGATTCTTTCTTCTGACAGCTGAAATCTACAGTTGAGCCCCTCTAGTGAATTTTTCATTTTGGTTTTTCTAGTTTTTAATTCCAAAATTTCCATTTTGTTCCTTATTAAATTCTACCTTAATTGCTATTTTTGATTTAATGTGACGTTATCATATCTTCTTTTAATCATTTAAGCACTGTTTCATTTAGTTATTGAACATATTTATAGTCGCTTGTTTAAAATGTGTATCTACCAAGTCAACATCTGGAACTCCACTTAAAGGCAGTTTCTTTTGTTTGCTTTTATTCCTGTGAATGGATCACACTTTCTTACATCTTTGAAAATCTTATTTGTTCTTTCTTTTTGAACACCAGGCATTTCAGATAATATATTGTAGCAACTCTGAATACTGATTTCCTGTCTACCCCCACCCCCACCTCAGGAAGGGCTTTGTGGTGTTGTTATTTGATAGTTTATTTGTTTAGTGACTTTGTTGCACTAGTTTAGTGAAGTTTATTTTTCATGCAGTATGAAACCTTTAATGTTTTTCCTCAAATGGCACAGACTTGGGCATTCTCATTTTTAGGGATGACAGTGATTTTAGGCTCTCCTTGACTTTCTCTTTTTCTGATATTCCTGTAAGTCTCTGGCTGGTCTGCCTCTATTGTTCTCTACCATGGCTAGCTGATCATTCTATTGTTTTTAACAATGCCCCTGGGCATACATTGCTCTACAGTCTGATCCAATTAAGGTCAAGCCCTGGAGGGATGAGTTTTTGAGGCCAGTCTTTGAGGCTTGTATTTCTCCCACGATGGCTCTTCTTAGCTGTCTCTCTGTCTTCCCTGGTTCTCTCTGGTAAACTAGCTGATCTACTATTTTGCTTATTTATTGCTATTCTGGAGCTACCAGCTTCCTCTAAGTGCTCACCAACAAAATCCTTCTTATTAATGATGCAAATGCCCTTAGGCCTGAACTTCCATACGGTCTGCTGAAGAAAAAATCAATCTCCTCTGACAGAGGTATGGAGTTCAGCTCTCTGTTCTTATGGCCTGCCTTACCCACTGGGCAGAATCTTTGCATCATTGCTCTGGAGCTGGGGTTGGGGATTGTCTTAGTCCATTTGTGCTGCTATAACAGAATACCACAGACTGGGCAATTTATAAAAACCAGAAATCTATTTCATAGTGCTGGAGGCTGGGAAGTCCAAAATCAAGGTGCCAGCAGGTTAGGTGTGGCGAGGGTCCAGTTTTTGCTTCCAAGATGGCACATTGAACACTGCATCCTCTAGAGGGGAGGAGTGCTGTTCCTCACATGGCAGAAGAGTAGAAGAGAGACAGAGAGAGAATCCACTCCCACAAGTCCTTTTTATAGTGACATTAGTCCACTCACTCGGGCAAAGTCCTCATGACCTATAGACCTCATATAAGGCCCACCTCCCAACACTGTTGCATTGGGGATTAAGTTTCTAACACATAAATTTTGGGGGACACTGTCAAACCATAGCAGGGCAATGGTCCACTTATCTTGGTGCGATACCCCTGCTTTATGAGCATAGCTCTGGGCATGGGTGGTAATCTCTGGTTTTCTTGGCTCATCTCCTTCACTACAGAGTATGGACTCCATAAGTGAGCTAGAGTAAGGGCGATCTGAACCAAGTATTTTTGGCCTGCTGTGTCTAGCTTTCACCCTATACATGCGGGCTGGATGGAGGAAGGAAGCCCCAGATCTCTGGGTATTATCCTCCTTCAATAGAGTTTCCAAAACATGGAGCTGGGGGAGAGGGATGAGAACTGCTGGCAATATGCTTCTCCCAGGGGGAACTGTACCCCTGGACTGAGAGCTGGGGGAGAAAGAGTTCTGTTCCTGGTGGCATCTGCCCAGAGTTGAGCTTTTGTCACACTGAGTTGCAGGGGGAGTGGCCTCTAAAGAGTTGAGTTGCAGCTAGGCCGGGCACGGTGGCTCACGCCTGTAATCCTAGCACTTTGGGAGGCTGAGGCAGGCGGATCACGAGGTCAGGAGATGGAGACTATCCTGGCTAACACGGTGAAACCCCGTCTCTACTAAAAAATACAAAAAAAATTAGCCGGGTGTGGTAGCGGGCATCCGGGTCCCAGCTGCTCGGGAGGCCGAGGCAGGAGAATGGCGCGAACCTGGGAGGCGGAGTTTGCAGTGAGCCGAGATCGTGCCACTGCACTCCAGCCTGGGCGACAGAGCGAGACTCCGTCTCAAAAAAAAAAAGAAAAAGAGTTGAGTTGCAGCTAAAATACCAGATTCTCACTGTTTTACTGATATTTAGTAGATTTTTTTCTAAAGAAATGTTTCTCCATTTGTTTTTAGTATTATCTCTGGAGACTTTAGTTGGTTGTTTTATAAATTTCACCCATTATGGTTGTTTCGTTGGGAGGAGGTCCTGTGGAGTTTCTCAGATTGCCATTTCAGAGTGGTTCTTGAGTGCTGTTATGTTTATGTGCTGATCTTGTGTCAGGAAATCTTGCTGCATCATCTCATTCATTCATTCATTCATTCATTCATTTTCTCATTAATTCAACAAACATTCATTAGTTTGATTGTTTTGAGATTTCTAAGTAAATGAATTCAAAGAATTGCAACTTTTACAATCATTCTGGGCCAGTCACGGTGGCTCATGCCTGTAATCCCAGCACTTTGGGAGGCCGAGGTGGGCAGATCACTTGAGGCCAGGAGTTCAAGACCAGCCTGGCCAACATGGCGAAACCCCATCTTTACTAAAAATATAAAAAATACCTAGGTATGGTGGTACAAGCCTATAATCCCAGCTGCTTGGGAGGCTGAGGCCCAAGAATCCCTTGAACCCAGGAGGCAGAGGTTGTAGTGAAGCAGAGATCATGCCACTGCACTCCAGCCTGAGCGACAGAGAGAGACCCTGTCTCAAAAAAATAAAAATAAATAAATAAAAAATAATTCTGTCTTCTGGAAGCTGAGATTTTTAAACAATTTAAAAAAATTATGTCTTTAAATAATTGCAAGTTTTCTCACTTTTTTCTATCTTTTACTTTTTCTTTTTTTTTTATTTTAATGAATTAGACAAGACCTTTCAAAGCTTGGCAAAAGTAGTGATTACAACAAGTATATCTGCTTTCTTTTCTATCTTCTAACATGTCCATTATGTGTGTTTGCTATAGGGTTTTTGTAGGTAGGCTTTATCAATTTAGGAACCTCTTTTATATTCCTGTTTTATAAGAGTTTTAAATGAGAATGTATTGACTTATAAAAATGCTTTCCATTGTCTACTAAGAAAATCTTCTGAGTTTTCTTTGTTACTTTATCTTTGTGAATAAGATTTATAGATGTTCTAATGTTGAATCATCCCCTAATATCTGAGGTAAAGTCTGATTATGATGGCTTATTTTAAAATATATGTTGGATTTTAGTAGTAGTCAATATTTTATTTAGGACTCTCATTTATATTCATAAGTAAAATTGGCCTATAATCCTCTTTCTTTGATTTTCCCCTGTATGGTTTTACTATCAAAGTTATACTTTTTTTCATACGAGTGAGACAGCTTTCCTTCTTTTTCTGTTTTCTTTGTGTGTGTGTGTGTGTGTATGTGTGTGTGTGTGGCACAACTTGTTTGACATAAAGATTAGTTTTTATTTGAAAGTTTGGTTGCAAACCTGTAAAACCTAGACCTGGCTTTGTGTGGATATGAGGTTTAGAGAGAAGTCTTTTTATTACTTCCTAAATTTCTTAAGCATTACTGGTATAAATACATTTTCTATTCATTTGTATTAATTTTTTTTGCATTTTGTACTTTTAAAATTGTTCATTCATTGCTTCTGGGTTTTGACATTTGTTGGTGTTTACTTGTTCATAATATTCCTTTAAATTATTAAAACATCCTTTGTGTCTATAGTTATTTCTCCATTTATATTCTCTATTGTGTTTATTTACACCTTCTTTTTTGTCCCTTGATCATTCTTTCCAAGTTTTATCTTTATGAGCCTTTTCTATAAACCAACTTCTTGTTTTGTTAGTTGTTTATAATTTTCTTTGTCCTGTGCTTTGTTGACCTTTACCTTTATTATTCCTGTTCTCCTTGTTTTTTTAAGGTGTTGAAGAATAGTCTGTCATTAACACACAGCCAATGAGGTCATCAGACTCTTTCATACATGGACAGGTTTTGAGATGTGCCCCTTGTGGAAGAAAACCACAGATGTTTTAGAGCACTGAATTGTAAGCATGCTTAGAGATGATTTATTCCATTAAGGGCAAATATTTAATGTGCTCAATTTGAATGCATGGTTCACGTTCATTTCCCCCCGCACTGAGGTCAGATGCATCCTGGTATTCCCAATACTGTTAGAGACGGCACTGCAGGTGAGGATTCTTTGCCATCCATAGTTCCCCCTACTTAAAGTGTGGCCCACGTTGCAATCACCTGGGAGTTTTTTTTAGAGATGCAGAATATTGGGCCCTAGGCCAGGCCTACTAAATCAGAATCTATATTTTAACATCTTCAGATGAATCATTAGGCATTGAAGTTTGAGAAACACTTGGTCTAACACCATTATTTTGCAGGTGAGAAAACTAAGAGCCTCAGAGGTAAGGTAATCTACCCAAGACTATGTAGAAGAAGGAGGTTTTCATAGCAAAATTAAGCAGGGGAAGAGAGGGAAAGAAAGAGAATGAGAGAAAGGGAGAGTAAGAAAGCCAAGAGACAGATGAATGCAATGGAAAATGAGAAACATGAGTGAGGAGAAGGCAGATGGGGAGTCAGTCTTCCCCCAGGATACAGTTCATCTGAGGCCAACTTCTGGGCATGCTGAGTAGCCAGAAGTTTTATTCACCATAATAGAAGCTTTTCTCAGTGTCCTTGGTATCAGGCTTGAATGACTGTCGGCAAACACACTCACATTTCAATAAAACTCAAGTTCTTTTTCTGGCAGTGGAAGTAGCAGTAAAAAAGGCTAGGAAATGAAAACATCTGTCACATGGCTTTTGAGGTGCCAGGTGTCACAGCCCTAGGGCCAACTGTCCTTTTGCAACATGGCTTCCTTGGACCTCCTACCTGTCTTGTAGGCCTCTGCCCTGGGCTGTGGATAGCCTGCTACCTCAAGGATGCAGTCATAAATCTGCAGTGACCCTACCCTGTCTGTTCACAGAGCTCCTTTCCAGGAAGACCAGGAATTATTTATTGCAGCCCATAGAATTCTCTGTAAGGTTTTACCCCCAGATGCAGGAGATGCATGTTCTGTTTCTGTTTGACATCCCATGTCAGAACTGAGCCCTGGAAGAGGAGTAAGTAATTCAGCATTATACACAGAGAGTAAAGTTATGTGGTTATATATCAACACAAGGCACTGGAAGTCCTTCGAAATCAGGAGAGTATAATTTTAGAATGAACGTAATGAAAATGTCAAAGGAGATCCATCTTTCTCTTCTACCTCTAAGATGTGCTAAAAATAATTGAGACAATTTTCCACGTGTGGATGCATGCCTTATACCACAGTTGCCGCCTGGGGAGGACACTGAGCTGGGAGAACAGACCTCTAGGTCACCAGCCCTGATCTCTTTGGACTTTCAAGAACTGAATGCCCAGCTGCTTCTCAAATGTCTTCTCAAGACTGTCCTGACAATAGCACCTCAAACTCAACATGTTAGAAACTGAACTCATTATTTTTCCTTCCAGATTTCTTCTTGATTTTATCTTTCCTTTTGTGCAATGCACCAAAGCAAGATCGTCTCAATTTCATAGCCAGGTTATTGGCATCACGCAGTTCCCTGTTGCTCAAGCTCCAACAAGTTGCTATCCTTGACTTCTCCCATTCCACTACTTCTCTATCCAAAGAATGGGTGGTTCCTGTCAATTCTGCTTCCCGAGAGGTCCTCAGATCCATCTTCCCAGTCTGGCTGCAGCTGTTCTGACCCAGGTCATTGTTTTTCACTGTATTATTGTGTATTGTGATGACCTCCAAAGGTTAGTCTCTGTCCACACCATCACCAGGTTCATCTTCTGAGAGCATCAACACAGCCCGTTTCTTGCCTCCTTAGAGGCCTTCTCTCTCAGTCAGAATCGAGAACTCGCTTAGATACTTGCACACGCATTTTTATAACAGCACAATTCGCAGTTGCAAAAATATGGAACCAACCCAAATGCCCATCAATCAATGAGTGGATAAAGAAACTGTGTTTTATATATATATGAAGGAATACTACTCAGCCATAAAAAGGAATTAATTAATAGCATTTGCAGCAACCTGGATGGGATTGGAGACTGTTATTCGAAGTGAAGTAACTCAGGAATGGAAAACCAAACATCTATGTTCTCACTTATAAGTGGGAGCTAAACTATGAGGATGCAAATGTATAAGAATGACACAGTAGACTTGGGGGACTCATGGGGAAAGGGTGGGAAGCAGGTGAGGGATAAAAGACTACAAATTCTGCTTGGTGTATTTGTACAGTGTATACTCCTTGGATGATAGATGCACGAAAATCTCACAAATTACCACTAAAGAACTTACTCATGTAACAAAATACCACCTGTTCCCCAAAAACCTATGGAAATAGAAAAAATCTTTTAAAAAGAACTCACTTAGAAGCATCTCCTGTCTTCCCTGTGAGCTGGCCCCATCCACCTTCTCCATGCTGTCTGTCACCATGCCCCTCCACACAGCTTTGGCCACGCCAGCCTGCCTGTTCTTCCTTCATACACTCACACCTTAGATCTTTGTGTATTCCCATTGCCAAGGCCGGGAATGTCCTTCCCTGCCTCCTACATATCAAAAAAACAACTGTTTGGATAGTGCTACTCTTTCCTCCTCAGCTCTCTGGGGATAATGTATCCTCTGCCTTTTGATGAAATCTTGGGTGTTTGAGTCTGCCAGCTCATTCTTCAGAACTAAAAAGTCCTCCAGTCATTTTTTTTCTTTACCACACAATAATTCTTATTTTAGTAATTAATATATCCAGCCCAAGGCAACGTTTAAGGAAAAAAAGGCACCCAACTTTATTCAAGGTAAAATGTTTTGTCCCCTTTCACTCCAGCTATGCCTATTGTCGAAGTTATAGTGTGTGTGGATGTGTGTATATGTGTATGTATGTATGTGTGTATGTGTGTATGTGTGTTTATATATGCAGGTATGTATGCCTAGGTATGTGTGTGTAGGTGTGTATGTGTATTTATGTGTATGAGTTTATGTGTAGGTGTATGTGTGTTTGTGTGTCTGTGTATGTGTGCAAGCATGTGTATACTATGTGTGTGCATGCATGTGTATGTGTGTATGTGTGCATGCATGTGTATGTGTGTATGTGTGCATGCATGTGTACATGTGCACGTGTGCATGTGCATACATGTGCATGTTCATGCATGTGTGTGTGTATGGTATATGAGTGTGCGTGTGCATGTCTGCACTGGGTCAGATGGGGAGTCGGAAGTGAGTGGGAAGCTTCTTTTCTGTTTCCCGTCTTGTGCTTTCCTTCCTCCTGCCCTGCCACCAGCTTATTAGCTGAGGTTGCTGACCTTCCAGGTCAGAATGGGGGTAAGGGAATGGGGATAGGTGAGGGCCAGGAGAGGTCTAGCAGAACTGGTATTTACATAAATGTGAGTTGACTACTTCTGACCACAGCAAATTAGTAGATGCAAAGCTGCCTCCATCTGTTGGAGTACATTTGTGGGCCCTTTGGGGTCTTCACTGGGAATATTTGACCAAGTTGCTTATAGTATATGCCATTTCTGTTCTCTGCTGCTGTTCTTAGGAATCCAGGTCTAGCGTTCCACCCCAGGCTGGGGTCCTCATTCTTCCCCAGGCAGATTTCAGGGGCAGTATTTGAGTGTTTTACAAATGTCCAGTCTCTCCTATGGCCCATACCTGATCCATTAGAAAGAGTTGTGCATCTTTGCCACTGATGTGGGTGGACATGTCTACCACTTCTGACTCATAGTGACAGCTTCTCCTATTTAGAAAGAGACACCATTGTAGGGAGGCTGAAAGTTCCTGAGAACAGTCCATTGTGCTAGCCAAACTCCAGGATGCAAGGGAAGCATCCAGAATCCAGAATGGTGCCTGGAATTCTTTTTTTTTTTTTTTTTTTTGAGATGGAGTCTCACTCTATCGCCCAGGCTAGAGTGCAGTGGCGCGATCTCAGCTCACTGCAAGCTCCGCCTCCTGGGTTCACGCCATTCTCTTGCCTCAGCCTCCCGAGTAGCTGGGACTACAGGCGCCTGCCACCACGCCTGGCTAATTTTTTATAGTTTTAGTAGAGCTGGGGTTTCACTGTGTTGGCCAGGATGGTCTCGATCTCCTGACCTCGTGATTCGCCCGCCTCGGCCTCCCAAAGTGCTGGGATTACAGGTGTGAGCCACTGCGCCCGGCCGGTGCCTGGAATTCTTACTAGGCTTAGGTGAAGAGAAAATATCCCTCCAACAAGGGACCTCACGACCCCATCTCAAAGACCATTTCTCCAACTTTTCCAACTTTAACTCTAGTTTTTGGGCAGGTCAAGGTGGGCTGTGGGCCACAAAATCATTCTATTACTTCCTTTGTAGGTCCTGCAGAGTTGGTCAAAGGGAAAGCCTGTGTTTGCTGTTTCGGAGCACCTGCTGAAACTGACCCTGCATTGATGTCTGTCTACATTGTCATTCAAGATTTTGCTCAAGTGTCTCCTCCTTAGAGGACAGTGAGGCTTCTATCCTCCTCAAGTGTGAATGATGATAGTGAGGTAGGAGGTGGGACTCAACTCAGGAGGTGGGACCTGACGCCGGAGGTGGGGCTTGAAAACTAGACCAAACTGAGGACTAGCTAAAACAGGGACAGGGTGGAAGCACCTTTTCATAAGACACGCCCACCAGTGTGCCATGACAATTTACCATTGCATGGCAATACTTGAAAGTTACCGTCCCTTTCCAGGGCAACGACCTGATGGCCTGAAGTCACCACCTTTTCTAGAAATTTCTCCATAATCCACTCCTGAATTTGCATATAACTAAAGGTGAATATAAATAGGACTGCAGGCCAGGTGCGGTGGCTTATACCTATAATCCCAGCACTTTGGGAGGCTGAGGCGGGTGGATCACTTGAGGTCAGGAGTTTAAGACCAGCGTGGCCAACACAGTGAAACCCCATCTCTACTAAAAATGCAAATATTAGCTAGGCATGGTGGCAGGTGCCTGTAATTTCAGCTACTTGGGAGGGTGAGGCAGGAGAATTGGTTGAACCCGGGAGACGGAGGTTGTGGTGAGCAGAGATCGCAGCATTGCATCCCAGCCTGGGTGACAGAGTGAGACTCTGTCTCACAAAAAATAAATAAATAAATAAATAAATAAATAAATAAATAAATAAAAATATGACTGCAAAACTGCCTCTGAGCTGCTAACCCCTCACACTGCCTAAGGAGTAGCCCTGCTCTGCAAGAGCAGTGAAGGAGCTGTAACACTGCTACCTCAATAAAGCTTCTACCACTGGCTTACTCTTAAATTTTTTCCTGAGTGAAGCCAAGAAGTCTCCTGGGCTAAGCCCCAATTTGGAGCTTGCTTGCCCTGCATCAGTGGCAGAGGGTTTCCTGGCATGAACCAGAAGTTACTTTTTCCTAAAAATGCCTGGGAACTGAAGAGGGGTGCCTTTGACCAGTGGAGCTTCAGCTGTCTTTTAAAAATTATTTTCCAGGCCCGGCGCGGTGGCTCACGCCTGTAATCCCAGCACTTTGGGAGGCTGAGGTGGGCAGATCACTAGGTCAGAAGTTCGAGACCAGGCTGACCAATGTGGTGAAACCCTGTCTCTACTAAAAATAAAAAAAATTAGCCAGGCGTGGTGGCAGGTGCCTGTAATCCCAGCTACTCAGGAGGCTGAGGCAGGAGAATTGCTTGAACCCACGAGGCGGGGGTTGCAGTGAGCTGAGATCATGCCACTGCACTCCTGCCTGGGCAACAGAACGAGACTCCATCTCAAAAAAAAAAAAAAAAAAAAAAAAAAAATATATATATATATATATGTATTTGCCAATATCTAGAAAGATACACATGTGCAAGGAATACACACCCAGGAATGATCTGTTCCCACATCTGTGTCCTTCCAGCTTCGCTCTGCCTTCTGAGCACTAGCTGTCTCTGAAGGAACAGGGCTGTCACCCTGGAATATTAGAGCAAGATGGGGGATTTGTTTGGGATCTGAGCCTTATCTTGGTGCAGGGAGAGCCAGATAAAAGTGACCCAGTTAGTCATTCAAGAAATATTTGTGCACCTAATATGCCAGGCCCTTGGCTAAGTACTGGGGATTTAATGATTAAAGGAAAATAAAAAGAAATAGTTCCTACCTTCATGGAAGGTGGGATCCCCAAATAATGGAAAGCTACTATCATTTGTAATATTTTTCCAGACCAGAGCTAGTTGGTGACCTGGAAGCCAAATCCAGATCATTGATGTGCATTTTTGCACATTATTTTAGAATATTCTAAAATAAGCTGCATTGGTTGATGACATTTAATAATTGAGAGATTTTACACAACAAAATCTGTTTTTCTGGCTTCTCCCGAAAATCAGCAGATCTGACGGCCCTGGGTTCTGATTTTCCCAGAGCAACAACCTGCTGGAGTTGATTACCAGCTACCTTTTAGAGGAAGCATGCACGTGCCGGTTTGCCTCAGTCCCCACCACTCCCTTTTGTACATTCCTCAGCCTGCTTCGCTCATTTAGGTTACCGGCCTGCCCCTGTAGAGGTTTGATTTTTGGATCTGGCTCTGATCTAGTAATTTTCAAGTTTTATTTTTTTTTCAGGAAAATGCCTTTACAAAAAAACAAAAAGCAAAATTTTATGCAAACCCAAATATATCAAATACTTGAAACCATAGCTGCTTTCGTTGGAGGAAAAGAGAGCAGGGAACCTCATCTTCCCTCATGTCCACTGAGGGGAGTCTTGGGGCTCTGAAGTATGTATTAATAGTTTGGAATCCCTTGCCCCTTGTTCAAACTCTGACCCTGTAACCACTTGCTGTAACAATCTATAACCGTAGTAGCAACCAATAGACCTTCAGGTTTGCCCTGTTCCCTTTGCTACCTGGAGCCCCGTCTAGCTCACACCGCCCTCTTTGCTCTGATGGGCTTAACAACCTGTATGCCTGGGTCTGAGTGGCCTCGAGGCTGATGTGGTCAGAGTGGGACTTGCCAGAAAGCATCTTCACAGAGGGCTCCACTGCTCTTTGTGCCTCCTTTAGCATTTCAGCAAACTATTGGATTTCACTGTGACTTCAGCCCCTGTCTGATGAGTTTAAACAAATGAGGCAAATATGAATGAAATCCTCACCTATAATAACAACAATTCAAGAGGAGGGCCCTTGGTCTTTGCATATATACAATAGTCCCCAACTTCTTGTTTCCTAAATATTTGCAACTCTGTATGCCAAAGGGTGAGCCCACAAGTGAAGGACGTGAGCTTGGAGGGTAAGAAAATTGTCTTCCTTTGCATTTAAGATGTTTTGAGACTAGGCCAACATGAGGCCCTGCCTTAGGTTTGGGCTTGGACAATTCTGCCTCTGTCTTCCTAAAGACTTCTATTTTAGAAGGAAAAGTTGCTCTTTTTCTTGGTCTGTCCCATATGTGTGTCTTGTCAGAAGGTCAGATGCTAGGTCAGGGGTCTTCATGTCCTCACTTTCCCCCCAGTTTGTCTTAGAGACTGTGGGAATTCAAAATTTGATGACCACTTTGGAAAACAGTTTGGCAGTTTCTTGTAAAGTTAAACATTTTCCTACCTTATGAATAGATGTTTACTCAAGTGAAAAGAAAACATGCTCACTCAAGGGGCTGTACCTCAGTGTTCACAGCAGCTTTTCTCATAATTGCCAAAACCTACAATAATCCAGGTGCTTATCAGAATGTGAATGGATAAGCAATTGTGGTATATCCATACCATGGAATACCACTCAGCAGTAAAAATGAACAAACCTTGAAACATGCAAAAACATGGATGGATCTCAAAGGCATTATGCTAAGGAAAGAAGCCAGGTACAAAAGACTAAATCCTGTATGATTTTACTTCATGTGACATTCTTAAAAAAACAGGCAAAGCTATGGTAACAGAAAGCAAGCAGATAATTAGCTGTCTGGAGTTCAGGCTGGGGGAAGAGGATTGACTACAAAAGGGCATGAGGGAATGTTTTGGGATAAAGTTTTGTGTTTTAGCTTTTGTATTTAGGTCTGTGGTTTATTATGAGTTAAATTTTGCGTATAGTGTGAGGTAAGGATTGAAGTAGGTTTTTTTTGGTTTTTGTTTTGTTTTGTTTTGTTTTGTATGTAGATATCTGTTGTTCCAATACATTTGTTGAAAATGTTCTCACTTTCCCATCAAATTCTTTTTGCATCTTCCTCAAAAATCAATTGGCCATATGTATGTCTGTGGATTGTAATTATTTTTCAAATGATAGATTTTACTTTAAATTTGCAATTAAAAAATCTGACTTTCCCTCTAGCTGTAGACTCTGCCTTTGACATGACTGCTTCCTAATAGTAATAACTGGTGTCATAATAGCTAACATTTACTGAGGACCTACCACCTACCTAGCACTATTTCAAAACTTTTACATCTATTAACTAACATAACCCTCACAACTACCCTGTGAAATATGTTCTATTATTTCCATTTTACAGAGGAAAGAACAGCTCTGTAACGTTAAATAATTTGTGCAAGTTCCAAAGCTAAAATAACAAAGCTGGGATTTGATCCAGGCAGTCAAACTCTCACAGACCGCTTAAATTCAGCCCTGCAACTGTCTCTCCGTCTCTCCCCAGCTCCTGGCGTATAGTAAGTGCTCAACAAGCGTTAATGGAGTCAGTAAATAGAATAATAATTTATAACACCAACTTGTGATTATTTACGTGTTTATCATTGCAACTTGATGGCGTGCTCCTTTGTTACAGAAGGAAATGTACCGTTGACTAATTCTAAAACATTTAGTGAGGCTTAGTAATGTGTTAAACAGTGTGCCAGATGGGAGAAACACAAAGATGAAAACACGGACAAATGATTAAATGAATGAACAAACACATTGGCTTAACCTGGTAGATTCTGTTCCCAAAAGGGTTGACTTAACTTACAAAACTATCCCTAGGATGTAGATTTGGAGTGGGAGCCCGACTGCTTGCTGTAGCTCCAACTTTCTGATCTTCAGTTGGATCATCCAAGGCATAGGGCTAATAAAACCTGCCCTGCATACCTCTTAGGGTTATTGTGAAGTCAAAATAATACTGCCCATAAAAGAATTTAGTAAACTGTACAGAGCTAAGCAGATGTCAGAGGCCGTCACCTTGACTTTAAACTTGTTCCAGGTGGTGCAAGGCCAAAAAAATATGTGATCTGCTCATGTGTATGTTTTGCAGCCTCTTTCTCAGGGCAGCAGAGCGGGTGCAGATTGCAAATCCACCAATGGTGCACAAGAAACCAGAAGGTAGGAGCTGACTCCAGCCTGGAAAATGTTCAACAGATTCTGTGCTGCTCATGAGGGGCACTGACAGTTTATTCTCACATCCTGGCTTCTGGCCTGAATAGAATCCCCACAGATTGGAGTACTGGGTGTAAGCATGTGTTAGGTGCCTGTGTGCCTGCTCTTGCACGGCAGGGCTGCACAGAGAAAAGCCCTGATGCAGGAGATGGACAGAGAAGACTGGACAGAGGCCTTAAAGTCCTTTGGATGTTGGGGATGAGCGTTAACTTTGTCAGTATCAGGAAGCTGGGAACTTCTCTCTCGATAAGAAAGAATAGAAAAAGAAAATCTATCTTTTTATTCAATTCAATTCAATAAATGTTTATTGAACACCTACTGTATGCCTGGCATTGTATTAAGTACTGTGGGGACCGTAAAGATGAACAAGATCCTAACCATGTCCTCTGGGAGCAGGTGTGCCCTCAATAAACCGAGGTACGAAGGGACATGACTTGTAAAGAAGTCAACCCACTGAAGGTTGTCCTCTGAGCCTCATGGGCTCTCTTGGTTTTGGCTGCATCTGGATTTCCACACAAAGCTCATCTCCTTCCTTGGCCTCCACTTGAAAATTAAACACTCTAAGCATGCATTGCTGAGTGTCAGTGAGCATGTCTGATGCTTTACTGGAGCTGTGGCATGTGATGGTGGAGGGGTAAAATTCTCAATACTTAGAGTTTACCCAAAACATGCCAATTCCACAGTTTCTCCCTAATCTCCCCTCCCAGCCCCAGCCATGAGGCCTGAACCTCTTCCATCCTCCCCCAGGCCTCTCCCTTACTCCTGCCATTTTCCTTTGGCAGATTCATTTCCTTCCATAGAAACCCTGGGATCCAAACAGGACTGGGAGGTTCTTTCTCCTTCCATAGACCCCTCATCAATACCAAGTGTCTTCTTTACCAAGAAGCTCTTTCCCTGCAAAGGAACGCTAAGAGAAGCACTTGGAAAATATACACAGACATAGGATTTACCAGTTGCTATGGCTGTGTACCCGCAAATTCACATGTTGAAACCTAACCCCCAATGTGATGGTATTAGGAGGTGTGGCTTTTGGGAGGTATTAGGTCATGAGAGCAGAGCCATCATGGATGGGGTTAGTGCCTTTATAAAACAGACCCCAGAGGACTCCCTTGCCTCTTCTGCCATGTGAGGACTCAGCAGGAAGGCATCACCTGGCAATCAGGAAACAGGCCCTCCCCAGACAATAAATCTGCCAGCAACTTGACGTTGGACTTCCCAGCCTCCAGAACTGTGAGAAAGAAATTTCTATTGTTTATCAGCCACTCAATTTATGGTATTTTGTGATAGCAGCTTGAATGGACTAAGACATGAATTACTTACTAGTTTTTTTTGATTGAGGTAAAATAGGCATACATAACACAAAATTCAACATTTTACCCATTTTAATGTGTGTAATTCAGTGGCTTTTAGTACATTCAAAATGTTGTGCATCAGTATCTAATTCCAGAACAATTAATTTCATCACCCCCAAAAGAAACCCTGTACCTGTTAAGCATTCACTCCTCATTTACTGCTCCCCCAGCCACCGGTAGTTATTTGTGTTGACAAAACTGGTTCCATTTACATGGCTCTATGGTTTGATTTTCTCACTTGAGACATCAGAAACATCCCTTTCAGTTTAAAAGTCGATTTTTATTTTCATGGCTGCAATGCAATTTTGTGACTTGCCTATACCACAACTAGTAGACATTTTCCTGTTTATAATCAGTTGTTTCCCTGTCTGAGCCTCTTCAGTGATCGTTGTTTGCATGTTCTCAGGTTCTGCTACTCAGTTTTTTATCTTATTTTGTTATTTTTTTAATCACTCTGTCACCCAGGCTGGAGTGCAGTGATGTGATCATAGCTCACTGCAGCCTCAAACTCCTGGGCTTGATCTATCATCCCACCTCAGCCTCCCAAGTAGCTAGGACTACAGGTGTGCACCACCACATCTGGCTAACTTAAAAAAATTGTAAAGATGAGGTCTCCCTTTGCTGTCTGGGCTGGTCTTGAACTCCTAGCCTCAAGCAATCCTCCTGCCTTGGCCTCCCAAAATGCTGGTATTACAGGCATGAGCCACATGTCTGGCTTGCTACTATTAGTTGTTGTTGTTGTTATTTTTCTTTGAGATAGGGTCTTGCTCTGTTGCCCAGGCTGGAGAGCAGTAGTATGATCATGGCTCGCTGCAGTCTTGACCTCCCTGGGCTCAAGTGACCGCCCACCTCAGCCTCCTAAGTAGCTGGGACTACAGGCGTGCATCACCACACCTCGCTAATTTTTGTATTTTTTGTAGAGATGGAGTTTTGCCATGTTTCCCCAGCTGGTCTTGAACTGCTGGCCTCAAGTGATCCTCCTGCCTCAGCCTCCCAAAGTGCTGGGATTACAGGCGGAAGCCACCGCAGCCAGCCCTATACTACCAGTTTTTAAAAGTTGAGTCCCCAAATGAAACTGCTTTGCCAAGGGCCTAAGAATTTTTAAATGTAATAGATATTAGAATATTACTTTCCCTAAAGGTTCGTACAGTATTTTTTTTTGTATCAATGACATTTTATTCTCTGTTCAGAAAGACCTTGCACATGACTCCAGTGTCACACATCCTTTAGTCTCTGCCTTTGTATGATCTTCACTTTCATATATTTGAGGAGATCTGGGCCCCTAATGCACTTGAAGCCGGGATAAACAAGAAGGGTTTGCCCCCAGGGACCTGTTCCCTATGCTCTGGGCTTTTCTGTGTACTCTCCTGGGGCAGATGAGATTGGCAAAGACTGTCTGTTGATTTTCTAACTTTTAGCAGGTTCAACTGTGGTGGTCCTTTCTGTTCTTCAGTAACAATCAATGACACAGCAGGCTGGCAGAAGTGTTTTTTGTTTTTTTTTTTTGACGGAGTTCTGCTCTGTCACCAGGCTGGATGGAGTGCAGTGGTGCGATCTCGGCTCACTGCAACCTCTGCCTCCTGCGTTCAAACGATTCTGCTGCCTCAGCCTCCTGAGTAGCTGGGATTACAGGCACCCACCACCACGCCCAGCTAATTTTTGTATTTTTAATAGAGACAGGGTTTCACCATGTTGGTCAGGATGATCTTGATCTCTTGACCTTGTGATCCGCCCACCTCAGCCTCCCATTTTTTTCTTTTTCTTTCTTTTTTTTTTTTTTTTTAGTAAGCATTTTCTTTTAGAGCAGCTTTAGATTTACAGAAAAATTGTGATGATAGTGCAGGGAGTTCCCATATCCCCCACACCCAGTTCCCCCATTAGGAACATCTTACACAGGTGTGGTACATGCGTTACAATGAATGAACTGCTACTGATACGTTACTATTAGCCAAGGTCCATCCTCTACTCAGATTTCCTCAGCTTTTATCTAATGCCCCTTTTCTGTTTCCGGTTCCCATCCAGGATACCGTATTAGATTGAGTTGCTTTGTCTTCTTAGGTTCCTCTTGGCTGAGACAGTTTGTCAGATTTTCCTTGCTTCAAATGACCATCATATAGCACTTTAAAAGATGAGATTTCAGCTGGGCACGGTGGCTCATACCTGTAATCCCAGCACTTTGGCAGGCTGAGGTGGGCGGATCACCTGAGGTTGGGAGTTCAAGACCAGCCTGACCAACATGGAGAAACCCCATCTCTACTAAAAATACAAAATTAGCCGAGTGTGGTGGCGCATGCCTGTAATCCCAGCTACTCGGGAAGCTGAGGCAGGAGAATCACTTGAACCCAGGAGGCAGAGGTTGCGGTGAGCGGAGATCACGCCATTGCACTCCAGCCTGGGCAATAAAAGCAAAACTCTGTCTCAAAAAAAAAAAAGAAGAGAAGATTTCTTCTTTATCATTAAAGGCATTATATAAAGACCAGCGATAGATGAATTCTGCCTGGGATGATGTGAGAAGGCTTCTTGGAAAATGCATGATTTGAACTGGGCCTTAAAGGGTGGCTTGGTAGGTAGAGATGCTGCAGAAAGCTTCTGGGCAGAAGCGATTATGTGAGTAAAACCACAGCCATGGGAATGTGTTGATGCGCTCTGGGAGTGGGAATTAGCGCAGCAGGGGTAGGGCATGTGGGGGCCCTAAGAAATGCATTTAGTGCAGTAAGTGGGCCGGTCAGGGCACGCAGACATGGCTAGTTTAGGAAGAGCTCTCACCTGCTTTCCCTATTTCTTTCTTTTCTTTTCTTTTTCTTTTTTTTTTTTTAGACGGAGTTTCGCTCTTGTTGCCCAGGCCGGAGTGCAGTGGCACGATCTCTTCTCACTGCAATCTCTGCCTCCTGGGTTCAAGTGATTCTCCTGCCTCAGCCTCCTGAATAGCTGGGATTACAGGCGCGCATCACCACGCCTGGCTAATTTTGGTATTTTTAGTAGAGACGGGGTTTCACCATGTTGGCCAGGCTCGTCTTGAACTCCTGACCTTAAGTGATCCACCTGCCTCAGCCTCCCAAAGTGCTGGGATTACAGGTGTGAGCCACTGCACCCGACCTTCCCTACTTCTTTCTTACCTCTTTTTCTAGCATGACAAAAGAAATAGCTTATCAGAGAAAGAAGAGACCCCTGCCCAACACGGCCCGAGGGTGGTGTCTGTCGGAGGGACTTGACACACAGATGTAATCTGACCTTGCCAGTCTCAGGAATCAAGCTCCCAGTGTGTCTCTCTCTATTATTGCAGATGTCCGTAGCCTTTGTGGGGTTAATAAGGGACACCATTTCTAAACTATTTTAGAGATTACTTTACAAAGTCATAAAAACGCACAATTCTACCAACATTATATTACGGTTGCTAAAAATATCACATGACCATTGGTTAGCTCACAGCAATAGATATCCCACAGACTAATTTAATCACTGGCAGGAGGCCACGCAGTCTCCAGACAGGATCAGAATCAAACTGAGGGCTGCTAAATTTAGAAATATAAATTTGGGTTTGTTTAGAATGATTTGAAAACTGAAAGAACACATAAGCCAGGACGCAAGTGTGGTTGTCTGCTCCGAAGGCAGAGCCTTTGTGGCATTCCTTGATCGCCTTGCACTTTGGTCTGTCCTGCAGACCCAACCCTGCTTTTGGCTTTTCATTGGAAATATTAGGTCAGGGACCCACGTTTGAAAGTCAGAGCAGACCTTTGATGTCGTCTGGGCTGGACCTACATTCTTCTTCTGGATATGATACCATTGTCATTGGCTTACTGTGAGGCCTCTATGACAGATTGATTTTAGGGTGACTATAACAATTCTCCTGTTCCTCTCTTTGACGTTGGGTCAATGCTACCTACTTTTCCCACCCTGATGTAAGAATGAGTGTCTGCAGAGTCGCCTTGAGGTTTCATCTGGGGCCAGGAGGCTAACGAGTCCCGTAGGGAATGACTGAAAGGGAAAGATGGATAAAGAAAAGTTGTGCCCTACACACTCCTCTTGTTCAATGTTTACTGTGAAGAGGATTTTTTTTTTTTTTTTTTTGAGAAGGAGTCTCACTCTGTCACCCAGGCTGGAGTGCAGTGGCGCGATCTCGGCTCACTGTAAGCTCTGCCTCCCGGGTTCATGCCATTCTCCTGCCTCAGCCTCCCGAGTAGCTGGGACTACAGGCGCCCACCATCATGCCCGGCCATTTTTTTTTTGTATTTTTTAGTAGAGACGGGACTTCACTGTGTTAGCCAGGATGGTCTCTATCTCCTGTCCTCGTGATCTGCCCGCCTTGGCCTCCCAAAGTGCTGGGATTACAGGTGTGAGCCACTGCACCCGGCAGTGAAGACGACCTTAAGACACAAATGTCCTTAGCCACAGGAACTCTGGGTAGGTGGGGATTCAAGTGGGTGATGGCCAGGTATGGAAAGGGGAGTGGTGAAACTCACTCATGTTACTATTTGGGATGTTGTCCCTAAAATCACTGAGGAAATCAGCATGGTTGAGTCAAAGGGCCCTTGAGTACATATCAGCATAACCAGCCCGCTTATCCAGCCCCAAGTACTTCTCATGTGGCCTTCAGGGTATCTGTGACTCCCCTCTTCCTTGCTCAGGATGCAGGAGGAAGAGGTCTCACCCATTGTCACTACTTCCTATTACATATCCCTCTTGCTGTCCTTCAAACATGCCAAATGCTTCCATGTCCAGGCTTTTGTCTTTACACCCTGCCTGGAATGCTCTTCCAGCAGATACTTCCATGAGCTTCTTCTCTCTTTATTTAGGGGTCAGTTCAAATGTCACCTCCTCCAAGATGTCTTCCTGGAAGTCATATCTACAACGGCTCTTTTATAGCCCCATTCTCTCTTCCTGCTTTATCTTCTTAGATATAACCCATTACTGTGTATTATATATCACATCATATTGTGGATATATATACACACACACTATATATATATGATGTGATATTGTATATATACATAAATTAAAAAATATATATATATATTTTTTAGAGATGAGGTCTCCCTCTGTCACCAAGGCTGGAGTGCAGTGGCATGATCTCAGCTCACTGCAGCCTTGAACTATCGGGCTCAAGCAGTCCTCTTGCTGGGACCACAGGCACACATTATCATTCTTGGTGAATTTTTAAAATTTTATTAGAGACGGGGTCTTGCTGTGTTGCTCAGGCTAAATATTATACACTTATTTGCTTATTATCTATTTCCTCCACACAAATGCACACTACATAAGGATGCTCAATAAACAGTTGTTGAATGAATAAATGAGTGAATGAGTGATGATAATGTCCATTCCTTATACTTGGATAAAACTTTACTACAAATATGGCTGTACATTTGCATGCAAATTCAATCAGGAATTCACATCCTCATTTTTTTAATATGTTGCTTATTTCTCCCTTGGTATTGTAACCACCCTTGTAAATGTGTAATTACCGACTGAGATACAGGCTCTGAAGGGAGGCCAGATAGACCACGGCCTCCCAGAGAGAGTATCCTTTGAGCTGGGAACTGAACGGCAGTAGTCTATTGACTGGGTGAAGTGCAGCGAAGAACACTGCAGAGAAAACGGTATACACACTGTAGTTCCTCAATGTTATGGCACATATTTCTTCAGCTCTTCACCTTTCTGGCTTTGGAATAGCCTTAGAATCAATAGCCATCTCACGATCACTTTTGGTCAGGTGGCAGCCGTGACATATTGTCATTGCCTGGACTCACGAGATCTCTACTGTTGTTGGTGATGGCATGGCTGGACAACAGAAGAGCCATCTGAGGGAGGCTTATCAGTCTCAATTGCCTTCTGAAAAACTCCCACTGACACCTTCTGGTTAGGCCAAGAAAGTGCCAACATCAAAAATTTGAGAATGCCTGTCCAGGCCTTGGGGAAAAAAAAAATCTAGAAGGCAATAGAGTTGCTGGGAACTGAAGATACCGAGTCATCAACACTCTTGAGGGCTCAGAGAAAGAAAGCTCGGAGGATGTGAAATAACACAGACATCGATGCCTCAGAGCTGAAAGCGATTCAGAAGTGCCAGACTCTCAACATGAGGAGATTTTGGAAATACCGTAATCAATGAGTTCAGCATGTATTTTCATTTTTATGTAGGCACAAGAGCAATAAACGATTCAGTCCTATGTCTAAAGAAGGCTACAAGAACTCCTTTGAGAAGCATAAAATAACAATTCTGAGCATTAATCATTAAGAAAGCATAGTGTCAGAATTTCATCGGCAGAGATTTTTATTTCTTAAAGTTACATAAAGTAGCAGTACATCTTGGAATTGGTGAGATCTTGGATTGGATGGAATACAGTAAGATTGGTTTGAGGATCTGAGGGTTGGGTTGGACAGTACCAGGGGACGTGGGCAAGCGGGTGGTGAGGAGCACCCATGTTGGTCAGAGGAGGCTGATCAGTGGCCCGTCACGGTGTGCCCTGAGAAGGGATAGCTTCTTCGAGATTGAACTAATGGGCTATTTTCTGCAACACCAATGCATTCTCATATTAATAGCCTTCAGCACAGTTTAAGTGTAAGAATTACTTTGCTACTGACATTGAGAAGAAACATATGGCAGATAGACACAATACTCATTCTCCAAATCACCCCAAATAAATAGAAAAATCCCAAAGGCACCCTTAGGGATATATAGAGAAGAGAAAAGGCAAGGCTGAATTAACATCTACAGGCCAGGAAGAGGAGGTCAGATGTCTGTGGAAATACTGTTTAGCTCTCCAGGTCATTCAGTATTTGCAAGCCGTAAATGAAATTGTCCAAATTTGTTTCCTCATGAAAATGTCAGCTTGAGAGCTTAAAGTGAGTAATTCTTTTCTTATGGTTTGAAAAAAGAAGCCCACTTTATTTTGTTGCCCTCAAGACAAAAGAGGCTTTTTGTTCTTGTTCCATGTTTCCAGTTTGCTGGTACTTTTCAGATTTTCTTACATAGAGTGATGATATAAATTTTCAGGTGGAAGAAACTAGATGCTGACATGTTTGTTTGGTTTAAGCCAGAGCTGTCATCACCAATCTGCCGGGCCTGGAGGGATGGGGTTCTTGGTTCCCCCTTTCCCTGTTCCCCAGGTGAGATCTGTGACCCACAGATGACTCTTTTTTTGCAAGACATGTTAATAGGATGGTGCATAAAAGGGATATGGCTACATAATTCTTGTTAATAAATGTCCTGTTTAGTTACCTCATGTTAATTAATCTCAAAGCAAAGACAGCTGTCAGATTTTGTTTGGGTTCAAGCCTGAAAATAACTTGTAGCTTTTAAAAAATACCTAGTTTTTCTTTTCCTCTTTCTTCTTCTCCCTCTCCTCCTCCTCTTCTTCTCTTCGTCTCCTCCTCCTCCTCCCTTTCCTCCCCTTCCTTTTCTTCCTCTTCCTTCTTCCTCTCTTCCCCTTCCTCTTCCTTCTTCCTCTCTTCCCCTTCATCCTCCTCTTCCTCCCCCCACTCTTAATGTTTCTTTTTCAAAGAATAGAGCAGAGACCAATATGTAGTCATCTGGCTTGTGAGGGAATCATCAGCTGTCATAGGTGGAAAGGATGTCAATGTGCACAGAAACTGGTGGTTTTCAAGCTGCTCTGAGGAGCTGAAGGGTTTTAATACCCAATCTATGGGATGAAACTGGAAGGCCTGATGGGCGGGGCTTCCACCCCTCCTCTGATTCAGCCACAGTGCCTTGTTTTTCTTTTTGATTTTACATATGTGATTTCTGTCTCAAGTTTTGCAAGGAGAAGAAGATTTGAGTCTTGGAAAGGTCTGAAAGCTGCTGGTGCAAATCAAACCTCTCACTTACAGATGAGGAAGCTCATGTCCAGTAACGCAAAGTGATTTGCCCAAGGTCGCAAAGCTTCTTGGTAAGGGAGTTGGAGCTAGGAGTCCTTTAGTTTCCCTGTTGTCTGGGGCTGAGTAGAGAGAGGTATTATTCTGAGAAGCAGAGAGAAAATGGAACATAGGAAAGTGTACTGTGTTTCCATCTCTCTGGGATGCCGAGTAAGACAGGTCTCTTGAAACACCTCTAGGGTGACAGAAGATGGCATCTCCACGATGATCAACAAGAACAACAATTCATGTGTGAATCACTTCTTTGGCTTTTGGCTGAGATCAAGTGCAATGCACGTGTGACCTCTCGTCCTCTGGTGTCTCTGATGATTAGATGAAGACAGGTAAGTCTGCTATAGAGTCTTCAGAGTTTGTGCTGTAGAGCTGCCGCCATTTCCCAACTTCACTGCTAATACAATTTTTCTTCTATACTCTTTGGTTTATTTTTTATTATTTTTGGTGGATTCCTAGGAGAGATTTATAGAAATATGCACCAAGTCAGCCATATTTCCCAGGAAGATTTACAGTTGAGTCATACTTTGATGTATTGACCAAGGCAAAGTTTTAAGGTAAATAATTAGACATAAATAAAAACATTCCATATATTTATTATTTTATTTTTATTATTATTATTCTTTTGAGATGCAGTCTTGCTCTGTTGCCCAGGCTGGAGTGCAGTGGCACGATCTTGACTCACTGCAACCTCCACCTCCTGGGTTCAAGTGATTCTCCTGCCTCAGCCTCCTGAGTAGCTGGGACTACAGGCACCTGCCACCGCACAAGGCTAATTTCTGTATTTTTCGTAGAGACAGGGTTTTGCCATGTTGGCCAGGCTGGTCTCGAACTCCTGACCTCAAGTGATCAGCCCACTTCAACCTCCCAAACTGCTGGGATTACAGGTGTGAACCACAGTGTCTGGTCAAGATATTTATTTTTTAAAGCAATGTCTTTGTTATTACATAAAACAGTGAAGATTTTTTTGAGAGATTATACAGCATTGTAGTGGGAGACTGGTAAACTATCTCTGCTCCTTGCTAGTTATGTGACACTGGGAAAGTTACTTACCCTCTCTGTGCCTTGAATTTCCTCATCTGTAAAATGCTAATAATAATAGCACCTCCATATAGGGTTGCTATGGGGATTAAATGTGTTAATACATATTTAATTATATATACATATACATATAACAGCCAGGCTGTTATAACAATGCCTGGCTTGGGATTCACTGTGCTTTGTTAATCTGAGTATTGGTATCTCTCAACAATTCAGGGAATTGCTTTAAACGTTGTTTCTACCCCTTCTGACTGCTATAGACTGAATGTTTAGTAAAAATTAATATGTTGAAACCTAATCCCCAGTGTGATGGTATTAGGAGAAGAGACCTTTGGGAGGTGATTAGGTCATGAGAACAGTAACCTCATGAATGAGATTAGTGCCCTTATAGAAGAGACCCCAGAGGCTGGGCATGACGGCTCATGCCCATAATCCCAGCACTTTGGAAGGCTGAGGTGGGCAGATCACCTGAGGTCAGGAGTTAGAGATCAGCCTGGCCAACATGGTGAAACCCCGTCTCTACTAAAAATACAAAAAATTAGCCGGGCATAGTGGCACTTGCCTGTAGTCCCAGCAACTTGGGAGGCTGAGGCAGGAGAATCGCTTGAGCCTGGGAGGTGGAGGTTGCAGTGAGCCAAGATCAGGCCACTGCACTTCAGCCTGGGCGATGGAGTGAGACTCTATCTCAAAAAAAAAAAAAAAAAAAGTATGAGACCGCAGAGAACTCCCTTGCCTCTTCCACCATGTGAAAACACGGCAAAAAGACAGTCATCTATAAACCAAGAAGTGGGCCCTCCCCAAGAGCCAAACCTACCAGTACCTTGATCTTTGACTTTCCAGCCTCCAGAACTGTAAGAAATAAATTTCTATTGCTGATAAGCCACCCAGTCTATGACATGTTTGTTATAACAGCTGGAATAGACTAAGATACAGCCTATTGACCTCCTCAGGACTCATCTCTTTTGTATTTCTATTTCTTTGTCTCTGGAGGAACTTCTGAATAATTTTCTTGTTTCTAGCCTTTAAGTTATTCCTATTCTGATGCACTCTGTCCAGTATGCTTTGAGATCTATTTGTGATGGAGACAACTTGCTGAACACAACAGTCCGTTATCTCCTTCTTTTGTATTAATGATATTGTAGTTGGACACCTGGATACTAAGCTAGGTGACATTTCTCAGACACCTTTGCAGTTGCATGTGGCCAGGTAACTAACGCTTCAATAGAATGTGACTGGAAGTAATGTGGGCCACGTTAACAGAGCAGGTGCATCTCTTCTATAGCTTTTCTCCTTCTTGTGAGCTAGAATAATGCTATCCTAAAATTGTCTCCAGAACACAGCAAGTCCTTAAACTGTCACTGGTTTGCAATGGGATAAGTTGGAAAATGGAAAGAAAAGCACTCAGAAACACGGCAGTAATTCAACATTGTCACAATACCCAAATGTAGTCATTTTTCTGATAATTCATTTTATTACATTTTAAAAAAGGAATGGTTCAAAAGCATTGAAAAATAAAAACTATCTTATCACCTGCACCTGTGACCAGCTGAGATTAATGTCCTAGGGGATAGTTGAGAAAGAAGAAGGAAGGAACTTGCATCCCTCAGTGACCACTCAGCAGAGCAGTCTGCCTGCTGCAATGTTCACCTCGGACTTTACATGAGAGGGAATTAAACCATCATCTTTTTAAACCTGTCGAATGATTATTAGGCCTCTTTCTGTGGCAGTCAAACCTTACCTCATCACACATCCATCCCATTTTAAACCCCAATTCTTACATATTTTATTTCTAGAAATTGTATTTGATTATTTTAAATATCTCTTAATATTTAAAAATAAATTCTCATTCCTTGATCATATTTGCAAGCCTCTGTTGTTTTTTAATCTTTCAACAGTTGTTAAAACAAAGTCTTGTTTCAGCACCAAGCTGCAACAGACATGAACTTTCAAATGGAGGTGCCAAATGTCCACGTGCAGATATTCATCAGGAATTTCTGAGAAACTTGCTCTGAAACACTGAGACTCTCTCAACTACTTGAAGAATAGAAACCCAATCTCTACTAAAAATACAAAAATTAGCCAGGCATGGTGGCACATGCCTGTAATCCCAGCTACTTGGGAGGCTGAGGTAGGAGAATCGCTTGAACCCAGGAGGCGGAGGTTGCCTCCTTAATCCAAAGGATTAAGAGCATGGACAAGAAAAGATTTTGGTGAAGAAGATTTCTTCAGGAAAATTGATATTGAGATCTCCCTCCTGTCTTCACCACAAAGGCGATCCTGCACCAAAGTTGATGGGAGGCAAAACCAGAGCCTGCCCTGGGGACAGCCAGTGTCTGGGTAGACCTTGACTAACTTAAAAACTAGTTGGAAATATCTTTGTTTTACTTCTCTTTCCTTTATTTGGTTGAGGTTAAAAATTATAAAAATAGTGCATATTACCACAATCTGGGTGCCGTAAACAACAAAAGTTTATTGTCTCACAGTTCTGAAGGGCAGAAGTCTAAATTCAGGGCATTAGCAAGGCTGTGCTCCTTCTGAAGCCTCTAGGATCATTCCTTACCACTTCTGGCTTCTAGTAGCCCTAGGCAGTCCTTGGCTTGTGACAGCAAAACTCCAATTTTTCCCTGTGTCTTCTTGTGGCTGTCTTTCCTCTATCTGTGGCATTCTCCTCCCTGTATATGTCTGTGTCCAAATGGCACTCTTTTTTTTTTTTTCAGATGGAGTCTCACTTTGTTGCCCAGGCTACAAGGCAGTGGCATAATTTTGGCTCACTGCAACCTCTGCCTCCTGGGTTTAAGTGATTCTCCCACCTCAGCCTCCCAAGTAGCTGGGATTATAGGCATGCACCGCCATGCCCGGCTAATTTTTGTATTTTTAGTCGAGATGGGGTTTTTGGCATGCTGGCCAGGCTGGTCTCGAACTCCTGACCTCAAGTGATCTGCCCACTTTGGCCTCCCAAAGTACTGGGATTACAGGCATGAGCCACCGTGCCTGGCCCAAATGTCACTCTTCTTATAAGGACACCAGTTGTATTAGATTAAGGGCCCACCCTACTCCGGTATGACCACATCTTAACTAATTATTGCATCTGCAACAACCTCATTTCCAAATAAGGTCACTTTTTTGAGGTGCTGGGGGTTAAGACTTCAACATATGCTTTTTTGGGGAACACAATTCAACTCATAGCATAGGGAGAGAAAGTAAAGGGGTGGGGGGTAACGAAAAGGTGAGAAGTCCATCTTCTGAGGTCCATCTTCCCAAAACCCCTGTTTCTATTCTACTCAGTTGGTCTGTATCCTTACTTCCTCAATAAACTTTTGGTACAAACTTCCTGCTTCAAAGACTCTTGACCTTCTGAACTTCTACTTAATTCTCTACTCCATTCCTGAAGACTGCCCTCCACCCTCACCCCCACTTTATGCCTTTGTCGCCATGATGGATCCTGCTCACCATTCCTCCTCGGTGCACCCCCACTCACCTAGGTCTGCTGTGCACACAAGGTCACAGCCTTGACCTTCTTGCCCTCCCCAACAGGACACATATCTTGCCTCTTCGGCTTCTTGCCCAGCACACAATGAGACTCACATGTCCAGAAATCTTGCCTTAGAGTCCCCTTCCTCCCCAACCTCACTGATCCGACCATCTGCTAGAAGCCAAGCTCCAGCCACCTGCTTGAGGACTGCTTTTGTGTCTCAGTGCTGAGGATCCCAGGGTAAACTGCTAGGGTGAGAAAATTCTCACGTTGGCCCTTGAAATTTCCCATATTTTTCCTTTAGGACTAGTATGGCAGTTATATCCATTTGTCAAAATACAGGGACCAGTGCTTGTAAAGGAGGAAAATATAACTGTTGGAGAAACATTTACTGTTAGAAAATCTTCATGTGAAGTGTATAAAATTAAATTGAGGCTTGGAGTTCAAACTTCTTCCCCTGATTAATCCTTTGTGTTTCTATGAATACACTAGTAAAATACAAGCCCAGTATGTTGGAAAAACAATACCTTAAACCTTTGAGTGAGGTTGACCCAGGAGCACTGAATAGCTTACTTGAGATGGTAGTTTCCTGAGGAGATACCTCCCAGAAGGCTGTGTTAGGTTGGTGAGAACTTTGCGTTGAGCATTAGGGAGCTGAAGCAAGTCTTTTCACCATTCTGGATTTTGGTTTCCTCACCTGCAATAGCACAGGGTAAGTGAGTTCTTTCAGCCTTACCATTCCAATTATTTTAAAAAATGATCAAAATCTTTTAAATTTGGGATTACAGGCATGTGCCACCATGCCTGGCTAATTTTCAATTTTGGGGGGAACAAAATTCAACTCATAGCATAGGGAGAGAAAGTAAAGGGATGGGGAATAACAAAAAAATGAGAAGTCCATCTTCTGAGGTCCATCTTCCTAAAACCCCTGTTTCTGTTCTACTCAGTTGGTCTGTATGCTTACTTCCTTTAGGAATAGTATAGCATTAAGCACATTAAGCCTGTTAAATATTTACATCCCGATTCAATACATTTATACACTTTTGTTGCCAGAAAATAATACAGTGACCTTTTATTTCTGTAACAATACTCACTCTACCCAAACCTAGGAGACAAATAAATCTACAAGTTATTTACAGAAAATTTAAAAACTATATGAATCTGGAAAACTTACAGCCCTCAATTCAACTTTCTGAAATTCAGGGTTTCATTTTTTTCCCCCAAACACACGAGCCAGTCTAAATTTTTTTTTATCTGAACACATTGTCCAGATACATCTTGATCCATCCCTTTCATGAAGGAATGCAGCCAAAAGTTTCTTCCTCCCTGAAAAGCAATTCTCTAAATCAAGACCAACTTTTTAATGATTCAAAGTCAAAGACGCATTTTGGATGTTGCAAAAAGCCGTTTAGCCAGAAGACCATGCTTCTCATTTGCCCTAATGAAGCAGTGGCTTAAGGTTTGGGAAAAGTTCTTTGGAGATTATGTACGACTATATCTACAGGTACATAGAGCCATTCAAAGTAGAATTTTGCAACCATATTTTCAGGCGATCACAGAAGTCTCTCATAAAATCAATTCTTCATTTTAAAAAAAGTTATATTATTTAAAGTACAATCTATGTGTACATAGACTAATAATTTGGCCAGAAATGTGTGTAGCCTGTTTGGGACTCAGGAGTGCAGTGGTGGTTTGGAAACAGATTGGGGTTGGCTGGTAGCTGTGGACATTCACTGGTGGCACATTTGGTATCCATTTCCTTTCTGCTTCCTTCCCCTTTGGAGGAAGCATCTGCCTGCATTTTGTGGCTGCCTAGCATTTTGTTTGGAGTTCCAGGGTAAGCGCTGCTTGGAATAAGCACATCTAGGAAATCCCATCTCGTTTGGATTAGCCAAACAGGCTGCTATGCTCTAAATGTTTGTGTCCTCCCAAAATTCATGTTGAAATCCTACCCCATAAAGTGATAGTATTAACAGGTGAGGGCTTTGGGAGGTGATGAAATCACAAGGGTAGAGCCTCATGAATGGGATTAGAGCACTCATTAAAGAGGCCTGAGAGAGACCCCGTTGGCCCTCCTGCCATGTAAATGGGCCCTCACCAGACACCACATTTCCTGGCCCATTGATCTTGGACTCTCCAGGCTCCAGAACTGAGAGCAAGAGATTTCTGTAGTTTAGAAGCTACCCAGTCTATGGTATTTTTCTAGAGCACCCCAAAAGGACTAAGACACAGCCCATAGCTTTCCTCTGGCCACAGGGATTTGCTCAGAGTTGCTCGGGTAGCATAAAAATCAGGGGCCGGGCGCGGTGGCTCATGCCTGTAATCCCAGCACTTTGGGAGGCCAAGGGTGGGGGGGGGGAGCGGATCACGAGGTCAGGAGTTCAAGACCAGTCTGACCAACATGGTGAAACCCCGTTTCTACTAAAAATACAAAAATTAGCCAGGCGTGGTGGCACGCGCCAATGATCCCAGCTACTCAGGAGGCTGAGGCAGGAGAATAGCTTGAACCCCAGGGGGGTGGAGGTTGCAGTGAGCAGAGATCGCACTACTGCAAAAAAAAAAAAAGAAAGAAAAAAAAGAAACTCAGGACTTCTGTGGGAAATGGCTCTGTTTGAGGAATCATAAAGCCCTAGTTTCTGCTGCTGGTAGCGACTTTACCATCATGAGGAAGGCAAAGCTGATATGAGCTAAGACGAAAACATGAGCGAATTGCAGAGAACTCTTGTGGTGAGAGTGGGGAACAGTGGAAGGAGGGAGGAGACAGTGAACACAAACCAATAAATAAATGAGGTGAGCATGCAAATAAATGAAATGGGGTCATATGATGTGTGGTGAAGAGAGGATGGGAGCCTGCCTTTGATGGGCTGGGCAGGGAGACGTGTGCCACAGCCCCATTGTGGACGCCAGGAAGCTGAGCTAGGGGGATTTCACATGAATGAGGGCATCGGCCATGTGTCTTTGCAGCAGACTTACAGTATGTATGTGTCAATTCCTCGGGACTCGGTGGACCTGACCCTCTTGTGTCTTTCCTGGCCTCTGGTGTCATAGATCCTGTGCAGTGTCTTGCTCACTTCAGTGGGTCCAAGTTTAGGTTTTTGCAGTTTCGCAAAGGGGTGTATGAACAAAAGGAAATAAACACATTTGTGTCTTACCCTTAGACTATGTCTGCTGAAAGAGAAGGAGACGGATTTTACCTTGGAGCGTCCCTCCCGGAAGACTTGCCAAGGAATGCACTTTGGACTGGAAGAATTTCCACAGCTGTGTGGAGGGTGGTGTTCTGATGGCCAAGCCCCAAATGATGTTGTTGGCCCATGTGGAAGACTTGATCTTTGCAGGGAGGTCAAGGAAACCTAGCAAAAATGATGGAAGGTAGGAAGGCAAGAATGGTAGGAGAAATATGAAAAGAATTGGGAGTTTTTCTCCTTGAGCAGAGGCACCTAAAAGCAGACAACTTTTACATAGTAGCTTGATTTTGAGGAAGTCCTTTTTCTGGGCCTCAGTTTGCTCATCTGGGAAATGAAGGAGATTAACAATATGATCCATACAGTTGCTTTCGGCCCTAAATTCTGTGATTCGAGGAAAAATTACATATATGAAAGATTTTTATGCATAAGCAAGGGTCTGTTTTCCAACTCCATTGCAACAAAAGAGGAAAATATGAGATCTGAAGCAGAACTTCTTGACTTTGAGAATTTTTTCTCTAGGAGAAAACAATGGATGTTTTAAAATGCCAGTTTCTTGGAAATTTATAAGGAAATAATACATTGCTATTTTTTTTTCTGGGATGAAATTATCTAAAGGATCCACCCCCTAAAAATGTGAATTTGAATTTGCATGGAAGTTAATATATTAAAATGTAAACGCCAGGTTCTAAGTTCTTAAAAAAAGTTCTTGCATGTCAGCAGGGGAGGTGTGAGGTGACTTCTTTAGCAAGTTACTTGTGCATTTTTAGCTATATGAATCCCTCTTAAAGAGGAGATACTTTCTAAATTGAGCAAGTGCGTTTTATAATCCTGAGATGGACACAGAGCAAAATTTGGAAGCATTAGTTTTTAAAAAAATATTATTAAAACCATGCTCTAAGTTTAAAAAATGTGGAAGGCAGAGTAACGTATCTTCCATCTCCCCAAGATAGCCAAGTGCTTATCCTAGGAGTTTGCAATATGTTAATTTACAGGGCTAAAGAGAGTTTGCAGATGTGCTTAAAGTAAGGATTTGAGATGAGATTATCCTGGGTTGCCCAATGTAATCATAGGAGCTCCGAAAAGATGGAAGAGGGAGGCAGAGAAGGAATGTGTCCACAGAAACAGAGCCTGGAGTGATGTGATTGGCAGAAGGGGCATTAGCTAAGGAATTCACCAGTCTGCTAGAATCCAGAAAAGGCAACAAAACAAATTATCCCTCAGAGCCCCTGCAGGCAGCATGGCCCCACTGACACCTTGATTTTGGCCCAGTGAACCCATTTCAGGCCTCTGATTTCCAGCACTGTAAGATAATAAATGTTTGTTGTTTTAGGCATTATGATTGTGGTCATTTGTTACAGCAGATAGGAAATTCATACAAAAAGAGAAGGCAAAATGAATTGATGCAGGAAAAAACAGTTAAGAAAAGGAGCAGGAGAGTCAAGATGAACAGGAAACAGAAGGAGCAGAAGAGTCAAGATGAACAGGAAACAGGAGACGCAAAACTGGGCTCCGGAGGGGCCAGGGGTGCTGCTGCCAGGGGCTGTGGACCTGGGCTGCTGATCTCCTGGAAGCAGGTGGAATGTGTGGGGCCAGAGGGGCTAAGAGAGGAAGAAGGTGATGGGCTGTGAGGGTAGTCAGAACAACGTTCCCTGCCTAGTTGTCCCAGTGATACGGCTTCAATGGCTGGAGGAACACCATGGTTCTTAGTCTCGCACCGATTTTGATAAAACGACACGGACACACGTGGAGTGGTTCTAAGGAGCGAAAAGTTTATTAGGCAAGAAAGAAGGAAGGAAGGAAGAAGAAAACAGCTCCCCTGTACAGAGACAGAAGGAGGGGGGGATTCGAACAAAGAGAAAACCCTGTGTGCGGTGGAAAAGTGGCTGCTTATATTCCTATGCTGGTGGAGGTGATGTCTGATTTGCATAGGGCCCAGGGGATTGGTTTGACCAGATGTGTCATTTACGTAACCCGTGAAAAACCTGGCCCTCCAACCTAAGCCCTTTAAATACGTAAATGTGGGTTGCCATGATGTTCTGAACACACGGTGTTATCTGGAGGTGGCCATGACACTTGGTACACCTGGCGATGAGAGGTGACAGCATGCTGGCAGTGCTCGCAGCCCTCGCTCGCTCTCGGTGCCGCCTGGCCTCGGCGCCCATTCTGGCCGCGCTTGAGGAGCCCTTCAACCCGCCACTGCACTGTGGGATCCCCTTTCTGGGCAGGCCAAGGCCGGAGCCAGCTCCCTCAGCTTGCAGAGAGGTGTGGAGGGAGAGGCGCGGGCGGGAACCGGGGCTGCGTGCCGCGGCGCTTGCGGGCCAGCGCGAGTTCCGGGTGGGCGTGGGCTCGGTGGGCCCCGCCCTCGGAGCGGCCGGCTAGCCCCGCCGGCCCGGGCAGTGAGGGCCTTAGCACCTGGGCCAGCAGCTGCTGTGCTCGGTTTCTCGCCGGGCCTTAGGTGCCTCCCCGCGGGGCAGGGCTCGGGACCTGCAGCCCACCACGCCTGAGCGCCCCCGCCCCCCGCCGTGGGCTCCTGCGCGGCCGGAGCCTCTCCGACAAGCGCCGCCCCCTGCTCCACGGTGCCCAGTCCCATCGACCGCCCAAGGGCTGAGGAGTGCGGCCGCACGGCGCGGAACTGGCAGGCAGCTCCACCTGCAGCCCCGAGCAGGATCCACTGGGTGAAGCCAGCTGGGCTCCTGAGTCTGGTGGGGACTTGGAGAACCTTTATACCTAGCTAAGGGATTGTAAATACACTAATCAGCACTCTGTATCTAGCTCAAGGTTTGTATATACACCAATCAGCACCCTGTGTCTAGCTCAGGGTTTGTGAATTCACCATTAGGCACTCTGTATCTAGTCAGTCTGGTGGGGACTTGGAGAACCTTTATGTCTAGCTAAGGGATTGTAAATACACCAATCAGCACTCTGTATCTAGCTCAAGGTTTGTAAACACACCAATCAGCACTCTGTGTTTAGCTCAGGGTTTGTAAATACATCAATGGACACTCTGTATTTAGCTAATCTAGTGGGGACGTGCAGAGCTTTTGTGTCTAGCTCAGGGATTGTAAATGCACCAATCAGTACCCTGTCAAAACGGACCAATCAGCTCTCTGTAAAACAGACCAATTGGCTCTCTGTAAAATGGACCAATCAGCAGGATGTGGGTGGGGCCAGATAAGGGAATAAAACCAGGCTGCCCGAGCTAGCAGTAGTAATTTGCTTGGGTCCTCTTCTAATGTGTGGCAGGTTTGTTTTTTCGCTCTTTGCAATTAAATCTTGCCATTGCTCACTCTTTGGGTCCACACTGCTTTTATGAGCTGTAACACTCACCGCGAAGGTCTGCAGCCTCGCTGCTGAAGCCAGCGAGACCACGAACCCACCGGGAGGAACGAACAACTACAGCTGCGCCGCCTTAAGAGCTGTAACACCGCGAAGGTCTGCAGCTTCACTTCTGAGCCAGCGAGACCACGAACCCACTAGAAGGAAGAAACTCCGGACATGCCCCCTTTAAGAACTGTTAACACTCAGCGCGAGGGTCCGAGGCTTCTTTCTTGAAGTCAGTGAGACCAAGAACCCACCAATTCTGGACACAGTGACAAGGAAAAGACAGCGGTAATTGCCACATTGAGTGAACCAAGTTTCTAAATGGCTGGCATTTGCATATTAAAGGTTGCCTGCCCGGCCCTTCAAGCCACCTTTTCTGTTAGAAAAGAGATGGTTCGGGGCTGTTTTTTTATTACAGGAAAATTTCCTCCGAGAACCTTTACCCTGAGTAGCTGCCTGGAAATTATTTCTTAAGAACACCTGTATCACCAGCCTGCATCTCCCTCAAAGCAGAACCTGAGATAAAAAGGCTTCTGTGTGAGTGTTTTTTCTGAGAATGAGGGAAATACAGAAAGACGGTGGAAGTGGGGAAGGAAAGCTCCTAAGAGTACGCAGTATTGAAATGGTCCCTGCCTGCAGGTGGCTGGTTTCTGACCAGGGTAGGTGTGCCGCCAGGCCTGGTGAGAGGGGCTCTTGCTTTTCTAGACACTGCCTCCCTGTGCTCTACCATGCTGTAGACTCATTTCTATTAATGAGTTGCTCCGTCAATATGCAACTCACATTTGGTGACAATTATTTTCATTAAATAACCAGATGAACAGCCTCTCTGAGTATTTGAGTAAAGAACAAAGGCCGTTTTGGGGGAAGTCGGACCTGAATGGGTCTTGGTGCACAAGAAGCTGAGAAAGCAGGAGAGAAGAATCCAGAGGAAAAAGAGGGATTCACACAGGAGGTAGGTGAATTCTCCCAAATACACTTTTCTAATGTTTGTTTTTTCTTTTCTTTTCTTTTCATTTTTTTTTTTGAGATGGAGTCTCACTCTTGTAGCCCAGGCTGGAGTGCAGTGGCGTGATCTCGGCTCACTGCAACCTCTGCCTCCCAGGTTCAAGCGATTCTCCTGCCTCAGCCTCTCAAGTAGCTGGGGTTACAGGCGCATGCCACCACGCCTGGCTAATTTTTGTATTTTTAGTGGAGACGGGGTTTCACCATGTTGGTCAGGCTGGTCTCGAACTCCTGACCTCAAGTAATCCACCCACCTCGGCCTCCCAAAGTCCTGGGATTATAGGTGTGAGCCACCATGCCCGGCCTAATGTTTGTTTTTCCTTAGGGACTTTGGTGGCAGCCAGTGAGCTGATGCCTAGACCTGGGGATTAGAACTCTTCAGTGTTACCTTCATCGGAAGCCTGGCCTTCTCATTCCACCTCACCTCCTTCTAGCTGTGTCCTTTCTGGGGTGCACACATCTCTCGAGAGCAGGGAACAATCTGCTGACTTTAGGGAATGCTATTGGCCTCATGATGCTCCCTGGTATCACAGGGACAGTTTAAATATTTCAAATTTGAGGGCTAGGAATCCCTTTGGGCTCTCTGACCCTTATCACCATTGTGGCATTTTAATAATTTCATCTTAGTCATCTACTCACTGCTCTCCACTTAAACCATTCATCATAATTTGTGGTTGGCGTTATCTGGACAGGTTGGGGGAATGAGCTGCAATTGTGACTTCTGCCCCCAATTCAATGATATTTATTCTGGGTAGGGTCTTTCACCAATCTCATTTTGTCTTAGTGGTCTCTCAGCATTTTTGAAACACGTGCCCATGAGCATAGGAAAGTCCCCAAAGAAGGGGGGACACTTCCAACTACTCAGCAAGAAGGACCTTTTTCAGATTCCCCCGTGTCCTTCTTGGATTACTATGATCAGGACCCAGCATCAGTCTGCAGGGAAAGTGCTAATAGCGCATGCATTTTACTGACTAATTGGAGAAAAAGGAGGAAGGGAGACCAATGTTCTGAGACTAAAGGGGATGCAGATCTCCCCATGTGGCTTTGTCCCATCCATAGATAAGGAAATCCAGGATAGGTCCTACATCCAGGAATAAGCCTCACCCAGGAGCGTTTTGGTCCCCTTCTTAAAGCCTCACTATGGGGAGTCAGAACTCTTGGAAAGTAGCTCCTCCCACAGGCTCTTATTGAGACAAATGTTCTAGGCTCAAGCCTTGGATGTTTCAGGGCTCCCTGATTTTGTGTCCTATTGAGGTGGAGACAATGCCACAGGTGCACTTGCTTTGTTTCTTCCTTTCCCTGGACACTGGGGAAGACTGTTACTTCCAGCCTTCCTAGCAGGTGGGTTGGGAGCATGTGACTAATTCTGGCCAATGAGTGAAATGGAAGAGACACGCATCACTTTTGCGCTGAAACGTGGCTGAGTGGGAAGGAGGTCTCCAGGCTTTCCCATCTCGTGCAGAGACTCCCACCAACCCCCTCTGGATGTGTAGCATAAGGGAGAAGTAAATCCTCACTGAAATTTTGAGACTAACTTGTTACCACAGCATAACCTCGCTGATTCTGATTATTAGCAAGGATAGCCCGTGTAATAGTTTGGACATTTGGAAATTTTCTTTCTCATTGAAATTTCCCACATTTTCTTTTCTTTCCTTCTTAATGCATTTAAGTGCTTATTCTATATTGAGAATATAATGGGAGGAAACAAATAATTCTTGAAAGAGAAATTGCAAAACGGGTGATGTTTAACTGGAGTTGTTTCATGCTTGGTACCCTGTGGGGGTATAACTCGGATGGTGGAGTAAATGGAGAGTGACACAGATTTTGGCCAGATAGAGCCATAGGGAGTGACGTCTGGGGCAGGGTGTATTTATGCTATCAAGATGGCATTTCTGGTCACAGCGGCCCGCTTTCCTTTTAATAGTTTCTATATTCCTACTCTGTATAAAACTCTGTGTTTAAGTGTGAGCACAGAGCCACAGGTCATATTTGGCCAGGATTGGAGAGAGTAGGGGAGGAAGAATTCATTGGCAGATGAGGACACAGCACAAATTTGGATTTTGGCATGCGTTTTCCAGCAGTTGCATGAAGGAAACCCAATCTTCCCTTCAAGACATCTCATTTTTGCCTTCCACCTGGACTTGTTCTCGGGGATCTGCTTTCCAGTCCAAAGGGACCGTTTCCTTTCTGTCCCTCAATGCCTGTGCTAGTTGTTATTTGCCGTGATGTCTGTTGCTATCGTTCCTTTATTTCAATTCCACTCCTGGGCCTGGCCTTCTAGGAGGCTCTCCATGCTCCCAACAGTTCTCTCCCCCATAACTCCCTGGCCATTAACCTGTTTTATTGTCATGGTTTGATGGTGAAAAGTTGCTCTTTGCTTTCCAAAATGACAGCTAGCTGATGCGTTTGTCCCATCCCTATCATTGTGGGCACTTATGTGGATGGCTGATTTCATAGGAATGGGGAGGGATATGGATTCACTTCTTCCTGCCAAAGTGGGTAAAAATATACCACAGTCCTTCCCCCAAAGAGGTAGATATTTGAGCCAGTTCTTTATCTGCCTCAGAGCAAGGATTCTCAGTGCTGGCTGCAAAGTCGAACCACCCGCAGGGTTTCACTAATACTAATGTACAGCTCCGTCTTCATATAAAGAGATCGGTTTTTTCTTTTTTGGAGTTGGGTGTTGGCGTTCATTTAATCATTCACTAATCAACAATCAACAGTGATTGATGAATGATGATCAAGTGATGTCTTATGCTACGGACTATCCTAGGGGCTGGGGATATAGTGATAAGAAAGACAAACCCGCTTCCCCATTCCAGCGGAGGTTACATTGTAGTTGAGGAGTGAGGACAGGCACTAAATAAGCCTCACAATAAGTAACCAGAGTAATTTCAGACGGTGACATGTGCTGTGGATGAAGGTAGGGAGTGTAATGGAGGGAGCCTGAGGCAGGTGTGTTGTTCACTTAATATGGATGCTTCTGGAAGGTTCACCGAGAAGGTGACAATGAGGCTGGTATTTGAAAGGCAGGAGGTGACCTGTCATGAAATGTCTGGGGCGGAGTGGTCAAGGCTGAGGGAACTGGGGATTCACCTGTCCTCAGACAAGAATTGGCTTAGGATACTTCAGGACCAATAAACAAGGCCAGTGTGCCTTGAGGAAGAAACTGATGGCAGAAAACCAAGGTAGAGAAATGAAAAAACGGATAGACATAGAGTCAGATCTGCAGGGTGCAGGCTTGCTGGGAGAAATGATTTGCCTCCATAGTAGTGATTTCTAAAGGTGAAAGCAGGCAGCTTCTCACCACCAGCCAACTACCCAGGCGTTCTGAGGCAGCCAGGTCTACGGGCAGGTTCCTCTCACGCCCCCCATCCTTCCCTCCTGTTTCTGGGACCTGTTGGGACCACTGTGCAGGTGGGACAGGTTGCTGTGGCAGTGCTGTGTCCTGCTTTGCCTGGGGCCTGAAGTCCAAGTCTTCTCTTTCTTTGAGAGCAACGTGGATCAGGTTGTGTCTTTTCTGGACCTCAGTTTCTTTATAGGATGTCGTGAGGATGAAAGAGTAGCATGTGTGAGGTTGCCTCCCACGTCTGTTCATCTGAGACACAGAACACACTTGGGGAACATTGGTTTCCATTCCTCCTTCTCTGAAATAGCAAAAAAGGACAGAGAAAAGACACTTTCTTTTCCCAACAATTTTGAATGACAGTAACAGAACTCTGTATCTCTTACTGAAAACTAATTTTATTGAGGTTCAACTGATATATAAAAAGCTGTACATATATAGGGCTGGACGCGGCTGCTCATGCTTGTAATCCCAGCACTTTGGGAGGCGAGGCAGGTGGATCACCTGAGATTAGGAGTTCGAGACCAGCCTGACCAACATGGCAAAACCCTGTCTCTACTAAAAATACAAAAAATTAGCTGGGCATGGTGGTGCATGCCTGTAGTCCCAGCTACTTGGGAGGCTGAGGCGGGAGAATGGCATGAACCCGGGAGGCAGAGCTTGCAGTGATCCAAGACCGCACCACTGCACTCCAGCCTGGGTGACAGAGTGAGACTCCATCTCAAAAAAAAAAAAAAAAATCATGAAACCATCATCACCAACAAGGCCATAGACATACTCAACACCTTTCAAAGTTTCCTCCCATCCCCATTATCATGATTATTATTGTGGTAAGAACAGTTAAGACAAGATCTAGTCTCTTAACAGATCTAATTATACTATATACTAACTATACTCCCTGTGTTGTGTGTTGTATCTCTTACGTAACTGGAACTTTGTACCCTTTGACCATCTCCCCACTTCTCCCACTCCCCAGCTCCTGGAAACCATCGTTCTACTCTCTGCTTCTATGAGCTGAACTATTTTAGATGTTACGTATCAGTGGACTCATGCAGCATTTGTCTTTCTGAGTTGGCTTATTTCACTTAGCATAATGTCCTTTGGGTAGATCCATGTTGTTGCAAATAGCAGGATTATCTTCATTTGTAAAGGCTGAGTAATATTCCATTGTGTATAGATGCCAGATTTTCTTTATTCATTCATCTGTGGAAGGACATTTAGGTCATTTCCATATCTTGGCTATTGTGAATAACACCACAATAAATCTTGATGAAATCTCATTGAGAAATAAACAACGTGTAACTATGATTGCTTTTAAACCTGAGGAATGGCTGCTGCCCAGACTGAAAGAAAATCGAAAATACTGCTGTTATCTGACTCCCAGAATAGCCGGCTCCTCCTCACTTAACTCTTACAGTTAATCTCCAGCCCCCAGAGGTGGGCCTCTTACACTTCCTTATCAGGGCACAGAGCATTTCTCAGGCGCTCTTTCCATACACGAAGGACCATAGTTTTAGCTGCAAGATCTGAGTTTATGTCCAGTCTTTATTTAACAAACAAATGTGTTCTAAGCTGCATTTTGCTTTCTACTTCCTGAAGTTAATAACTATTCTCATTGCGCGCTCCTTTCCCAGCAAAAAATTGTGGGACTTGAATAATGGAGTATTTTCCTGTCTCCAGTTGGATGACAAGAACTTAAAATTATTTTTAGAAACGCAGTTGCCCAGAGTGAGTGTAATTCTAACAGGGTTGTCTCCACTCCCTGTTTGTTTTAGCTGGTTCTCACTATGTTTGAATGAGAGTGCAGGCCAAACCACAGTCAACTCTGAATCCTTGTAAAAAACCTCCCTAGCTCGGCTGTTGAGGAGTGCTACAGGTAATACCCCGTTTTGATGGTTTCCTGTTGTGTTGTCATTTGCCTATATACATGTCAGTCACATATTAAGATTCTCCAGAGAAACAACATCTATATCTATATCTTTATCTATCTATCTATAGATATGTCTCTAACTCTATCTATAGATATGGCTGTATCTACAGATATCTCTGTGTGAGAGGAGATTTATTGTAGAAATTGGCTCACTTGGTTATGGAGGCTGAGGAGTCCCACAATCTGCCATCAGCAAGCTGGAGAACCAGAGAATCCAGTGGTGTAATGTTCAGTCTGAGTCTGAAGGCCTGAGAATCGGGTGGTGCAGTGGTTTGAGTCCCAGTCCGAGCCCAAAGGCTCGAGAGCCAGGAAGGCAGAAGCTGGATGTCCCAGCAGACATGGCAAGAATTTGCCCTGTCTCTGTCTTTGTGATCTATTTGGGCCCTCAGTGGATTGGGTGGGCCCTCAGTGGGTTGGATGGGCCTACAGTGAATTAGATAGGCCCTCAATGGATTGGATGGGCCTGCAGTGGATTGGATGGGCCCTCAATGGGCTGGATGGGCCCTCGGTGGATTGCATGGGCCCACAGTGGGTTGAATGGGTTCTCAGTGGATTGGATGAGCCCTCAGTGGGTGAATGGGCCCTCTGTGAGTTCGATGGGCCCTCAGTGGATTGGGTGGTGCTAACCTGCATGGGTGAGGATGGATCTTGTTTATGCGCTCCACTGGTTCAAATGTTAATCTCTTCCAGAATCACCCTGACAAATACATTGAGAAATACTGTTTTATCATCCCTTAGCCCAGTCAAGTTGACACATCATAAAATTAACCATGACAGTCACAGAATATTGTCCTATACTCAAGTCATAACTTGTCATGTAGACAAGTTAGCATCCATAAGGTACAGTGGTCATAGAATCTGAACACTTGTCTGGGAGTCATGGCTTTGCTACTTTCTAACCATGTTGCTCTCACACCTTTAAATGGAGAGAGGACCGCACCATACTCACAATGGAATCAACCTCTTATGACCTTTGTGAGAACTGAAATCTGGGTTTTGCAAACTCTGAAAAGTCTCTGAATACCAGAGGTTCCTGAGAGTCTTCCTACAGCTCAGGAGTGTGCTCAGTTGCCAGGAGGGAGGCTGAGCTCTTGGGACATTCAAAGTGAGAGGATGTTCCTAACACTTCATTCTAGCAGCTCCAAGGAGCTAGACAGAGAAAAGAGAAAATGAGAAGAGGCACAGTCTTGAGTTGGTGTGAGGCAATGGCAGGGGGAGGCAACAGCTTGTGAGGACAGGGAGGAGAAGTAGCCCTTCCAACATTTCCTAGACGATAGTGCCTGGTGTGTGGTCTGGCCTCATCGCTGGCTTGGCGCCTTCCTTGCTTCTCTGTTAGCCGACATCGGAAGTTGCTGCTTCTCCTTTGCTCAGGGCCAGGTGGCCTGTGAGACTCACAAGGCTCTCCAAGAGGGGAACTTGCCTCCTCCCCTAATTGCCTTCATTCTTGTGTCATCATGTAGAAAATCATTTACACTGAAGTGGAATTTAGCCTGGCTTAGCTGTGAGTATCTGGATTTCCACTTTCATACAATACAAAGGCAAATTACAGCATCACCGTTAACAGTGGCTGGACCCTGGAGACCTCATGACTTTCCAGGCTCCTCACTTGCTGGTGTGCACTGTGCTAGGGCTGTGGCGAGGGTTAAATGTGGCCATGCACCTGTCATTGGTCAGCCCCCGGTGTGGTTCAGAGGGACGTGATAGAAGAATTATGTACTTTCAGAATTTCAGCCTCTAGTTTATAGATGAGACCATGAAAATGATTTGTCTACGCTCATACAACTCATTAGTGGCTGGTCTGGGACAAAGCTCCAGTCCCCTGATAGCCACTCAAGGTGCTCTTCTCACTTGTGCGTGGCTGAGAACACAAGGAAAGGAGAACTTGCCTCATCTTTATGGCTGGGGCTAGAGCAGAGTGACATAAATGTAACTGGGTTTATGTGTCCCAAAAGACGAGGGCTGCTAGGTAAAATACAGGATGCCCAGGTCAGCAAAGGCTTTTTGGGATGTACTTACACTAAACATTTATTTGCTGTTTATCTGAAATTCAGACTGAACTGGGCATCCTCCATTTTTATTTTCTAGGTCTGGCAACCCTGTGAGAGATGAAATTCACATTAAAACTATTTAGCAAACCAAACGATGGCTATGTAACCTTGTCTTGGTCTCCACTTAGAGGCAGAATCTCAGTGCTTTCTGAAAGTTCTTAGGAGGCCTGTAGCTACATCTGCAGTGGTGCCAAATCTCCATATGAAACCAGAACAATTCAATCGCTTATTCACAGTCTAGATGTTTGCACCGGGTAGACAAAATATTGAAATGTTTGGCAGAATTGCTCAATTGTCCTTTGGAAGTCTGGCATCTTGCAGCTGCAGCCTTGGAGTTCATCCTGTGCTGGGACAGTATCTACAGCCCAGCTCTCTGATCTGTGATGACCCTGTAGTGTCTCTCCCCTCCTTTCTTAATGAGGCTGGGACATGCTACTAGAATTTTCAAGGATTTAGCTGAAGTCTGGACATGCTTTGCATTTTGTTCATTTTTTGGCCCGAGACTCACATGTATGTACAGTTGTTTTACTTCAGTCTGCTGATAAAGCTCAGACTTCTGCAGACTTCTTTTTCTTAGTTTCTGTTAGGCAGGAAACCCAGAAAAAAATTCAGACTTTTTTTTTTTTTTTTGCCCCAAGAGCACAATGAACTGCAATAAATCCTGTACATATAACAACACTTTGACCTCATTAAGAAGATGGATGAAGAACAGTGATTTCAAACAGCACTGGAAGCCCCTAGCAGCTCAGGGCTCCTTCTGGAGGAAGGTGCATTCATTGATTCAGTTATTCATTCATTCAACTGACTTTACTAACCCTGTGTGGCATAGGAGAGAGATGAGCAGCTGGGGAACACAGCAGATAGAAACACAGACTTGATGGCCAGTAGGCCTGGGTTCTGTTCTTGGTTCTGTCACCTATTAGTTGTGTAATCTTGGCCAGTTACTTCATGTGTCTGCACCTCCATTTGTTTGTTCATCTGTAAAATAGGATGAATAACAGTTCCTACTTCATAGGATTGTTCTGAGGATTAAATGAGAATTCATGTAACTGCTTAAGAACAGCGTCTGACATTTAGTAAGTACTTACAAATGTTAGCTATTGTGTTGGACGCATAGCTATGGAGATGCTTTGATCTCAGAAAGGGCAGGCTCTTCTCCCTAAAGGTGAAATTCAGAGTTATTGTTTGGCAAAGCTGGCTCTGAGTCATGGCTGAGGAACCTTGTGCTGTGTGTCACAACTAGTTGTCTCATTCCCCTTGGCTAGCAATTGGTCTGGGAATGGCCCTGATCCCTAGTTCTGGCTAATGGGATATAAATGAACACTTTCTTGCTTTTCTGACCAATAAAGGAAAAAAACAGAAAAGAAAAAGAAAGGTCCCTTTGACCTGGAAGCTGGTTACGACGCTTGGAGATACAGCAACCATTTTGTGACCTTGAGGTCACAGCCTAAGGACAAAGGTCAATGTGCTAAAGGAGGTAAAAAGAAAGAACCCAGGTCTCTAAGGCTATGTTCGAGTAACTTCACCAGATAGCCTACCTCCAGACCTCTTATTAAGTGATGAAAATTAACATCTACTTTTTTAAACCACTGTAACCACATTTTCCATCATTTGCAGCTAAATGGATTTTTCCTTGGTAAAACCAAATAAGCAAAAAAGCAGTCTCTTTCCTCAAGGAAATCACAGCCAAGTACAGGCAAAAATGCCATGTATTCTAGTACGATAAAATGAACTAGCAAAGTAAACAAAGTGCTCTGTGCACACAGAAAAGAAACAGTTAGTAGGCAAAGGGGATATTTTATTGGATTATAAAGATCCAACTCTGCATGATCTCAGTGTATGACTTATCACCCATCATCTGGTTCTCAATCAGAATACCCTTCCACAGGAAAAAGAGGCAAAATCCTCCACCTCAGGGCCAGATGATGATCACTCAACTTTGTGCTTCCCAGGTCAATGCTGAAGCATCCTTTTCTGTTTCCTTCTTGGTCCCAGCTCTCAGGACACTGACCCTCACTGTGTGGCCTGAAATCCTGCTGCTTTATTCTTAACACTGAAGTCTGGCATATCTGCTTGCCATCTGTTCCTCCTGCCTACTTCCAGCCTACAGTCCTTGCTGGAAGATTTGTTGCTTGTGGTCTGTGCTTGGTTTGGGTCAAAGACAAAAGGACAAAAGGATTTGTAGAGAGGAGAAGAAGAGTCTGGGGGCTAAGGATGTCACAGAAAGCATCCTAGAGGGAGGGAGGAGCAGAGAAGTTGGTTGGAGAAGAAAAAGTGAGTTGAAGAAGAACGAGAGATGACTCTGGAGTGGTGAAGAGAGGCTGATGGAATGAAGGTTTTGGATGCTAGCAGAATCCAGACTTGATGAGACTAGCAGTAGGGAGTCACTCGAGGTCCCGAAATGAGAATGTAATGATTGTGGAAGGTTCTTTTGGCAGTTGTGGAAAGGCTAGTTTGAAACAGTATTGACTAAGGAATGAAGGAAAATCTGTCAAAAGATTTGCAGTCATGAAAAAAGAGACTGGGTGCGGTGGCTCATGCCTATAATCTCAGCAATTTGGGAGGCCAAGGCAGGCGGATCGCCTGAGCTCAGGAGTTCAAGACCAGCTTGGGAAACATGGCGAAACCCTGTCTCTACAAAAAATACAAAATTTAGCCTGGCATGGTGATGCACCGCCTGTAATCCCAGCTACTTGGGAGGCTGAGGTGGGAGGATCGCTTGAGTCTGGGAGGTGGAGGTTGCAGTGAGTGGAGATTGCACCACTGTACTCCAGCCTGTGCGACAAAGAAAGATCCAATCTCAAAAAAGAAAAAAAAGAAAAGGGAGACTCTTCCAAATAATTTCAGAGGCATAATTGACCGTTTAAGTTATATATGGACACTGTACAAAAGGCTCTGAGCTGGGGGCTCCACTTTGCTGTCTACAGCATTAGCCTTGCTATCACAACTCATTAACAAGGATTTGCTGACAACAGCCGATTGAAAAGTGAAAACTTCAATCAGTCAATGTTTTGGCCACAGATTTTTTTTTTTTTCACTTAATTGGGAAGTGGTTTCTGTGTCTTAGAGACATAGCCTATGAGAAGACTTCTTGCTAGATTTGCCTGTCTCTGTTAGAAGAAAGTCATGGCAAATGAAAAAGTTGGAGGTATTGGGTAGTACGGCAGTTCATATAGAATCAAAAAAATTTTTATTACAGCGTTAACTGTGTGTCAAGCCGTGGTTTAAAAGCTTTACATATTTGAACTCATTTAATTATCTGAGAAACTATGAGGTTGGCACGTAGCATTCTCCCATTTTACAGATTACATTCTCGTTTCAGGACCTCAAGTGACTCCCTACTGCTAGTCCCATCAAGTCTGGACTCTGCTAGCATCCAAAGCCCTCACTCCATCAGAGGAAGCTGAAGCTGAGAGAGGCTAGGGAGATTGCTCAGTATCATATACCTACTAAATGGTGGAGGCAGCTTCTGAATCCATGCTATAGAGGCTGTCATCTTAACCACCACACTTGACAGCCTCCCATTTTTTAAGCCACATCGCCCAAGAGTAGGACTAAGTCCCTAGGGCTTATGATGGCCATGCCAAAGTCTAGATGTTCCCTAGAAAATAAAGGGAGCACTAATAGAAAAATGGTCCCTCTTCTTCATCTCATTATTGCTGGTCCAGTGCTCATAGGTTTCAACTATGAGCCCTATTGATGAAAAGTGACCCAGGGACCTTACCGAGTACTTACAGCCAGTGAGAGTGACTTGCAAATCCTAGTACGCTGACAGAGCCCATGATGAAGAACCGAGTCACCTCCCTTATAATAAACCAACAATTGAGGGAGAGGCACTAATCCAAAAAGGACATTGTGTAACACTTATGAGAGTTTTTGAAAATAGTAGAAGGGCGTGTGAAAGTCAAATTGACGCTTAAGCCTTTTACATATGGGTGCAAATTATACGGCAGTACAATTAAAAATATCTAATTTGACACTCAAGTCATCTTTGAAATTTTTAGGGTTAACAGAGGCTGTTTTAGGTGAGATAGGGAATGGCTTGTAGCTATGAAGGGAAGGGATGGACGCTATTCAGCGTGGAACTTTTGGGGGTGTTGCCAAAGCAAGTCTTACGAAGTGTCATGATATACCATCTGTAGGAGAAAATCCACAGTGATCACATTTTGATATGAAAGTCATCTCTTGGCTGGGCGTGGTGGCTCATGCTTGTAATCCCAGCACTTTGGGAGGCTGAGGCGGGCGGATCACTTGAGACCCAGGAGTTCGAGACCAGCCTGGCCAACATGGTGAAACCTCGTCTCTACTAAAAATATAAAAAAAAATTTAGCTGGGCATGGTGGCAGGTGCCTGTAACCTCAGCTACTGGGGAGGCTGAGGCAGGAGAATCACTTGAACCCAGGAGGCGGAGGTTGCGGTGAGCCGAGATTGTACCATTGCACTCCAGCTTGGGCGACAAGAGTGAAACACCATCTCGGAAAAAAAAAACAAAAAAAACCCAAAAAGAAAAAAGTCATCTCTTTTAGGTAGATAAGTGCAAACTTAATGAGAATAAATGGTAGCAGAAAAAGTTGTTTTTAATATGGATGAACTCACTCTAATTCCTTTAGAGTGAACTATCGAGTTGCGTGCCTATGATGAAGAGCATGGTGCTTCAAGTTACAGTTTAGTTAAAGGACTCTGAAGTCGTTGTTTATTGTGACCCGAGCTTGTAGTCTATTGTTAATTTGGGCAGTTAACAAAGGGTTGTTGCAAAGGGTTTTGTTAATAAAACAAACAGCTACATCTTAAATCGACACCTGAACACTGTATACAGATTCTATTATTACACCTTAAGAGAGAAAAATTGGATGGAAAGAAGAGCCAAAATATATGGGGATGGTCAAAAGGACAGAACAAGATAGGGATAGAGAGTCTACCTTAAAGTCAGGCTGAAATGAAAAGACCCCAACCCTTCAATGGGGGGCATGTTCAAAATCTGTAAATCCACCCACAGCGTAAATCTTTTCCATTTACTTCCCAAAGGCCAATGTAGCAGGTGTGATTACTATTCCACCAACTCAAATTAAAATCAACACTGAGCCTCCTCCCTCCTGGGGGGCAGAGGTTCCATCTCAGACAGAATTGGGGCTCTCTCATCTGCCCCATTCCCTCTACCATACTCAGGGACTTCTCAATGTTCCGAAGGCCTAGCACAGAGCAGAGTGTTGGCAAGGCCTCTATGGCTTTTGGTCTATGCTTATTACTGTCGAAGTACCTGTTGTTCAAACTAAAGTGGTCCTTTGACGTTTGATAGTTTCGCATGTTTCTTAGCCATGAGAATCTTTGCTGAAACCAGGACTTCAGAGTGTGGGGTTTAGTTCTCCCAACTGTACAACTCAGCCTTTTATGGCAAGGTAGGCTTCCTTCAAATACCCAAACTTAGGTACTCCTGCTGATCATTGATCTGAGCATAATAGGCTGCATTAAAAGACAACATTTTTTTAGAAAGGTAAATATCACAACTGCCATAGAAACATAAAATTAATATATATAAAATATTTCAGTTAACTGTTAATGAGAAGACCAGTAAGATGATTAAACCAGTTCAAAGGAGAACTCAAAGAATGCACACACACATAGTCAATCAAATACTAAAATCAATTTTCTAATATATGCAAAACTGGTTAATATCCACTGAGCAACAACCAACTGCATCTCTAGTAGACAAATCCATTTGTATTTTTATGGACAAGAGTCATCTGCATTACTATCAGTTTTCCACAACTTACATAGCAGTAAGATTTCTCAGTAGCAACAAGGCACAGATCTTTGTAGATCAAGTAACTCAGAAGGATGTACCTAGTATTTGATTGAAAGGATACCCAGTAAACATTTTTGCTTATTTTTTTTTCAATTGATGCAGGTCAGTAATTTTTATTGCAACTGGAAGACAATATGTCACAGAAACTTTATGGTAGGTCTGGGGAAAAGTGTTATTTACAATAAGTGATGAAATAGTTTGTCCTTGGCAATATGATTACATATGAAGAATGCAAAATGCAGGTATGGATGCCTTCTAAGCAACACCATCAAGTTCCTAGGGTTGGGCTGATGGCGCCTGCCTCCACATTGTTTCTTTAGGTTCACACGAACATCACTGAACATCACGTTCTTTCTCCTTTATGGTCCTCCCTTTCTATTCATGATATTGGCAGTTTCATACAGAAAATACAGAAAAAAATCGGTTTTTGAAAAATTAATACTCTTGTAAATTAATTTGGCCGTGTAGGTCTATTGGCCAACCAAGGTCAGACGACCCTAAGCATCAATAATAAACCTCTTGGTCGTCTGATCGCTTTATCACTTTTTTTTGTTTGTTTTGTTTTTTTTTTTCCGTAAAACAAAACTCAGAAATGTTACAGAATCAGAGTATTAATTTTTCCTCCACATTTTTACCATGGCAGTATTAAGTAGCGAGTGTGAATGACGCAGCATGAAACTGATTACTGAATCAGCTATGAGCTCAGTTGGCCTCAACATACATACTCAAGAAATGTTGCATGTTTAAATATTGCATGTTTAAATAACTGACAGTATGCTAAATCTCATCTAAAAAAAGGAGGAGAGGGGCTGGGGAACTCAGGCCACAGTCATGAAAGGATGAATACAATTTCTAGGTTTAATAGGTTCACCATATCGAAGTTTTTGAGAATCCAATATGGAATATCAATTATTTTGCAAAAGGTAGAGAAAGCAGTTCTCAACTTTTGCAAATGAAATACAGTGGAAAAACACTGTTGTATATATTCCAAATAAATAGTCTTGATTTCAACACTAACAAAACAACCGGAAGGGTACTCCTGATCATCTCACGGTTAGGTCAGAAATGATTGTTCACACAGGTCTGATTTCACAAGTACAACAGCAAGGTGCAGCACCATAGACACGTTGGTTTTAGCTGTTAAAAGATGGATCATTTTAAAAACTGTGTTTTCCTTCCTTAATTTTTGGTCAGTGAAGCTAGCACTTGTTTGCTGAACTGTGGAAGAACTGCAAGGTCACGCACATTATTCATGATAAAGCAACCAAGCTGATGAGTCTGTGCTTAATTATAGAATAACCAGTAGGAGAGAGAGAGAACACAAGGAGTTCACCACCACCGCAGGTGCTCTCAAAGGAAGAGGGGTTAACAGATGAATTCACAAAGGCAGATCTATACAGAATACTGAATGCCATGTGTAAATCCTCATGAAACTCCAGAAACAGGAACACCACACAATGCATATACTTTGATTTACACATTCCATTACAAAGGAAAAAAAGACACCATTACAACTTGGTATGTAACTGCATTAACTGCGATATAAACCAAGTCCAGAGTTTGGCAGGTAACTAAAAGTGGGTTATCACTTAGGTTATATAGCAAAAGTGTTGATGTATATTATATAGAGTAGTATAAATAATAACAAATTATTATTTAAATTAGATCACAGTGCTGCATTATGTGCATAACAGTGATATAGGGACCTACGACACTAAGGACTTAACTGTTACCACTGGGAAGTCACAATCAAGAGGAAACACAGAGTTCCAATGTTTTCTTTTGGTGGCAAAAAAAATCCTGAAGATGGCTGGGCGCGGTGGCTCACGCCTGTAATCCCAGCACTTTGGGAGGCCGAGGTGGGTGGATCACGAGGTCAGGAGATCGAGACCATCCTGGCTAACACAGTGAAACCCCGTCTCTACTAAAGATACAAAAAAATCCCCCAAAAATTAGCTGGGCGTGATGGTGGGCACCTGTAGTCCCAGCTACTCGGGAGGCTGAGGCAGGAGAATGGGGTGAACCCAGGAGGCAGAGCTTGCAGTGAGCCGAGATCGCGCCACTGCATTCCAACCTGGGCGACAGTGAGACTCCGTCTCAAAAAAAAACAAAACAAAAAAAAAAAAACTTGAGGATGAAAGAAAAATACTTCTCTACAGAAACAATAAAAATCGGTTGCAACATCTGGGCAGCTGTGATCCAGCAGAAAGAAACGAGTCCCAACCTGAATTAAAGGGAAAAAGAAACCATATGAATTTAATCCAGTCTCATCTAGAAAAGCTTCCCATTTAGGTCACTTGTATGTAACTCCAATTCCTTCTCCAAGAGCCCTTCCAGGAGAGGCGCAAGGTCCCCCCACACAGAGTGGAATGAGTGGAACTTGCGTCAGTAGCCCTTGGCTTAGGCATTCCTGGCATGGTGCAGGACTCTGAGCTGGGCACAGAAGGCGTCCACCTGGTTCTCGCTTTACAGAGCCCACTGCCTGATGCCCTCCCTCAGGCAGGAGCCTCCTTCAACACAGTGGTCCCTCCCAGAAGACTCCTTGGTAGTAACTGCTGTGGCCAGCAAGCACTACACACATTGAATGCCTCTGCATTTTTATTTTAAAGTCACTTTTTTCTTTTTTTCTGATACTTGCCTACATATACTGAATCAAAATGTGGGTTTCAGGCAGCAACCCAGCAACTAAGTAATTCTTAATGACTAAAGGTTGATAGTGAAAAATGAGTTGGCTCTGATTAATGAGATTAGCTAGCTGGTCATCTTAGAGAATAAAGGGGGTCATGTTGTGTCCAGAATTGGTGGGTTCTTGGTCTCGCTGACTAAAAGAATGAAGCCGCAGACCCTGGCAGTGAGTGCTACAGTTCTTAAAGATGGTGTGTCCGGAGTTTGTTCCTTCTGATGTTCCCACGTATCCGGAGTTTCTTCCTTCTGATGGGTTCTGATCTTGCTGACTTCGGGAATGAAGCTGCAGACCTTCGCTGTGTTACAGCTCATAAAGGTGGCGGGGACCCAGAGTGAACAACAGCAAGATTTACTGCGAAGAGTGAAAAAACAAAGCTTCCACAGGGAGGAAAGGAACCCCAGCGAGTTGTTGACCCTTGCTCTGTGGCCTGCTTTTATTCACTTATTTGGCCCCACCCACATCCTGCTGATTGGTCCATTTTACAGAGTGCTGATTGGTGCATTTAGAAACCTTTAGCTAGACACAAAGTGCTGATTGGTGCATTTACAATCCTTTAGCTAGACAGAAAAGTTCTTCTAGTCCCCACCCTATTAGCTAGACACAGAGCACTGATTGGTGCTTTTAGAAACCTTTAGCTGGACAGAAAAGTTCTCCAAGTCCCCAACCAACCCAGAAGCCCAGCTGGCTTCACCTCTCAATGTTAAAGAGAGCCTCTACTGCCAGGTATGTGCAAGGGAGAGAACAGATTGGAGATTATATCCAGATGACTGTATCAGAGGTGCCGGTGGGGTCAGGGGAGGAGTCCTGAAATTGGGCATGTTTTATTGAGGTGGTTTAAACAAGAGACTGGTTTTGATGTGAGGGTACCAGAAATCCTACACTTTTCATAGAATGGTTTTAGAATTTGCCTTGATGAAAATTTACAGAGGAAGAAAAAGATAAAAGAGAACACTCACTAGAAGTAGTTAGGGGTTGGGTCCCTAAATTGGAGTCTGATTTTGGTCTGATTTCCCGAAGTTTTCATTCTTTCATAGGGGAAACTCAAATACTACTCTTAATCTTCTTAACCTTAGGTGGAGTTCCATGCCTCCAGCTTATCAGCTTCCCCTGAAATCATGGACGGGAGTTTCTTAGAGTGTAGTCACACCTCACAGATCCTATAAGCATCTAGGCCACAGACTGTAAATTTTATTTTTTGCTTTACATCTCCCCTGTATCTATTGAGATTATCATAAACATTTTCCCCTTTAACTCTTTACTTATAGTTTTAATTTTGAAATAATTTTAGATTTACATAAAAATTGTAAAGATAGTTTAAAGAATTCCTGGATACCCCCCGCCCAATTTTGTATGTTACCGTGGTACATTTGTTAAAACTGAAAAACAGACATTGCTCCATTACTATTGAATTAACTCCAGACTTTATTTGGATTTCAACGTTTTTTCTATTAGTGTTTTCTTTCTATTCCAGGATCCAGTTCAGGATACCACATGATACTAATTCTGTGGTCTGTGAGTTTCTCAGTACTTTTTTTTGTTTTTAATGACCTTGAGAGTTTTGAAGAGTACTGGCTGGGCATCCCGTAGACTGTCCCCCAGTCTGAGTTTGTCTGTTGTATTTTTCTCCTAATTCGATCCGGGTTATGGATTTTTGGGAACGCAGCCATAGACGTGAAGCGCCCTTCTCATCACATTGTATCAGAGGGAACCTTGGTCACTTAGTGAAGGTAATGCTGGCAAGGCCTCTTCATTATAAAGTTACATTTTTGTCTTTTCTTCTCTATTCATTGGAATTGAGCCACTAGGTGATTTGTGATTTCTAGTTCCATCCTTTAGAATGACTTAGACATTTTTGTTTGTTTGTTTGCATGAAAGTTCCAAATAATTCACTGATAACACCATCTGGGCCTAAAGTCTTTTTGGAGGTAAAATTTTAAAAACCTTTTAAAAGAATTTTCATGATTTCTTCTGGGTGTGATGGCTCAAGCCTATAATCCCAGGGCTTTGGGAGGCCGGAGCAGGAGGATTGCTTCAGCCCAGGAATTAAGGCTGCAGTGAGCTATGATCATGCCACTGCACTCCAGCCTGGGTGACATAGCGAGACTCCGTCTCTTAAAAAAAAAAAAAAAAAAAAAAAAAAACAACAACCAACTTATAATTTCATGTCTATAAAGGTCTTCTACATCTTCTAAATGTCAGAGTTTTTGGTAATTAAAAAATATAATGATCAATTTCATTGTGATTTTGAAATTTAATAGATGGTGTTTTGCCTAGCATATTTTATTCTTGTATGTATATTTGGTATCTTTTTTCTGGATTTCTAATACAGATGTACATTTTGTTTTCATGAGTAGGCATGCTATTTATGTTGTTTAATTTGTGGAGGAAGTGGTAGCGCCTTCCAGACTTGTAAGTCTAATGCAGAAATGGGAATTAGTAAGGTATATGTGCTGCAACAGTGAGGTTTGCTGGAGCAAAGAACACTGGAGCCCAGGGGCAGATTCTTGGGTACTTTGGGCAGGTCTAGGTAATGGTGGACCATTAACATAGAAAACTAGGCTTATGCCTACTTCTCTTAGAAGCTCTTTTTGGTAGATATTCTAGTTTGGAAGTATAGAGGCAACATGGAACTCTGGGAGAGATAGAAGACTATTGTTTCCACCCTCCAGTGCTACTTCTTAGACTGCTTTCTGCTAATAGCTACACAAGATTTGGTTATGCCTCCTGCAAAGGGCTTCTGCCCAGCTTGAGATTTACAGCTCTTTTCACCACTATACCGGTAGGATCAGGTATTTTTGGGTATTTGGGCAGGAAAAAGAAATCATAGAATGTCAAGTCTGTGTAGGACCTCTAGTTCAAAGCTATCTTTCTTTTTCCTCATTTTTTTTTTTATTATTTCTCTCTCTCTCTCTCTCTCTCTTTTTTTTTTTTTTTTTAACAGTTTAAGTTCTGGGATACACATGCAGAACATGCAGGTTTGTTACATAGGTATACATGCGCCATGGTGATTTGCTGCACCCATCAACCTGTCATCTAGGTTTTAAGCCCCGCATGCCTTAGGTATTTGTCCTAGTGCTCTCCCTCCCCTTGCCCCCCACCCCACAACAGGCCCCGGTGCGTGATGTTCCCCTCCCTATGTCCATGTGTTCTCATTGTTCAACTCCCACTTATGAGTGAGAACATGCGGTGTTTTCTGTTCTTGTGTTAGTTTGCTGAGAATGATGGTTTCTAGCTTCATCCATGTCCTTCCTTTCTCCTCATTTTAAGGATATGAGAACTAAGGTTAAGTAAGGGCAAATGGATGTTCTAAGGCCACAGAGAAAATCAGTGGTGAAATTAGGACTTGCACCCAGATTTCTTTACTCCTGGTTTAGTGCTCTCTCGTAACGTCCCACTGCCCTTGATTTTGACCTAACAGACGTAGAGGCCATACACATAGAGAAAAGGCAATGATCAATGTGGTGGAGTTTAAACACTCTAAATCCAGGGAAAGTTCCATAGCGTGGGTGCTTCTGGGCTCTGTTGTGGAGATATAATTGCAGCGGGACCTGTCCTAGTCAAACCGCTCACAAAGGTTTGACCCTGCAAATCTCCATCAACTGAGCTTTACAAATCCCCAGGGAAAACATAGGCATATTTGGAGGAGTTGCTTTATCTCTTCAATCTACTTGTGAAGTAATCCTGAACTTTTAGAGCACAGCCAAGGGCTGGGATACTTGCCAGTCCATATACAGTGTCCATCTGTAGGGATAGACTAGAATTCAGGCTAAACGGAGATTCCCTCTTTCGGCTGCTGCGTGCTGTCTCAGACTGTGTATCTTGAAGCAGGATCCACATTCTTGGCAGGTCAGCTGTGAAACGTGTTTGACATTGGTGGAAAAGGGCAGTTCTCAGATCCAGGAGCCTTGCTGCTTGTCTGTCTGCACTCCTGAGGAACCCTTTGGCAGAAGCCAACTTCTTGCGAGTCTGTTTGGCTTTCTCTTTGACACTGATGGAGCAGGGTAAGCTGACTCCAGGCTCAGAAAGTTCCCTTCCCTCCACTTTGTGTAGAACACATACAAACCCGCCTATGTGTCAGACGGGTATGTTCAATGCCCATTTGAATTCCCTCATCGCAAGGAGAGTAATGGGAAATGCAAAAGCGAATTAAGGTTATGCTATGATGTTATGGGGTGATGAGGATTTAATGAAGGGAAGATCATTTATTCTCTTCTCAACCTCTAGGACCCAGGCTTGTTGATTTGTTTATACCACTGTCCAACTGTCTGTAGAATCACGGTACAGTGGGACAGATTTTAGACCTCAAATTCTGGGATCTTGGCATTAAGCCCAAAGGAGATCTGGGATTTCCCTACTGCTTTAATAATTTCTGCTGGCCCTCCTGGAGTCATCTTAAACTGTTCCCAAGGTAAATAAATCAGCTGCCCTAGAGTGGAAGCATCCCATTCATACAGACACAAACCCAGAGACAACAAACAAAGGTAAGAAAATGCCTTCCCCTGAGACTGCGCCTATACTTTGTAAAATCGATTCCTGGGGACGCTGTGAATGGTATTCCCTCAAATCATGCCCCATGTCCTCTTCTGCCCTGGCTAAGACAAGTTGACTGATGGGGTACACTGCAGTCTTGAGATATGCAAGAGAGGGCAGAGGCCACACTGCATAAAGCCAAACCACCTGCTTTAGAAAAGTATGTGCACAGTTGAGTGAGTGAAGGGACAGGTAGGTGATGAAGCAGCTGCCTCTCGTGACAGACATTCAGTGTAGCTCAAAGGAGCTGTGCCAACCAGGTGGGTTTAAATCCCTTCCTCCTTCCATGCAAGCAGTGATGGACACCTGACAAGAGGCCACCCTACCTTTGGTGGCTTCCAGAAGAAATGGAGTGAGGGTGGGGCAGGGTAGATAAGGAACATAGGAAAAATGCAGAGAAATGAGATGTTTGTAAAATTTGATGTTTATATTTTCCATCTCCAGGTATTTTTTTTTCCTGATTTCAGACTTTTTTCTGTTTCTCCTCTAGTTTTATAGATGCAATTTGCTCTTCACTCTCATTGAGATTCTACTCAGAGGCAGTTAGTTTACTTACCTTGGGAACAGAAAACAGTTCTTGTTTTTACAGTTTTTTTGAGCAAATTACAATGATAACAATGGTAATTTCTGGGAAGATTACAACTATGCAATTTTCAAATTATGAAACTTCCACTGGTCGGAGGCCTTACTGAGCAGCTTATTCAGCTAATATTTATACAGAAAAAAAGAAAAATCAGCAAGGCTCTAGCTTTAAAAGTTCTATCATCTCTTATCTGTAGTCTTTTTTTTGTACTTTTTATAAATATAGAAGTTCAAATCTGCACAAAGATGTATGTTTTCACGCTGACATCTTTGACATTCTTTGATCTTTTCATGCCTCCATGTATATATTATTTGAACATGTGTAAAACCTTGCAAATTAGAGGGAAACCAGATTATTATCCTGTATTCAAAATTCTGTCATATCTGCAATTTTAATTTGAAATTGCAACTGTGAGAGAGACTTCAGGGAAAAGTATTAAGATAGCTTCTAAAATATTTGCTTAATATTAATTTTAGAATTTTTAGAAAACACAAGAAAGAAAAATTAAGAAATCAAAAGTCATGATTGTATCATTTAGACTTTAACACTTTGGTGTACACAGTTCCAGTCTCTCTTTTTTATATGTATAGATATGTTAAAATAAAATGGAATTTTAAAAAATATAACTTTAAAAGTCCCTTTTACATATTTTAAACGTTTTCTTTTATTATTTTTTCTATTACATTATCTTAATGGGTATATATCATCCCACCATATAGCTATACCATAATCTATTTAATGAATCTCCTATTGTTGGAAATTTAGATTATTTTCAATAATTCACCATTACTGGCAGTACTATAATGTTAACCATTGTAGCTATATCTTTGTGCACAGTCATGATTATTTCCTTATGATAAATTCCTGGAAGTAGAGTTGCCAGATCAAAATGTATGCAAAAATTCTAAGACACAAAAAGATTGCCTAAAAGTTGTATAAATTTATCTTCCCACCACCTATTTGTCAGAAGGCTCATTTCCCTCTATACTTGGCAATAACTGATAAATTATTATTTTTTACTAATTTATAAATAATAAATACTACACCATTGTCTTATTAAGCACTTACTTGATAACTAGTGATGATACATTTTGTATGTTTACTGTTAATTTAACTTTCATGGTTTTAAATTAGCTTTTCATGTTTTTAAGTTTTTTTGCCTTTGTAAATAGTCAACTTAATTGACTCATCTTATTAGTTGAATAATGTCTTAGTTCTTGCTTTTAGATGTTTTTGAGCAAATTACAATTATAACAATGGTAATTTCTGGGAAGATTACAACTATGAAATTTTCAAATTATGATAATTCATTCCTTTGTTTTCATGTTTATACTTTTCTTTTTCTTAGTACATTGGCTGAAACTTCTGTGTGTGCTTTGCTTCAAATCCTTGGAGAATGTCTTGAGCTCGTGTTAATTCCCTGATTAATTGTCTTCAGTACATAATATGCTGCTCATTACCTCCACTGTGTTTTAAAATTTGATGTTTGTATTTTCCATCTCCAGGTATTTTTTTCCTGATTTCAGACTTTTTCCTGATTTCAGACTTTTTTCTGTTTCTCCTCTAGTTTTATAGATGCAATTTGCCCTTCACTTTCACTGAGATTCCACTCAGAGGCAGTTGGAAACAGAAGTTTTGATGAGACTGGAAATGCCAAGACATTTTCCTAAAAGTTTTCTCTTATTTCATGGACTAATACATGTTTTTAACTTATTAGTTCTCTTCTTTTGAATTGATATTTTCATTTTATTTAGTGATTTTTCTTTGTTTATTCTTTTTTTTTTTCTCTTTTGAGACAGAGTCTTGCTCTGTCACCAGGCTGGAGTGCAGTGGTGCCTTCTCGACTCACTGCAGCTTCCGCCTTCCTGGTTCAAGTGATTCTCTTGCCTCAGCCTCCTGAGTAGCTGGGATTACAGGCACATGCCACCACACCCAGCTAATTTTTGTATTTTTAGTAGAAACGGGGTTTCGCTATGTTGGCCAGGCTGGTTTTGAACTCCTGACCTCAAGTGATAGACCTGTCTCGGCCTCCCAGAGTGCTGGAATTACAGGCGTGAGCCACTGTACCCGGCCCGTTCATTCTTACAGTAGCAATGTTATGTTTGTCCAAAATGAAGAGTAGAGATGGCGTTTATCAAATACAGAGTGGATGTTTATTCAAACTCTTTAGTCCTGAAGTTGAGAGCCAGCTTGACTGTGTCCCCATTTTCATTAGTGTGCGCTTGGTGTTAACTGTGAGTTGTAGAGTCTGCATGTTTCTAACTCTTGCTAGTTTTATCAGAGAAGCTGATTAATACTGATCCTTCATTGACTGCCCCTGGCTTGCCCGCCCTACTAGCTACCATGGTAACTCAGACTTAGGGGCCCTCTAAAGTGACTCCTGCTTTCAACATTTTCTTTTTGGCTGTCTCTTAAATGTCAAGGTTCTGTGGACCCTACCTTTGTCCTCTTTTCCCCTCATTCTCTACACTTTCCATTGTTTCTGTCGCCTTCATACACGGCTTCAACCATCTCTTATATGCAGAAGACTCCCCAAGTCAGTATCTCCAGCCCAGACATTCCTCTTAAATATAAAACTGGACATCTCCATGTGGCTGTCCCTCAGCTGATCAAACAGAGCATGCAAAAAAATGATTGACTGCAAAAGAAGCAGTCTTAATCAAGCTTCATTACCCAATTTCTGGGTTGAACAAATTCACGCCATCCTCTCTGTAAGTCACAGTGACAATGGCAGCAGAGCTCTGCTGAGCTCTGGTACCACATCTACCCTTCTGTTTCCACCGGTCTGTGCTCTGCAGGAGTGAGTGTGGTTACTCTCAAACTTGGTTATATAAGTAAACCTGGTACTAAGACTTGTCCTGTAAAATAATGAAATTTGAACAAGAAGGGCGTTGATGCTCTGAAAACCATATTGGAAGCTTTGTAAAGAATTTGATAAAGTGAACTTACTTAAAAAAATGCTGCAAAACTGGATATGCTTTGGTTAACTTTAAGAGCGAAGGATTAAAACAAAGAAACAAACAAACAACAAACCTCTGTTAAAAAACCCTGAGAACTTTTTTTTTTTTTTTTTTTTTTGAGACAGAGTCTTGTTCTGTCGCCCAGGCTGCAATGCAGTGGCGCGATCTCGGCTCACTGCAAGCTCCGCCCCCGGGTTCACGCCATTCTCCTGCCTCAGCCTCCTGAATAGCTGGGACTACAGGTGCCCACCACCACGCCCGGCTAATTTTTTGTATTGTTAGTAGAGACGGGGTTTCATCGTGTTAGCCAGGATGGTCTCGATCTCCTGACCTTGTGATCCACCCGCCTCGGCCTCCCAAAGTGCTGGGATTACAGGAGTGAGCCACTGTGCCCGGCCAAAACCCTGAGAACTTTTAATTTAGATTGCTTTACAAGTATCTATAAGTTTCCACTCTACTTCAAAGATATCAAAACTGGGAATTATAGATGATTCATTACGGGTATTGCTTCTGTGAGAAAGGTGAGGTAGAACTCCCCACTAGCTAACTTGTTCAAAGGCCTTGGCCCTATATCAAATGATTGGTGATTGATTGATACATTTGAATGTTAAGATAAAATAAAAGGTTTAAGACATGCATATTCCATTTTCAGAAATTATTCTCTTTTTTTAATTTTTATTTTTGAGACAGTTTCGCTCTTGTTGCACAGGCTGGAGTGCAGTGGCACGATCTTAGCTCACCGCAACCTCTGCCTCCCGGGTTCAAGCAATTCTCCTGCCTCAGCCTCCCAAGTAGCTGGGATTACAGGCATCTGCCACCATGCCCGGCTAATTTTTGCATTTTTAGTAGAGACGGCATTTTACTATGTTGGTTAGGCTGGTCTCGAACTCCTGACCTCAGGTGATCTGCCCGCCTTGGCCTCCCAAAATGCTGGGATTACAGTCATGAGCTACCATGCCCAGCCCAATTTTCAGAAATTATTCTCCTATCATTGATCTCTTGATCAGTTATGAGTCCTGATTTATCGAATCAGAGGGCTTGTATTATTTGTATCTTTTATTCCCAACATCCTAGCAGAAAGCCAGGATGCAGTCCAAGCTCTGTGAAACTTGAGCTGCTGAGCTAGCTGCAAAGGCTGGCTTGGATCTGTACTGTAATGGCTCTATATAATTCTCTAAGATTCTCTTGTGGTTTCTGCAGACACAGAAGAGGGGGCATCTTTGGGGAAGTTTCCATTTTTAGAGAAGGTTGTTGGTAAAGCCTTTTTAGCTCATAGTATTTACACTTTCTACTTCATTAAATGTCCGTATTTGTCATCATGATTCCCAAGCACTTGTCGGTTCCTTTCGGTAGGGGCAGTACATTTGGCACAGCTTAGAGAACTACCCTTCATTTTCCCCATTAGCTATAATCTAAGACAGAATCATCCACATGGACACAACTTTGTAAAGGGCAAATAGACAACATATTAGAAATATTAAATATGAAATAGTACTAATATATTAGTAAAATATAAGTGTACATACCCTGTTTAATCACTGGCCTGAACTCAGTGGAATTCTAATGGAAATAGTTTTTTATTTTTTGCTCTAAATGATGCCTCCAATCTGACTTCCAGCCTCATTTTTCTGTTTTTTAATAAATCTTGAGCACAGACCATAATTTTCAGGTGATTCTTCACTGTTAAAATTAAGTCCACGGGGCCAGGTGCGGTGGCTCATGCCTGTAATCCTAGCACTTTCGGAGGCCAAGGTGTGCGGATCACGAGGTCAGGAGTTCAAGACCAGCCTGGCCAGCATGGTGAAACCCTGTCTCTACTAAAAATACAAAAATTAGCCGGGTGTGTTGGCAGGCGCCTGTAGTCCCAGCTACTTGGGAGGCTGAGGAAGGAGAATCACTTGAACCGGGAGGCAGAGGTTGTAGTGAGCCGAGATTGAGCCACTGCACTCCAGCCTGGGTGACAGAGTGAGACTCTATCTCAAAGGAAAAAAAAAAAAAAATTAAGTCCAGGGATGTCTGCTCTGGCCATGATGGAGTAACTAGTACTAGATTTATCCTTCTACCAGAAACAACTAAAAAATAAGAGAAAATATATGAAACAAGGGTTTTTGGACATTAGAAATCAGGTAGCAGAGGACAGGGATCAGAATGGGGGAAACAAAAAAGGGTGAGCCCTATGATGGCCCCAGCTTACTGCCTGGAGAAAGTCTCCAGGCTGCAGCACAGGGAAAGGAACTCGGGCAGAGCTGATGTTCTCCTTGTGTTGAAAAGACAGAGATGGGAGTGTGGGAACGCAAGGCAGCTGGATATCATAGGGCATGTATACAAGAGAGAAGAGGGATTTATGGAGAGAAAGCCCCAGAGATCTGCAGAGGGTCCCCCTTGAGCCTTAGGTGAGAGCTGAGTAGCTCATGTACGTGAAGAAATGTCCCCAAAGCTGGGGAAAGAACCACCTGAAAGGAGTAAAGGAAACAAATTCCGGTGTTCAGGATTTGAGGGTATATTAGAGATACAAAGGAAGATGCGGAAAGACCAGGGACTCTGGGCATCAGCAGGACATGGATGAGGAACTGGGTTGTGGAGGACTCGTCTTTGGGCAGAGATCTTGCTCCATTGCCCAGGCTGGAGTGTAGTGGCGTGATCATGGTTAACCACAGTCTCAATTTCCTGGGCTCAAGTGATTTCCCTAAATAGCTGGGACTATAGGTGCATGCCACCATACCTGGCTTAATGTTTTTAAATTTTTGGTAGAGACAAGGTCTCACTACGTTGCCTAGGCTTCAGTGTCCTTTTTAAAAATAGATTTTATTTTCATTTATTTATTTTTTTGAGACGGAGTCTCACTCTGTCACCCAGGCTGGAATGCAGTGGTGCAATCTCGGCTCACTGCAGCCTCTGCCTCCAGGTTCAAGTGATTCTCCTGCCTCAGTTTCCCAAGTAGCTGGGATTACAGGTGCCCACCACCACACCTGGCTAATATTTTTGTTGTTGTATTTTTAGTAGAGATGGGGTTTCACCATGTTGGCCAGGCTAGTTTTGAACTCCTGACCTCAAGTGATCTGCCCGCCTCGGCCTCTCAAATTGCTGGGATTATAGGCGTGAGCCACTGCGCCCAGCCTAAAAGTAGATTTTAAAGTGGAATGCAACATACAAATAGAAATGTACACAAATCATAGTGTGCTCATTGAGTTTTCACTAGCACACTTGTGTAAACCAGATTATGAAATAGTTCTCCAGAAGCTCCATTTGCACCCCTCCCAATCATTAACACTGCTCCCCTAAAGGCCACTATCGCCTCCCACCCCCTGTCCATCATCATCACCAAGGCAAACCTTCCTCCTCAGCTGGGCCCATTTACAATCCCCTCTGCAGTTGCTGCTTCTCTGGCGGACACTGCCTGGCTTAGTGCTGGGTGGCAGGTATCCAAGTGCTGGCTGTCTTAGGGGTACTGCTTGAGTTCTTTGGAAGACCCTGTGGGGTCTCCCCACTGCCCAGTTCCCTGACACAGGCTCTCTGGCTCTGGACTGATGTCCGTTCTTCGTCAGCTCCATTATTAAAGTCTGCTCGCCTGGCAGGCAGCCCTCTTGGTGGGGTACTGGAAAGATGGCTTGAGCCCAGCTACATTCCACAGTGTCCATTCAACCATGGGAAATTCATGCATCCTGGCCATGCCAGTGGGCCAAAGGCTGCTCCACGACCCCCTCCCATTTCCCTCCACTTCTCTTTTCTCCTGTTATTAAGGCTATGATGGATGGAGATCTCCAACTGGAGAGTGGAATGCTGGTGCCAGTACCCCTTCCTGCAGGCCCCCATCATTACTGTAGGAGACGATCTTGGATAATGCCCCTCGCTTGGCTTTGGGGAAGAGTGAGGAAGGCCACTGCTTGTCACGAGGCTGACAACGGCCTGTGCGTAATCAATTTTCCTCCACTCATTCTCCTTTTAAAGGGGGGCAAGGTAGGGAGTGTCTGTGGAGCAAGGGCAGTGTTCTAAGGGTACCTAGGATTTATTTTACCTTGGTGTGGTAAGACACAGACGGGGAAATGACTGTCATGAAAACAGTTTTTATACTCACAGATCTGTAGAAGCAGGGGGCACTGGATGCCATGTAGGGCCACACAGGGAAGCACCAGGTGGGTCAGGAGGCAGAGGGAGAGGGGGAAGTATAAGTAAGGGCCTTTACTGGGGTTTCCACAGAAGGAACAGGTGAGGCAGGGTGAGCAGGGTTACGATCGGCTAGTTTGCATGATTTCAGCAGGCTCTGGGGCATGGGGCTGTCCCTAGTTGTCTGGGACCTGGCCCTGGGGGGATTAAGGGCAGGTGGAGTGTGGCCCAGAGTGTAAGCGCCCAATAGAGGAGGTGGCTGGGGATGGAGGCTCTGGATTGGTTGGTTCGCATTTGAAAGACATGCTCAACCTGACTCATTTACTGTATCTAGGAATGAGCTAACCTTGGGAGGGGCAGTCCCAAGGGTCAGCAAAGTCCCAAGAAGCCAGAGCAGCCAAATGCAGAAAAAGACACAATTAATAAAGCCAATCTCATTATCTCATAGTGAGCTCTGGGGGGCCAGGGGTGGGGGTGGAGGGGTTCTGGTTGTTGTTGGGTCTTTTTAGAATGTATGTTACTTTTTACCTCTTTGTCCTCAGCTTTGGGGTACTGGCTGTTAATTCCGAGATGACAGGAAATATCTCAACATTCTGCTATATAGTGATTAGTGAAAACATGACATTGCATACTATCTGACTTTCCTATTAGAAATTAAAGCAGCAAATGCTGAAATGGTCTACACTGTTGACTGGGGCTCAGGGTCCAAAGATTCTTTGGTTGCAAGCAATGGAATTCAACTGGTTGATATCAACAAAACCACAATCTGTGAAATGTGTGTAGAGTAGCTCAAGGGGAAGGAAAAGTGACTTTCAGGCCTCTGAAAGGCAGAGAGCTACTGTTGGCTTCCAGCTGCCACAGCATTTTGTATGCCCAGGAGTCAGGTTCCAGGGAGGGAGGATCCTTGGCCAGAGGCTTGAGGTTCGGGGGGATCTTTGATTGACATTCTCATCAAGACTGTGTCATAAAGATCGAGGAGTGATTTCCCAGAGGAAAATAAAGGGCTAGTAACAAAAGAAGAGGCTATGAAATCTGGGTTGGAAAAACCAAAAGATGCTCATTACAGGTAGACAGGTGCACATAAAGAGTCCAGATGTAGCTTCAGAAAAGCCATATTTGAGCTCCTTCTCTGTCACTGATTATTTTGGTCATGATTTTTATGGACTTCTTTGTCCACCTATAATATACAGGTATTTAATACCTACCTTACCATATTGTTGAGACAAGTAACTATAAATGCTATAAAAATGACAAGCCGCTATATGATTCGTACCACATTAGTACAAACTACGTCATTCCTTGTGTTCCTGAGTTGCCATCATCTCGTAGATGGTGTGTGTTCTTGTCACTTTGTATGGATTCCCTATGAAGGCACTGATTTGATAGTAAAGCATAAAAACTTTAAACGTCCCATGGAAATGCAAGCATGTCCTAGTCTAATACATTTTTAGGCTCTGAATCCCCACATGGAGCCAATTTGACATCCAGTTGTACATCTAAAGTACCGTTAAAAACCCAACCCTTTATTTACCTAGATTCTCGATTTATCTTGAAATGAAAAGCATTTGCATGGAGAGAACTTCGTGCTTTTCAGCATGCAAAATGTCAAACAGATCTTATCTGACCTGTTGCTGCCCCCGTGCACAGCCCTGAGTGGCTCCAGGATCTGCGTTGACAATATTCCAACGTGTTCAGCTGATGTGCCAAAACCTATTGAAAACCCTAGGTCTGGATTGTGCTAACAGCACCCTTTCAAATTCTTGAAATCCAGGCACATCCTGGGAGGAAAGAGGCCTGCGAGGTGTCTCACTTCTCTTACAAGAGGGATGGGTGAGAAATGAAACCTCCTGGGATCCAGACAAAGCCTTGGGTATTGCTAGAGACATGTGTTTTGCTAATGGACAGACAATTTTGCATAGAGACATTCCAGCTTAACCTGGAGCTGTGCTCTCTGCTGGGATGCTGGCCCTTTCCCATGGGGGCCTTTGCTTGAGAGTCTAAGGACTTTCCAGTGAGAAAACTGATTCTGAGTGAGTACGAGGGTCAGGCACATTCTTCGTTGCCTTTAATAGTTGTTGGAGGAATGAGTAATTCTGAAAGCTGAGTGTGTTATTTATATTTATTTCCTAGCCCGATCTCCCCATGGTTGAGGGGTACTGGGGGGAAGTGTGGATTTCTAGTGTGTGTTGTGGATGTGAAATAAATCTCAGTGACCTATAGTCTTAAGGAAGGCAAGACACAAATGGCGTGGCTTTGGTGCTGGAGTGAAACAGCCAAACGGTGAAGCAGAGAGAGAGAGAGAGGCTGTTTCAATGATCTGTTTCTGCGGGACAGTCTATTCCAAAACAGTGGCTTAACACAACCACCATTGTATTAGTTCTTATGGTTTTGTGGGTGAGGAAGTTGCGCAGGCCCCGGCTGGGTGATTCTTTTGCCTCAAGTGGCGTCTGTTGGGCCATGTGATGGTATCTAGCCAATGCTTTTCTAGGCTAAGATGCCTTCATTTACATCCCCGGCACACTGGCAGGGATGGCTGGAATGCTTGGCTCAGCTGAGTCCTGCTTCTTCTCTGGAGCCTCTCTACTTGGTACTGGGAGGATACTCAGCTTCAACCTGGCAGCTCAGAGCTTCAAGAGACCAAGGCAGCAGCTGCCAGTCCTGTTCCAGGCTGAAATGGAGTGACTTTCACATTCTCTCTTGGTTAGAGTAGTTGCAGGCCAGCCCGGATTCGAAGACAGAGAAAGTAAGCCCAGCTTTAGTGAGAAGGAGGGTCAAAGGAGTTATGGTAATCTTTTATTTTCCATACTGGCATTGTCTCTTCTTCTGCAGGCAGTTTAGAGTAGCTACGGCCTAGGGTGGGTTCCTAGGAAAGCAGTGTTGTCCCTGAGATGGTAGAGCCTGGTTGTTGAGTATAGACAGTGCCCTGATGAGGTAGCTTGCCTGTATGTGACGCGGGGTTCCCCTCATGCAGTGAGGGAGGGAGAGTGGCCGACGCAGGTGTTAGCTGACTGGACTTGGGTGTATCACATGGAGACACCCTTTGGGAACTCCCAGAAGTACTTGGCGGGTGGGAAGGTTGTTGTACAAAAGCTCTATACACCCTCTGCCTGGACCTTGATGTACAAAAGCATATAAAGGCAGCAGAGTCTGGGATATTGCTGTTCATGTCATACTCCATCAATATATCCTCTCCACCTTACGTGCACACCCACTGGCAGATATGGTTTGTGCAGAAGTTGATTATGTGTGTTGAAGATTCAGCGCTAGCCTGACAGTTTCTTGAAGTCCTGTCCCTCAGAGGGCAGCAATGCTGTGCAGGCATGGCTCATCAGACCCCAGTCTCACCTCCGTGGTGACATCACCCGGGATGTAGTGAATCCCTCATGAACACCAAGCTCCTTTTATTGAGGGCTCACTCCTCCATATTGCACTTTCCTGTTTAGTTCTCACAGCTCCATTGAACTACGGAATTCAGACTCTCATTTGTACAGATGAGGAAACAGAGGCCGAGAAATGTTAAGTGATGTGCCAAGCTCACAGAGGGCAAGCGGATCTGAATGTCTGACTGCAATTGTCTTTCTTGAAGGACTCATCTCACGAGGAGCCCTTCCAGGCACCAGCACTGTAAGCTCTCTAAGAGGAGTGTGCTTATTTTTCCTCTGCTGCCAAGGTGTCCTCTACCCAAGCTCACAAACCTGGTAATGGCGCCCTTTCACTTCCTTTTTTTGTTTGTTTGGAGACAGAGTCTCACTCTATCCCCCTCGCCCAGGCTGTACTGCAGTGGTGTGATCTCAGCTCACAGCAACCTCCGCCGCCTCCCGGGTTTAAGCGATTCTCTTGTCTCAGCCTCTCAAGTAGCTGGGATTACAGGTACCTGCCACCACGGGTAGCTACTTTTTGTATTTTTAGTAGAGACGGGGTTTTGCCATGTTGGCCAGGCTGGTCTTGAACTCTTGACCTCAGGTGATCCACCCACCTCGGCCTCCCCAAGTGTTGGGATTACAGGCGTGAGACACTGCACCCAGCCCCCTTTCACTTTCTTTAGCCAAGAATCTGGTGGAATTCCTGCAAGACAAATGCTCTTTGCGTGTCATGTTTCCTAGTCTGACATGGTCCTGCCGGGTTTCAGCAGGTCTCATCCATCGTGAGATGATGCTAAAGGAGATCGAAGCAGGGTCTTTTGGTTTCTAATTCCTTTTGTTTCTAAAACAGCCTCGCTTAAGTTCTCCCACTGGTGGACTCCCAGGAAAAGAGGTTGGTTTTTCGGGCTTTTGATTGAGCTTCTGATCATAGATTCTGCTGCACACATGGGAATTGTGATGGGGACGTACCCAACTGCTGACTGGTGTCTTTGCCCCACACAAAGATTTCATCCCTATTGTTTGGGGCATTCTCTATTTTTAAAAACTGTCATCCCTCAGATGGCACATCTATTGCTATTTCTTCAAAATCCATTTGAAGAAGTCGTTTTTAAATGTGTTGGTGTGTGTTCAGAGTTCAGTATCCTCCAGAAATCAATTTTGAGGAATTCCACCTCCAAGTTCTACCTCCAAATAGTTGGAACAGGTTGGAGCTCCAGCTATTGCCTGGCAGTGCACATAACTGGGCAGCTGACAGCTGAAGGCTGTCATCAAACCTTCCGCTTTTATCCCACCCTTCCTTCCTCTCTCCCTTGCCTTCTCTTCTTGCCCCTCCACATACCTTACAATACCCACAAAAGTAAAACTCTGCAAATGTTCGGGGTCCTGGTATAAAGTGAGAATGAGCTCCTGTCATGTGCCATCCAAACAACCAAACTCAGTCTCCTCTATCTTCCCTGCTTTCAGCTGATTGTTCTTGCTGGCACACAGCTGTGAGATACAGTTTCTCCACTGGAAAGCCTTCCCCATTGCATATGGTGGACAATCCATTGTGCTCACATGCATTCAAGGATCTTCGCATTCCCACTCCAGCTTGTCTTTCAAGGCTTACCTCTCCCATGTTAGGACAAACCAGACTATTCACCTTCTTCACAATGCTTTCGACCTCTGTGCCTTGCTGGTATTATTTGTCTGTCTAGAATGCCCTTCTTTACCATATTTCGTTGTCAAAAGCTAACCAGTTTCTCTAAGCCATGCACAAATTTTTGTCTTCTCAGAGAATCCTTCCTTGAATTTCACAGCCTGAGTAAATCTCATATTTCTCTATGTTCTCATAGCATTTTCTAAGTACCTTTTTTATAGGCCTTCTTACATTCTTACACACAGAGGCTGGCATGCTTGGAAATGTTTGCTGAGCTGTGAATCAGTTATTTGTGTGCGTGACTAATTAATTACTGATGTTCAGGTTTGTAATTTTAGTTCAGAGACTATGCTCTTGCTTATCTTTGGGGCCTTTTCTGAAAACCAGTAGTAGGTGCTCAATAATTGCATAGAGTTAAATGATACTGGTTAGCGCACATATTTCTTCCCTTCTGGAATTGATTTAAATTTTCTTAAAATGTTTATAATTTTCAGTCATTTAAAAAAAGAGACAAATTTTTGCTATTCAAAAGTAGACAATCCCTGGTTTACATATTTGTTGAATAATTGGCCCATGAATCTGAGGCACGAATTTTTATTTCAATGTGAGCATGGCATTTACTGCCACTGGGTGGCAGTGTACCCCAATTACAAGACTGTCTAAGTGACTACTAGACCCTGATAAGTGCTAAAATTACAAACCAGAAGTTACAAAGTGACAGTCTGTAACAACTCACATCTAGATTCTATTTTAGTGACAGAGATTCTAGTACAATACCATAATACTTAAATACTTCCTAAAATTAATATCTTCGGGTATGTCACTATTCTCCTGTTGAATATGTCTTAATTATCTTGTACTTATGGATATAGAATAGAGATGTAAATCTTATGGAGAATTGCCAGAAAATTAACCACTGGCAACGTTTTATGAAGGATGTTTTAAATGTTTAAGATAAGGTGTTCGCATATGGCTACACAGGTTTAACCCCTCACTGTGATTTCCAAAATCTGTGCAGAAGGAAGAGTTCTATGTACATTTTCTACTCCTCCAGAAAGTAGTGCAAATATGATTCTGAAAGTAACAAGGAACATTCTGGAAAAATCAAAGCCCACAAACCCAGGAAGCACCAGCTGTGGGAGTGTTGTCAGCAGGGGCAGTTTGATAGTCTGTGGGAGGAAGCAAAGGTGATTTTGGAAGCTGGGTCTGGATACGAGTCACATTTTCTAAACTCGCATTTGTCCTTGCACATGCTAGGTCATGTCACTCAGGTTGTAACCAGAAAAGATGAAGCCGTGTTTTGCATTTGAGGGGAGTGGTGGAGAGAAGCAGCAGCAGCAAGATCAGGGACCTGCAGAATCAAGAAGCTTCTCTTGGATGAGGAACTAGGTTGCTGGGGACTCGTCCTTGGGCAGAGTGCATATTCTTGGTGTCTCCTTTTATGTAAGATTTTTGCTACTGCAGAGGTAAAAGGAGCTGCTTAATGGTGCCTTTATCTGCCAACCTAATTTCAGAGCTAAAGTTGGGAAGCTTGAGTGTCGTGGGAACACTGGGAGTGGCAGTCATTAAGCACTGCAGGGTTACCGAGAGGCTTGTCTTCTTTGTTCAAATGACTTAAGACAAACTAGGGAAAGAACATGACTATATATTTGATGCTTAGAGGAATCTGATTGCACAAAACTTTATTGATAATCAAAATTTATTTATAATTATATATTATAATTTAAATATATTATAACACATTTTGTAATTCTATTATAATGATTTACATCTTGTAATTTATTTATAATTAAGAGGGCACCTTCATGTGGGGAAAGTTGGCGTCTTGTAAGGAGAACATTTACTAAGGCCATATCGTATCAGCTGCAAGACCTGCTTTGAGTTCAGCATCATTTAGCACCATTAGTCCAGAATCCTTCTGGCTAATAGCTCTTGCACTGACAAATGAAATAACAAACAACACAAAGTGCTACTCTTACAGAACCAGCGGTGTGATTACCAGACTCTTATGGGTCCTATTACATAGTGAGTTCACTTAATCCTCCCAACACCTGTATGTGACAATTGTGATAATCTCTGTTGTAAAGATAAATAGCACGAGGCTCAGGGAAGTTAAATAACCTGGTTAAGCTCAGACAGCCAGCCAGCTGTGAAACTGGGACTCAAATCATTGTTTCTGATCCAGCCTTGGTTTTCCCAAGGTGATCAAACTTTGGAGGACAGATGGGCCACGGGAGGAGGCGAGCAAATGTTTGTTGGCACGCCAGCCACACTGCACAAGTCCCAGAGATGCCATTCGGATAGGATATCACTGCGCATGCTCTATTCTGAGACTAGTACCCCTGAATGGGGGCAGCACCGTGAGTCTGTTTGTTTGACTACCTTCTGATGTTGTCAGGGATAATTCAAGAAGCTACCATTTTTGCATACTATAAATTATATTGTCAGAGCCACAGTAAATAATTATGTCCACCTCTCTGGAGTGTTGAGGTGTTTCCTTGATCAGTATCTTGATTTTATCTACCTGCCTGGCTCCTAGAAACTAAACCATTTGAGATTTTCTTAGTCAGAGTCTATGGTGACATTCCTTGCATATGCAGGCACCAAATAAGAATAAACTTAATGGTTAATGTGGAATAACTGTTTATTACGTGCCAAGTGCTTTCCATACACTGTCTCATTCAACCATCACAATGAGTTTTTCCTTAACTCTTTGTTTTATGGGTGAGGAAATGGAGTCTTAGAGAGACGAACAGGCTGCTAAATGACAGAGTCAGGGCTTGAACTCATGACTCCACAGCCCATCTCTAATCAGTACTCTCTGCTACGTTGGTTAATGATGCAATTTTACTTCAGGGGATGGAGATAATATTGTCAGAAAGGACTTACTAGCTCAAGGGAAACAAGTCCATCTGTCTTAGAAAGTCCAGCTTAGACAATTTTTGAACCATACTAAACTGTATAACAATCTGTTCACCACCAGCTGTATGATCTTAAGTACATTATTTAATTTTCCTGTGCCTGTTTTCTCATCGGTAAAGTAGGGATAATAATAGTAACTACTTAATATTACTGCCAGGAATAAATGAGATAATGTACGTAAAACACTTAGCAAAATGCATGGCACATAGCATTAATAAATGCATTAATAAAATGCTTAATAAATGTGAGCTATCATCAGCAGCAGTGGCATTGTCACCATCATCCTTAACATTAGGTAAAAGCTACTTACATTTTAGCTACTGTGCTCAAGAGGAAGCAAGAAGGTAAAAATGATGTTAAGTCAATAAAACCAAGATACAAAGACAATATCTTTTGAGATTTGACATGTAAACAATGAGCCTCTTCAGGAAACAGAAATGGTTGAAGACCCTAAAGACCAAAGTGTCCCAAGGACCCTACTTGGGGAAGGTGTCTTTGAGTTCAGCTGCAGAACTTCCTGAGCATTCTGGAAGTTCCTCACCATCGCTGCATTTGGACCAGATGATGTGAGAGTCTCAGGTATTCCTCGCCTAATGGGTGTTTGCTGTTGGAAAGCTCACGTATACTTCCACTTAAAAAGTTTGTTGTGTAAATCCAAGATCTTTCTCAGAGAGAACAGTATCAGCAGGAGAAAGCTATCCTCAAGATTGGAGCTCATTCGTTCACTCATTGAATTTATTGCGCATTTTTTCTGGGCACTACAACTAGGAAGATTAAGAGATGGCCACATTCTTCAAGGAAGTCACAGACTGGGAAGGGAGAGAAATGTTATTAAATAATTACAAAATAGTGTCATGCCAGCAGTGTGCTAAGGAAGATGGTGGGATAAAGCAGGGAGAAGGCCAGGTTTCCTCCTGGGCTCTGGGAAGGCAGGATCTCAACAGTGTGCGCTCCAAAGGCCTTGACTGTTGTGCGCTACACTGTTAGCCCTACAAGTTTCCCCCACCTGCTGCCTCCAGAAGACAGGCTGCCCTTCTTCTCCTAGGTTGCTGCAAGAATAGCCATGCTCTCTGCCGAGAGATCCGCCCTCAGTGCTTTCCCTTCAGGGGTCTAAGGGGGGCCGCCTGGAGCTACAGCCTTTGCCAGATCTTGGGGTTCTTGGAAAGGGGGCACACATGGTAATTTGGCCAAATCTGGGCAGCAAGGTAGGCTTCCTAGACCTGGGAAGCGGGAAGCTAAGAGCCAAGCAAGGTCTCTGCTGTGTCTTAGTTGAGGTAGCAGCATTTTCCACTTAAGGCTGACTCAGATTCTCTCTTAAGCCAAACTGAAGTGTGACTCCTTTAAGAGATGTGAGGGCCCACGGGTGCCTCGGGGAACTGAGTGACATCTAGTTCAGAGAGGAAAGCCCAGACTCCTGCCATGAAAGATTTTGCACACACTCTTTCTCTCTCTCTCTCTTTTTTTGTTCCTTTTTTTTGAGACGGAGTTTTGCTCTTGTTGCCCAGGCTGGAGTGCAATGGCATGATCTCGGCTAACTGCAACCTCTGCCTCCTGGGTTCAAGCGATTCTCCTGCCTCAGCCTCCTGAGTAGCTAGGATTATAGGCGCATGCCACCATGCCCAGCTAATTTTTGTATTTTTAGTAGAGATGGGGTTCCACCATGTTGGCCAGGCTGGTCTCAAACTCCTGACCTCAGGAGATCCGCCTGCCTTGGCCTCCCAAAGTGCTGGGATTACAGGCCTGAGCCACTGTGCCTGGCTGCACACTCTCTTTGGTGCATCTTTCCATTCTTTTCTTCCATCAGTTCTTCATGCAGACTGTTGGCACCAGCTACACAGACTTCCAGGCGTCCCCAAGCAAGCTTCACCCTCTCCTGCAATTCCTCTTCCTGGAATGTGTGGCTCCATAACACCCCCACCTGCTGGACTTCTACTTGACTTTGGAGGTCCAGTCAAGCTACCCAAATATGTATTCATCTGTGATGTCTTTTCTGCTGTTCCTGATCTCAAATTATTTTTATTTCTGAACCCAACACAAAAAAATTAAAATTGTGTTGAAATACAAATAACATAAAATGTATCATCTCAAAAGGGTCCAGTTCAGTGGTATTAAGTACATTCATAATGTACCTAATGGTGGTCTGCAGCCATCAGCACCATCCATCTCCAGAGCTTTTTTATCTTCCCAAACTGAAACTCTGTGCCCAGGAAACACTAAGTCTGCATTTGCCCTATTCTCGGTCCCTGGCAACCACCTTTCTAGTTTCTGTCTAATAATTTGACCACTCTAAATACATCCTATAAGTGGAATCATACAGTATTTTTTGTTTTGTGACTGATTTAATTTAGCATAAGGTCCTCAAAGCCGACACATATTGTAACGTGTCAGAATTTTCTTCCTTTTTCATATATATCACATATATGCCTAGCTACGCAGACTTCCATGGCTCACCATATACATGTGGCAGAATATTATATATATATATCTCATATATATCCTATTCAGATATGTGTGATATGTATGTCATGTCACATATATCTCTACCATATATATCACACATGATATCTCATATCACACATATCTGTATCATATATCTCACACATGATATCTCTATTGTATCTCACACATGATCTCATATATCTCACACGTGATATCTCATATCACACATGTGATATCTCTATCATATCTCACACGTGTGATATCTCATCACACGTGATATCTGTCATATATCTCACACGTGTGATATCTATCATATCACACGTGTGATATCTCATAGCTCACGTGTGATATCTATCATATGTCTCACACGTGTGATATCTATCATATGTCTCACACGTGTGATATCTATCATATCTCACACGTGTGATATATATCTCACGTGTGATATCTCATATATCACATGTGTGATGTGTATATCTCACGTGTGATATCTCTATCATATATCTCACACGTGTGATATCTCATATATCTCACGTGTGATATCTCTATCATATCTCACATGTGTGATCTCTATCATATATATCACACGTGTGATATCTCTATCATATATCACACATCTCTATCATATATATCACACATATATCTCTCATATATCACACATGTCTATCATATATCACACATGATATCTCTATCATATCACAGATATCGCTATCATATATATCTCACATGATAGCTCTATCATATATCACACATATCTCTATCATATATATCATACATATCTATCATATATCACACATATATATCACACATGATATCTCTATCATATATCACACATATATATATCTCACATGATAGCTCTATCATATATATCACACATATCTCTATCATATATATCACACATATCTATCATATATCACACATGATATCTATCATATATATCACACATATCTATCATATCACACATATATCTCTAGCATATATATCACACATGATATCTAGCATATATCACACATGATATCTCTAGCATATATATCACACATGATATTTCTAGCATATATATCACACATGATATCTAGCATATATATCACACATATATCTATCATCACACATATCTCTATCATATATCACACATCTCTATCATATATATCACACATATCTGTATCATATATATCACACATGATATCTCTATCATATATATCACACCTGATATCTCTATCATAGATATCACACATATATCTCTATCATATATATCACACATATCTCATATATAGCACACATATCTATCGTATATATCACACATGTGATATCTCTATCGTATATATCACACGTGATATCTTGTATATATTACACATGTGATATCTCTATAGTACGTATCATGTATATATCACTATATATATTGACGATGGTTAAATTATATTTATCACATATATAAATGGTGGAATTATATATATATCACATATATATAATGGTGGTGGAGTTACATATATTACATTTACATATAAACGGTGGTGGAATTTAACTCCTGTGATGAAATAGGCTAAGCGCAAATGCCATCGATTCTGAGAAAAGTGCAGGTGGTAGAGTAGTAGTAAAAATATCTCCCTGCAGGGAGCCCCCAATTCAGAATAGATTTAGTTCTTCTAAGATGGTTAGGCTATCTCTCTTTTAAAGACGTGCCTTTTCTATTCCTGTATGCACTAATCAAATCTTTATTGGGAGTCTTCTGTGTGGTGTACAAGGCACTGGGATGAATATTTAAAAGCGCAGTGACTCCATTTTTCATAGCTTTTATAATTTAGAAATAATGCTGAGAATGATGGTTTCCAGCTTCATCCATGTCCCTACAAAGGACATGAACTCATCATTTTTTATGGCTGCATAGTATTCCCTGGTGTATATGTGCCACATTTCTTAATCCAGTCTATCATTGTTGGACATTTGGGTTGGTTCCAAGTCTTTGCTATTGTGAATAGCGCCACAATAAACATATGTGTGCATGTGTATTGCAAGGACAAAAAACCAAACACCACATGTTCTCACTCATAGGTGGGAATTGAACAATGAGAACAGATGGACACAAGAAGGGGAACATCATACACTGGGGCCTGTTGTGGAGGGGGGGAGGGGGGTGGGATAGCATTAGGAGATATACCTAATGTAAATGATGAGTTAATGGGTGCAGCACACCAACATGGCACATGTATACATATGTAACAAACCTTCATATTGTGCACATGTACCCTAAAACTTAAAAAAAAATGCAATAATAATAATTAGCGCAATATGGCATGTAGAGAAAAACAGTGGCCGAAGCAGATGTGATTGAGTCCAAGGTGTGCAAACACTGTGACCTTTGCATGCTGAAGAGGGAGAGCCTTTAACTCAGATGCATTCTGGGAAGGCTGCACGGAGGAGGGAACATGTTGCGGTTGGATTCTGAGGAATGCCCTTTTTTGAGAGTCTGTACTGGTATATTTCTTTGTTAGACATTTTGATGATTTCTCAGCCAGGAAAAAAAAACATGACATTTCACTCAAACTAACTGCTGCTACAACTGGGGTATGGGAGTTGACATTCATCATTTTGACTTTAAAATCTGACTTTCTGAGTCCATTTAGATTTAAGGTTTCATTTTCCCAGAATTGTCATGGAGGGGAGGAACGAAGCCACACACTTGCAGTACAGTTGAGAAGAAACAGTTATGGAAAAAGGCTTGCAACATTTCTCTTTTTCTTCATCAAATTTATATCAAAGTATTTTCTTTGCACCAGATTCTCATCTTTGAATCTTAATCCGCTAATCTTCAGGGAATTTAAGAAATGAAGGGGCTGGTGCTCCAGCAAAGATGTGAGTGGAGAGTTTGCAGCAAAGGCTCAACTTACATAAAAAATGAGAACAGAAGCAAGAAAATCACTTGACATCCATACAGTATGGGTGAGAGAGGTGGTGGGTTTTTTTGTTGTTGTTGTTTGTTTTTTTGGGGGGAACCATCGGTTAAAGATTCAACAGGAATAAAAAGGAAGTACTTGAGACTAGTTCGCTCACACGATGCCTTGTAGCACAATTTAAATTAAAAATAAGGGAATCGGCCAGGTGCGGTGGCTCATGCCTGTAATCCCAGCACTTTGGGAGGCCGAGGCGGGCGGATCACCTGAGGTCGGGAGTTCGAGACCAGCCTGACCAATATGGAGAAACCCTGTCTCTACTAAAAATACAAAATTAGCCGGGCATGGTGGTGCATGCCTGTAATCCCAGCTACTCGGGAGGCTGAGGCAGGAGAAACGCTTGAACCCGGGAGGCAGAGGTTGCGGTGAGCTGAGATCGTGCCATTGCACTCCAGCCTGGGCAACAAGAGTGAACTCCGTCTCAAAAAAAAAAAAAAAGGAATCTTGGACACATTTCTTTTTTTCACAAAACAAGGAAACCGCTTCATGAAACAATCTGGAAGCCCGGAACAGTGGGGATATGACTGCTTGGGGAAGGCTCATCAGGCCAATTATTGAGGAGTATAGAAAAATACCGAGGCTGGGTAGAACATAAAGTATGAAAGGAAATGTGTTTTTCTGTTTCTCAATGCATATCTCTTATTCATAACGTCATAGCGCTCGGCTCAGTTCTTCACACAGACTAGGTGGCCGATTTCTGTTGAAAGAATTCATTCATTCCCTTATTTAATTATTCAACAGATATTTACTGAGCATTTCCTAGGTGCAGGCAGGCAATTTTCTAGGCTCTGGGAATATAGCAGTATAGAGATACCCTGCTATATATGGTCCAGAAAGAATTTACCAGCCCCAAATACTCTCTCCTTCTCTTTCTTTGTCTTTAATATATCTATTCAGAGAGAAGAGAGAGAGAGAGAGAGAGAGAGAGAGAGAGAGAGAGAGAGAGACAGTTCTCTATATAAAGAGAATATAGTCTCTCCTATCTTCTGTAAGAAAACAATTCTTGGTGAAGGCAGTCAATAAACAAAATAAAAAGTATCAGCTGGGTGTGTGGGCTAGAGGAAAGAAAGAAATCTGGGAAGAAGGATTGTATTACTTTGCTTTGAGATTGCTGAAACAAATTACCACAGATGAGGTGGCTTAAACAACAGGAACTTATTATGTCACAGTTCTGAAGTCTAAGATCAAATTCAGCAGGGCCACACTCCCTCTGAGGCACTGGGAAGGGATCTGTCCCAGGCCTCTCTCCTGGCTTCTGGTGCTTCCTTGGCTTGTGACAGTGACAGCATGACTCCAATCTTCACATGCCATCTTCCCTGTGTTTCTGTCTCAGAGCCCCAATTTCTTCTTTTTATAAGGACACATGTCATATTGGATTAGGGCCCATCCTAATGATGTCAACTTAATGGGAGTATCTGCAGAGATCCCATTTCCAAATAAGGTCACATCCAGAGATACTGGAGATTAGGACTTCAACATTTTTGGGGGAGACACAATTCAACCCATAGGAAAGGTTAAGTGGTTGTGGGTTGCTGTTTTATAGGGGTGGTCAGGTGAGGCCTGATAAGGGTCATCTGACCATGGACCTGAAGAAATGGAGGGAATGAGCCATGCAGATATCTGAAGGGAGAGCCATTTGGGCAGAGAGTGGGAGAATACTCTGCATGTTCCAGAAACAACAAGGAGGCCCATGTGGCTGGAGCCAGGTGAGAGAGAGAGAGAGAGAACCCAAGTTCAAGAGATTATGAAGTTTTTCCTCTATATGAGATGGAGAGCCCTTGATGGGTTTGAGTAGTAGCGTGTCATAATCTATTGTACATTTTGAAAGGCCCACTCTGATGGCCGTCTAGTGAATAGACTGAATGGGGTGAGAGCAGAAACGGGGGGGCCATTGCAAGAGAGACTTGACAGTGACCTGGAGCAGAGTGATGAGAGGCGATTGGACTTGGGACATATCTTCAAGGAGGAGACAACAGGATTGGGGGGTGGATTGGACATAGGATATAAAACCAATAAGTGACTCAATGACTCTTAGGCTTTTGGTTTCTGCAACTGAAAAGATGGATTTGCTGTTTATAGAAATGGGGAGAATAGGTTTTACTGGGACAGAAACAAGAGTTGAATTTAAGTTATGCAAAGTTTGAGATGAGTTTTTACATCCAAGTGGAGATAGCAAATAGGCGGTTGGAGATACGAATCCAGCATTCAGGAAGTCATCAGTATAGACGGTTTGGGATTTAATCATCAAGGGAATGAGTAGAGCTGGAGAAGGAACTCCAGGACTGCTCCTTGTGTTCTCCAGCATTTAGAGGCTGGGGAGGTGAAGCAGAACAAGCAAAGGGGATAAAAAATGCATGGGCAATGGGGTAGGAACAGAACAAAGAAAAGAGAGGATTCCGTGGAGTTAAATGAAGGGAGTGTTTGGAGATGGGGCAGAGAATCTGCATCATGTACAGTAAGGACTGGATACTGACCATAGGATTTGGCAATGTGGAAATAACTGGTGACTTTGATATAAGGATTTTTAGGGAGCAAATGGAATGAAAAATAGATTATAATGGGTTCAATAGGGCCACATTCAGCATCTCCAACTCCTTTAAAAAATTGCCTTTACAGGAGAGCAGAGAAATTACCATAGCTAAAGGTGTATATAGGGCCAAGGGAGAAATTCTTTTTTTAATGGATGGTAATACAGTATTTTATATTCTGATGGACATGATGCAACAGAGTAAAAGTTAATGATGGGGAGAGATGGCAGGATTGATGAAGCCATAGCTTTGACCAGGTGAGAAGTTATGGGATCCAGCATCAAGTCCAGGAGCACAGGCAATTAATCCATAGAGACAGGAAGGCGGCAAAGGAAGGAGGTTCCAAAGGGCCGCTTGGTAGAGAGAGTGGTAAGAACGTATGGAAGGTTTGCTGTTGTGACTTCTGTTTCATCGGATAGATTAGAAGTAAGGGCACTTATGAAGAACGTAGGGAGTTCTTTAAGACTTGAAGACAGAGGTGATGATGTGAAAGAGTTTCCCAGGTGCATGGAAGAATGACTGGTTTTGAGAAATACAGTCGGATGGCTGAGCAGCTCTTGCTTGAAATTGGCAGTCATTGATTGAAAAATGGACTCAGGTCAGCATGATTGGATAGATTTCTGCAGCCATGTTGAGCTGCACAGGTTCCGGGTCAAAGAGGGGAAAAAGAGTAACGAATGGAGAGAGGAAAAGGAAGGGAGTTGAGGGAAGATACAAGTGATGACAAAGATAGATTCTGGAATCTAAGCTGGGTTAGAGGAAATGAGGATGAGAGAAGGGTGGAGAACAGTGGGCGCTGATTGGATAAGGTGGACTGAGGCCCTCATGGGGTTGAAGGATGCTGCAGTTGGGAGTCATTCAAAAGAACTAGCTGAGAAAGTAGGTGGCAGTCATGAGAGAGTTGTTAGGTGCCAGCGATTGGGATGGTGCAGTAGTGGGTGCAGTTATTGGTGATAATCAGGTCCAAAGCATGACCATAAAGTGGTGGTTGGGAGAAGGCAGAGGACAATATAATTAGAGGCAAGAATAAAGATTTGGGAGGCCAGGCTTCTGGAAGAATCATTGACTTGGATTTTAAATAACCAGGAATTATGGCAGGAGTATTATTAGAGAATTAAGAACTAAATCTTCAATAAATGAGGAGGAGTCTACTGAAGTCTGTGGGTAACTAAAGCATGGAGGGCCACCCTGTGGTGACATCTGAAGGCATGAACTTTGCAGTCGAGCATGTTGGGGAGGAGAGAGGGATAGTGGTTTGAGAATAGCTGTGAGGAGCAGGGAGGACAGATGCCACCTTCAGGTCCGGTGGCATGAGAAGTGAGAGGGAGAAGCAATAAGCACTTCAGAGGTTTGCAGGGAAAACTGTGTCCTTGGGGTGAGCCAGGTTTTAGTCAAAGCAGGGTGATGGGAACATTCAGAGGAAGGTTCAGAATACAGGGAGTCTGCTGATATTGGATGAGTCCAGAGAGGTAAAAACGTGTGAGAGATGTCCAGAATGACAGTGACAAGGGATGAGCAGAGAACCTTGGGCTTCCCACAGTGACTGACTTCAACAGGGATACAAACCATCGTGGCTTCCAAAGCAGATGAGGCTGCTGGAGTGTCATGGGGCCCTGGAGGGGGGCTTTTGTCAGGAGCAAGAGGGGTGCTGGTCCCCCCCATCTTCACTCTGCTTCTGGCATTTTGCAGCCTGGAGGGGCAATGTCACATCTGGAACTCTGGAACCCTCCTTGTGTTAAGGCCATGGAAGGAGGTCGCCAGCACATCTCAAAGTTCTGCAGATGCCACATGGAGCAGCCTGAAAGAGGAGGAGAGACACCTTAAAATTAGATGGTTTGTTGAAAAGGAGTGATGATTGGCTAGACCACGAGGGAAGCTCGCAGGCACTGTGTGTCAGGCCTGATGTTTAGTTACTGCTAGTTGTAACTGGGCTTGGAGATTCTGTTCAGTCAACTAAATAGAGCCTAATTATCCAAATAGATTCACAATTTTGTTTCAATATGTAAAGATAAAAGACCATTTTTCTCTAATGATAAACAAAAAGAATGTTTTCTCAGCTGAATAAAAGGTTAAGCTGTTATTCATGATGTTTTGTCTGAAAACTTTTGATAGGCGAAACTTTGGTTCTTACCATTTATAGCTACATAAAAAAGATAGAGTTTTGGGTAAGTAAGTATAGTTTATGAAAGGAATTTCAACACATATGTGACCTGAACAGAAAAAGTAAAAGAACCAGAGTCAATTCCGTAGAAGGGCTGAAATACCTCTTTGGTTTTGTTTTGTTTTTAATTACTTCAGAGATGAGAATCACTGCTTAATTCTAGAGTAACAAAGGGAAGGGATTGTGAGAATATGACTTTTGAAATATGCCTTTTAGGATGGGAAACATTTAGGAAGGTGCCTGGAGTCATATGAGGAGAACACCGGGCAGAAGAATTTTACTAGAGAGCTAGAAGGAGAAAACGTTTTATCGAACCTCTTAACAGCAAGTTTATATATACACTTCATGTATTTTTCTTAATAGAAAAGCAATATGTGGAAGACTTCCCAACAAAATGGCAGATCTGCCTGACTTGTACGAGACATTCCTTTCCTATCAGGAACACAGAGAAATTCTGGGTCAATTATTTGCAAATGATGTTTTATAATCCCTCCACAAGTTGAAAGAAAGAAGAGGATATCATAAGGCGACAGAAGTTAAGAGATAGATCCAGGCCAGGAGAGTAAGTGGGAACTGATGCTACACCTGCCCTCTGAGGATGTGAGACTCATACCGAGGCTCCTGGGGATGTGGGCTGCAGGTTTTGGTTGTTTGTGATTGTCTGCTCGCTGAGCAGATGAGCTAGAGCAGACCTTCAGGCATAAAGCCTGGAGCCTGCAATTGCTGCTCCTTTGTTAAAACCACTCCAGCTACTAGTCTAGAGAAAGCAGCAAGGGAGCTGGGCCCTTGGGTGGAAGAAGCAGAAAGTCACCCTTTCTGTTGGCCCATGGGTGGGAGAAGCAGAAAGTCACCCTTCTGCCTGGGATTCGAGTTTCAAATTCAATACTGCTCTATAAGGGTTAGTTTTCCAACTCAGAGCACAACAGAGGAAAATATGAAGAAGGTTACACTACGGAAGGGAGTTTGCGTATACTTTTAAAAACATCTGTATTCACTCCTTAGATGACGTCATCGAGTATTATTGAAATGTCCTCTTTATACTGTTGATTTCTGCATTTATATCTCCAGTCTGAACCTCTCCCCTTAATTCCAGATGGTTCTCAACTCTAGATTATTTTCAAGATTGTGCCTCTGAGGAGTCTAATAAGCATCTCAAATATAACGTGTGTGTTAGCCAGCCTCCCAAATGGCCCTCAGGAATCTTGGGTCCTGCTGTTCACATCCTGTGTAGTCTCTCCCACAGTATACTAAGGGTTGGTCTGTGTGATTGATGGAGTAGAGCAAAAGTGATATCAAGTCCTTTCTGAGACTGGTTTATAAAAGATGCTGTAGTTTTTATTTTGGTTGCCCTTGACCTCGTCCTATCTTGGATCACTTGCTCTGTGGAAGCCAGCTACCATATCTTGACACGCTGGCAGCCCCACGTGGAGAAGAACTAAGGCCTTCAACCAATAGCCAGCAGGAACTTGGCAGGCATGTAACTTTGGAGGTAGATCCTCCAGCCCCAGTTACATTTTCAGATAATGGCAGCTCTGGTCTAAGCTTAACTGTCATCTCACGAGCCGTCCTAGGCAGAACCACCTGGGTAAACTGAGGTCAGATTCTCAACTCTTAGACCCATACAATAACAAAGATTTGTTGCTTAACCTGCTAAATTTTGGGATAACTTGTTATGCAGAAATGGATAACTAATACAATGTGTCCAAAAAGGCTCTCTGCATCTTCCCCGAAGCTCTCTTCCTGCAGTTTTTCCTGTCTCTGTAAACGGTGACTCTATTCTCCCAACAGCTCAGGCCAAAAACTATTCTTGTCTGTGTTTCTGACATTTCACATCCAAGTTTTCAGCAAATCCCTGTTGGGTCTACCTTCATAATATATCTGACTACTTCTCACTACCCCAGTTACTCTCTTGCTCTAAGCTGCTATCATCTCCTGACTGTTTTATTATAATAGTTCTTTTGGCCTTCCTAATTTTGCATTTGCTCAATTTCAGTCTATTCTCAACGAAGTAGCCAGAGTTATCCTTTAACAATGAAATCAGATCATGTCACTTTTCTAATCAAAGCCTTTGAATGGCTTCCAATATCACTTAAGGTAAACCCCAAGTCTTTACATGGGCTCTGTTGCCCTTCATTATTGTCTTCTCTGATCTCATCTTTCCTCAGCTCTCTTCCCTCCGGCCACACTGGCATCCTGTTGTTGCTCCAACAGGCCAGGAATTATCCTGTCTTAGGGCTTTTGCACTCATGGTACCCTCTGCCAAGAATGTTCTTCTCTTCGGTAACTGTAGGATTTCTTCGCTCATTCCCCACTGGACACAGGTCTTTTCCGTGGCAGCCCTATTTAAAAATTCCAGCCTCCCTTTATTCCCTCCACATTTCCTGGTTTATCGTCTCCATAGGTTTATCATCATCTGTCATCCTATACATTTTACATATCTTATGTACTGTCTCTCTTCCTCCACTAGAATGCAAGCCCCACGAAGGCAGAGAACTTCATGGGTGCATTCCAAATCCCAACAGCAATGCTTGACATCTAGCCAGCCACTCAAATAGTTTTTTTTTTTTTTTTTTTTTTTTTTTTGAGACAGAGTCTCGCTCTGTCGCCCAGGCTGGAGTACAGTGGCACGATCTCAGCTCACTGCAAGCTCTGCCTCCCGGGTTCATGCCATTCTCCTGCCTCAGCCTCCCGAGAGCTGGGACTACAGGCGCCTGCCACCACGCGCGGCTAATTTTTTGTATTTTTAGTAGACACGGGGTTTCACCACGTTAGCCAGGATGGTCTCCATCTCCTGACCTCGTGATCTGCCCGCCTTGGCCTCCCAAAGTGCTGGGATTACAGGCGTGAGCCACTGCTCCCGGCCTCAAATAGTTTTTGAAAAAGCAAGTATTATAAACAGGAGAAGTAACATAATATTTAGACAAGATGGAAAAATCTAAAAGATACTATAAAGTAAGTGTGTTTAAAACTATTAAAAGTAAAAGAAGTAAAAAAAAAAAAATGAATGCACTTTTAAAACCATTCAGATGTGAAAACAACCAAGTAGAACTTCAAGAAATGAAAAACATAGTAGCCAAAATTTAAAAACAAACAGCCAAACAAAGGATCAGTTAAAATCAGCTTGATTTAGAGGGAAGATCTGAGGAAACCACCTTGAACATAGCACAGAGCTATGACAAGATTAAAATTATAAAAAATAAACTAAATGACTTGGTGTGAGAAGGCCCAGCATGTATTTTGTAGGAGCTCTAAAAGGAGAAACTAGTGATCATGAAGAATAGGCGATATTTAAAGAGACAAGGGCACACAGTTTTCTTTCTTTTTTTTTTTTAATTTTACTTTAAGTTCTGGGATACATGTGCAGAACGTGCAGGTTTGTTACATAGGTTTACATGTGCCATGGTGGTTTGCCGCACCTGTCAACCAGTCATCTAGGTTTTAAGCCCTGCATGCATTAGGCATTTGTCCTAATGCTCTCTCTCCCCTTGGCCCCCACCCTCTGACAGGCCCCGGTGTGTGATGTTCCCCCTCTGTGTCCATGTGTTCTCATTGTTCAACTCCCACTTATGAGTGAGAACAAATGGTGTTTGTTTTTCTGTTCCTGTTAGTTTGCTGAGAATGATGGCTTCCACCTTCATCCATGTCCTTGCAAAGGACATGAACTCATTCTTTTTTATGGCTGCATAGTATTCCATGGTGTATATGTGCCACCTTTTCTTTATCCAGTTTATCATTGATGGGCATTTGGGTTGGCTCCTATTATTCCCTATTGTAAATAGTGCTGCAGTAAACATACGGGTGCATGTACCTTTATAGTAGTATGATTTAGAATCCTTTGGGTATACACCCAGTAATGGGATTGCTGGGTCAAATGGTATTTCCGGTTCTAGATCCTTGAGGAATTGCCACACTGTCTTCCACAATGGTTGAACTAATTTACATTTCCACCAACAGTGTAAAAATGTTCCTATTTCTCCACAGCCTCGCCAGCATCTGTTGTTTCCTGACTTTTTAATAATCGCCATTCTAACTGGCGTGAGATGGTATCTTACTGTGGTTTTGATTTGCATTTCTCTAAAGCCAGTGATGATGAGCTTTTTTTCATAAGCTTGTTGGCCGCATAAATGTCTTCTTTTGAGAAGTGTCTGTTCATATCCTTTGCCCACTTTTTGATGGGGTTGTTTTTTTCTTGTAAATTTGTTTAAGTTCCTTGTAGATTCTGGATATTAGACCTTTGTCAGATGGGTATGTTGCAGAAATTTTCTCCCAATCTGTAGGTTGCCTGTTCACTCTGATGATAGTTTCTTTTGAATAGCAAACACTTTTCTAGGTTTGAAAATAAGACCTAAATTATTGGATTTAAATTATTGGATTTTTGGATTTAAATGGCGTGTAGAGTCTCAAGCAACATTAAAAAGTAAGCTCTACCTAGAAGCATTAGGTTAAAACTAACATTGAAGACCAAGGAAAAAATCCAAAAACAATGAGAATGAAAGATGAAATACCTAAAGAAGGACAACTATGAGATAGGCAGACTTTTCATAAGCAATATGCCAACATACAATGTAATTATGTCTTCAATGTGCTAATGGAAACAACCATTACCCTAGAATTCTATACCCAGCTAAAAGTATCATTCAACATCATGGCCAAATAAGAACATTTTCAGAAGAACCCTCACTGACTCTTGCTGAAATAAATACTAACGTATCAGCTTCAGAAGGAGGAAATTGAACACAGAGGACTGGAGTGGAATTGCAGTTACACTAGTACGAAACAAATTGGCGAACATTTTGATAACTTGAAATAAACAATGATGTATAAATAAGGAGCTAATTTGGAGGAGAGGATTAAAAACAAGGAAAAGCTGGGCACTGTGGCTCATGCCTGTCATCCCAGCACTTTGGGAGGCCGAGGCGGGTGGATCACGAGGTCAGGAGTTCGAGACCAGCTTGCCCAACATGGTGAAACCCTGTCTCTACTAAAAATACAAAAATTAGCCAGGCACGGTGGTGTGCGCCTGTACTCCCAGCAACTCGGGAGGCTGAGGCAGGAGAATCGCTTGAACCCGGGAGGCAGAGGTTGCAGTGAGCCAAGATCGCACCACTGCACTCCAGCCTGGGTGACAAGAACAAAAACTCCGTCTCAAAAAAAAAAGGAAAAATTAATACATTAAACATAAAATGGTAGCTTGGAAAAGGAGATCAGAACTGAACTGTTTCTGGTCTGGAGATTTTGATTGGCCTGATTTTCTTTTTTAATGTCAAGTATGCATTTTAAATATCTAAAAGAATGAATTAGAACGTGTAGTTTTCAAGCTTGTAGAAGGGAAAAGTAGAATGAAAAAACCAAATCAATTTAATAAAAGGCAGGAGAGAAGAAAAAGGAAGCAAAGAAAAAGTACATTAATCTTAAATGCAAAATAACATAATAGAAGTACAGTTGATCCTTGAACAACACGGGTTTGAACTTTGTGGGTCCACTTATATGTGGATTTTTTTCCACCTCTCTCACCCCTGAGACAGCAAGACCAACCCCTCCTCTTCCTCAGCCTACTCAATGTGAAGACAAGAATGAAGATCTTTATGATGATCCACTTCCATTTAATGAATAGTACATGTTTTCTCTTCCTTATGATTTTTTTTTTTTTTTTGAGACGGTGTCTCACTGTTGCCCAGGCTGGAGTGCAGTGGCGCAATCTCGGCTAACTGCAACCTCTGCCTCCCAGGTTCAAGCTATTCTCCTGCCTCATCCTCCTGAGTAGCTGGGACTATAGGCACACATCACCACGCCAGGCTAATTTTTTGCATTTTTAGCAGAGACGAGGTTTCACTATGTTAGCCAGGATGGTCTCCATCTCCAGACCTCGTGATCTGCCTGCCAGGCCTCCTAAAGTGCTGAGATTACAGGTGTGAGCCACTGCACCTGGCCCATGATTTTCTTAATAACATCTTTTCTGTAGCTTACTTTATTGTAAGAATACAGTGTGTAATACATATACAAAATATGTGTTAATCAACTGTTGAAATGTTGTAAGTAAGGCTTTCAGTGAAGAGTACGCTGTGTGCAGTTAAGTTTTTGGGTGGTTGATTTTGGTATGTGGATTTTTGACTTTACGGGGTTGGCATTTCTAACCCCCATGTTGTTCAAGGATCAACTGTCATACTAAATATACCAGCAATCATAATAAATATAAATAGCTTAACTTATTAGTTAAAATAAAACTTTTCAAATTGGATTAAACAATTTTAGTTTCATATTATTTATAAGAGAAATTATTAATTGGTTGACTTAAATATTGATTTCAGACATCATGGCTCAAAAGTTTGAAAAAGAAGTCGACAAAAATATGTACCAGGAAAAACAAAACAAAGAAAATTTGAGTAGTGAAATTTTTATTAGATGAAATTGATTTTAAGACAAAATGCATTGGTGTGGATAAAAAAGCATTACTAGTAATTAGTAAAAGCATTCATGAGAAAGCTACAGAAATTCTAGTCTAATGATATAGACTTAAAATATAAGGGAAAATGGGCTGGGCACGGTGGCTCATGCCTGTAATCCCAGCACTTTTGGAGGCCAAGGAAGGTGGATCACTTGAGGTCAGGACTTCAAGACCAGCCTGGCCAACAAGGTGAAACCCTGTCTCTACTAAAAATGCAAAAATTAGCTGGGCATGGTGGTGCGTGCCTGTAATCCCAGCTACTCAGGAGGCTGATGCAGGAGAATTGCTGGAACCTGGGAGGCACAGGTTGCAGGCAGCTGAGATTGCACCACCGCACTCCAGTCTGGACGGCAGAGTGAAACTCTGTCTCAAAAAAAAAAAAAAAAAAAAAAACACACACACACACACATACATATATTGGAAAATGAACAGAACTCTAAAGAAAATTAACACATTCACAATTATCGATGTCAATATATCTGTATCAGAAACTACTACATCAAGAAGACAAAGGAAGACTTGATGTCTGTTCTTATATATCCATGAACAACCTTTCCATTGTTTTTTTCAAGCATACAGAACAGTTATGTTTACTGACTACAAAGACCACATAATTGATATTGTACTGAATATATTCTTTGACTACCATACATTAAAATAGGAAACCATTTTTTAAAAGTAATCAATAAAAAACCCCTATTCTTTTAATAGGTACATTTCCAAGAAGTAGTTAAAAAAGGAATCATGTCAGGAGGTCTGAAATACTTAGAATCACACAACAATCACAGCAATATATGTGAGATAGAGATTTATATGCTAGAAAAAACAAAAAGTTGAAAAATCAATGAATTAAACATTTGACTCAAAAAGTTAGTAAAAGAGAAAACCTAAACAAATAAGACATTGTAATAAGAAGAAATTAAATAAAAAAAGAAATAATAAGGAAGGTAAACAAAAGTAGTGCATATATGTTTAATTAATTAATTAATTATTTTTTGAAATGGAGTCTTGTTCTGTCACCCAGGCTGGAGTGCAGTGGCAGAATCTTGGCTCACTGCAACCTCTGCCACCCAGGCTTAAGCGATTCTCCTGCCTCAGCCTCCCAAGTAGCCGGGACTACAGGCATGCACCACCAGGCCTGGCTAATTTTTTCTATTTTTAGTAGAGATGGAGTTTCACCATATTGGTCAGACTAGTCTCAAACTCCTGACCTCAAGTGATCCGCCTGCCTCAGCCTCCCAAAGTGCTGGGATTATAGGTGTGAGCCATCACGCCCGGCCAGTGGTGCATTTTTATTAAAACAGAACAATATTCAAAGAAGACATAAAACTCACCATACATCTCATTCTGTGCCAATGTTTTCTATTAACACTTTTGTGCAAATCCTTCCTGTTTTACGTAGAGAGATGGAACAAATAAATACTCATGCTATGACAAAGATTGAGGAAGAGAATTGCTGTCTTTCCAAACATAGACTGAATTTCTGAAGCAGGAAATGTGGTTTGCAAGAGGCAGCTGGGAGAAAGGAAGACTCCTACTCTGTTTCTTGGTCCTGGCATTTGGGCGTGGGAGGAATACACCAACATGAGAGAGTTGCAGAAGTCTCAGCAGACACCTGGGTTTCCACTGGGTAGGAAAGAGGCAAGGCCTTTCAGAGAAGAGATTGAGGATATAGGGAAGTGTGCTGGTCATAATCAGGAATTCCAGAGATCACACTGACGGGGGTTAGAGGGCAAGGAGATGGTGATGAATTGGATCAGTCTGGAGAGAGTACAAAATATAGGGAATAGAGTTCCAGTGATAATGGATCATTTTAGCACAGTTGGACACCTGAAAGGGACTGTGATCCACAGGGAGGAGGGGTGTGACATGGTTGTTCCTGGTGGTCTTTTAGAGAACTGATAAGTAATCAGTTGAAACTGTGGTCTTCAAACTTGAATAAGATGATGAGGGGGTCTTAGAGAGAGAGATCTTTCCTAAAACTCAAGAAGGTTGCTGGGGAAGGGGATGAAGTCAGAGGGAGGCTGCTCTACTCACCATTTAGTCACCCTTGCGGTTTCTCTTTCTGTATTTTCTACTAATTTCTGGTCTACTGAGAACACCTCTTTTTATTGTTTAGTATAATTATGCACTATTGTATTTAAATGTTCTCCTGCCAATTCTAGGAATGGGGCAGGAAGAAAAGTTTGTGACTTGAGCTCAGTGTCCCATCTAGATCTGAAGGCAAAGCTTCAGTTTGGTCCTTATTTTCCCTTGACTATGGGGTTCAAGTTCTTCTTTCTGCTGAGCTACTTCAAAAAATAATTTTTCTCCAAAGTTCACAGTTCCTGATTAAAGCCGACTAAGATGAACAACAGAGCAGGGCAGGATATCAGAAAAAAAATTTAAATGAAGAGCGTTGAATTAAGTTACATTTGTCATTCTATCAATCATATTTCCCATGTCACTTCTGAAATGTCCGTTGGGCTTGGCCTCCACAAGACCTGCAGGAAGAGGTTTATTTTCCCTCAAGACCTGAATGTGCTCTCTGTGGCCCCAGTAGGAGTCCTTACACCTACTGTGGCCACCTTCTTTGATTAAAATTCATTTCTATATCTCAGATGACTCAGGCAGGACATGCCTGTGTAGTTTTACAGGTGACAGTTTTTCCGAGTGCTCACAAACTCTGTGTTTTACAAGTACATTTGTTCCTTGCAGACTTTTGGCTGCACTATAAGCTCAGGCTGAGAAAGAATAGTTGATTCTGGTTATCAAAGCTTTGTCTAAATAAACGAGGACCTCACTGTATCTCTCTTGGCTATAGAGCTAGGTATATGGACAGTCCATCTTGGAGACTCTCCAAAGTGAGAATAGTTATTGAAGTCTAAAATAAGGACTCCTTATAAGGAAGTTTCACCTAAGAAGAAGGCCCCCAGCGTTGGCTTAGCAAATAACATTCTAGTGTAGCTCCAGGATATTGGAGCCAAATGTGATTCTCCCTGCCCTCAACCAAAGACCCAGCCTGGTTTTTATAGGCCAGACATAAATCTGAGAAAGTGTTTATAAAATAGACTGGGTCTATCTGGAAGGCTTGAAAAACAACTTTTATAGGTTCATTCTTAGGAAATCGATTTGAGGATATTTAGAGGAGTTGCTCTTGTACGAAATGGAATCCTTCTCACCTTATCTCCCCCTGTCCAGTTGGGGTGCATGATTCATTCAACAAAACAGCACTATTAATTTCAGGCTCCTCATACTCTTATGGGCAAGGAGACCTGCCTTACTGAGCCCACCATTAAAGGGCAGAGAGAACCTTTATTAAATATTTATTGGTGGACCTCAAATCTCAATGCTTGCCTTTCTACCTGGTGACACCATTTCAAGTTTGTATTCCCACTTGGTATTCCAGGATCTTATCCATAAGAAATTTTGGGCTATAAGTTCCTCTGAAGCACATTGTGCTAAACCTGCCGATTTTATAGTTGAGGAGGCTGATGACCTGAGAAAAGGACCCTCTTCTTTCAGTAAACACCAAAACATGATGCTTGACCCTTTGTGGGATACAAAAATACATGGGTCAATGTCCTTGTCATCAGTGATTGTTACTTACAGGTGTAAGAATAATTGTAATATGTAATTGTAATATGTGATGTGATAAGAGCTGTAAATGGGCTGGGTGCGGTGGCTCACACGTGTAATCCCAGCACTTTGGGAGGTCGAGATGGGCGGACCACGAGGTCAGGAGATTGAGATCATCCTAGCTAACATGGTGAAACCCCGTCTCTACTAAAAATACAAAAAATTAGCCGGGCGTGGTGGCGGGCACCTGTAGTCCCAGCTACTTGGGGGGCTGAGGCACGAGAATTGCTTAAACCTGGGAGGTGGAGGTTGCAGTGAGCTGAGATCGCACCACTGCACTCCAGCCTGGGTGACACGGTGACACTCTGTCTCAAAAAAAAAAAAAAAAAAAAGCTGTAAATGAAGGAAAAATACAAAATGCATTTTGTATTTAGGTAGAAATTAGCACATTTTGAGGGGGCAGGGTAGCAGGAGAAGCAACCTGGTAATTATTGTTATTTTTTATTTCCCATTTTTTTCTTTTAACTTTTATTTTAGGTTTGGGGTGCATGTGCAAGTTTATTATGTAGGTAAACTGGTGTCACAAGGGTTTAGTGTACAGATTATCTCATCATCCAGGTACTAAGCATAGTACCCAATAGGCTTCTTAAAAAATCCTTTCCCTCCTCCCAACCGCTACCCTCAAGTAGGCCCCAGTAGTAGGCCACAGTGTCTGTTGTTTCCCTCTTTGTGTCCATGTGTCCATGTGTTCTCATTATTTAGCTCCCACTTATAATAAGTGAGAACATGCGGTTTTTGGTTTTCTGTTTCTGCATTAGTTTGCCAGGGGTAATGGTCTCCAGCTCCATCCATATTGCTCCAAATGACATGCTCTTGTTCTTTTTTACAGCTGCATGTTATTCCACAATGTATATGTACTACATTTGCTTTATCCAGTCTAATGCTGATGGGCATTTAGGCAACCTGATAATTACTATGATGTACTTCGCATTTAAGGGCAATTGGGTGAATCTTGGGATTTTTGCCCTCTGCAGATGGGAGTTACAAGTAAATCTGCTGTATTGAGAAATCCTCTGGCATGGAAAGGAAACGCTAGGAAGTTCAGTTTGGTCAGAGGGTAGACCAAAGTAAGAAAAGAATAATAAATAAGGTGGGAGAAATGGATTGGGACAAGATTACAGGTGAAAAAGAATGGCCAAGGCATATTGAGCAGGAGCTAGATTTCAGGGGGCTAAGCAGCGAGTGGTTGATGAGAATACCGAGACAGACAATGAAAAATCCTTATGAGTCATTTGCTAATAGAGAAAAATAAAGATTAGTAGGAGTTTGTGGGAGAAAACAATGTCTGCAGGGAATAAGCATAGGTAGAGAGGGAAGTTGCAATGAAACTAGTTGCATTGAAAGCCAGGATTTTCTGATGACTGGAACCCTAGTGAGGGTGCATGCTCTGCTCCTGAATGCATTGGTATGACAAGCATTTCCCAGAATCTAAAAACCTGAAGGTGCTATTTCATCTCTCATGTCATCACTAAGAATCTTGAATTTAGAAATCTAGAGCTGAGCTGATCGTTATGAGGCTGAGAATTGCCCCCAGGTGAGTGGGACGCTTGGATGATGTACAGACTGACACACTGCACACCAGGGTGGGCTCACAGCTCTGTACTCATGCGTCATCTGGGGACACTGAGGCTGTGCAGTGTCATGATGGGAGGCATTCACAAGGTTCTGCAAAATATAGCGAATAGCCAGCCATTTGGATTACCCTGACTCTGCAGATCAGATCAAAGGAGATTAAGTTGAAGTGCATCCCTCTTTAGTGAAGCACTTGGCAAATGTCTCAATTCTTTTAGAGATGATTTTGAGTTTTGTAGAATTAAGTCTTTTTTTTTCCCCCAAGCATATTTCTCCCAGTTTTCAAAAGGTTGGTTACTTGTGGGAAATTTAATCCACATGTTTATGATTCACTTCGACTCCACTCCTTTCAAATTTATCTTTGGAGCATGAGTTGGTACTTGAGAAGCGTTTTAAAGTTCAGGACTTTTTAGAACTGGAGAGTTATTTTGCTAGATGTGTCTCGAAAACACATATCAAAAATTTTCGTAAAATCAAAACTCAGAGTTTGGAGGGTGGTCTGAATGTCCCAAACTCCCAACTCTTGGCAATGTATTTCCAACAGCTGATCTGTAGGCAAAGGACAGTGTAAGTGTGCAAGGAGCTCCTTCGCTGAGTGGTAAAGGAAGGGTGTCTGTGTTTACAGGAGTGCCATCCCAGTCTCTTAAAATATTCCCAGAGACGGCCAGGCGTGGTGGCTCATGCCTGTAATCCCAGCACTTCGGGAGGCCGAGGCGGGCGGATCACGAGGTCAGGAGATCGAGACCATCCTGGCTAACGTGGTGAAACCCCGTCTCTACTTTATATAAAAATTTAAAAAAATTAGCCAGGCGTGGTGGCGGGCGCCTGTAGTCCCAGCTACTCGGGAGGCTGAGGCAGGAGAATGGGGTGAACCCGGGAGGCGGAGCTTGCAGTGAGCCGAGATTGTGCCATTGCACTCCAGCCTGGGCGACAGAGCAAGACTCCGTCTCAAAAAAAAAAAAAAAAAAATATATATATATATATATATATATATATATATATTTTCCCAGAGACAGCAGGCCTGGGAAGCATCATGACATTTGTGTCCTTCCTGGTAGGCAGTCTTGCTTTTTATTACAGTTTCTTATGCCTAGATCCTTGGGCTGGCAGAACAATTCTAGATCACCTCATGTCTAATTTAACCTCTTCATTTTACAGGTGAAACTCAAAAAGATTCAATGTCTTGCTCAAGGTTTCACACAGTTTAGTGTTAGAATCTCTTCGTGTTTCCACCATGTCCATTTCATGCCAATAAGAAGAAACTTTGATAAGAGTTGAGGTCATTCCACTGGGACCAGGGGTGGAATGGTGGGCAAAGTGGTGGAGGCAGTTTTTGGTGGGTGGAGAGACATTGAGCACTTCCTTCCACCTGCTCTGCCCTCTTTGAGTTTCTTTCTCTTTCAGATTATCTGTTTGCTTTGGGTTGCTTCTCCCCTTTGGAAGATAGGGTTTCTGCAAAAGGATACTGATGGAATGGGGTTCTTAAAGTCTGACATCCAAAGAGGTGTCACATGGGAAAGGGTGGAGTACTCCATTGTGAAGTCCTGTTTTCTGCAGTATTATTTAAGGGATACTGGGATCCAGCTGATTGCTCTGTAAACAAATGCCTTCACTGCTCAAATGGATACATATTTCCTGTTCCAGAACACTAATGCTTACTTGATGAGTCAATGGGTGACCAGTCTAAGTATGTTGGATCCACTCAGTCACTGCAGGGGAAATCTATTGACCTTGGATACACACTTTAGCCCAGAACGGCTACACTTGGTTATTTAATTTAGTTGTACAAAATGTGGGAAATAGATGCATATCAGCAAAGGTCTTGGTCTTTGTTCAGCAAGGAAACTAGTGAAATTTATGAAGGGTTTTTATCAGACTGAGGTCAATGGAACATATTCACACACATACCATTTAAAATAGCATTTATTTGTTTTATAAATGATTATAAAAGTACTATAATTTCATTGTGGAAAACTTGAAAAATGCCAAAAGTATAAAGAAGAAAAAATGAACAAATCACTTACAATTTCACTACTTAGAGATAACTAATGTTAACATTGACATTGGAGAGTTTCCTGGGGTTTTTTTAGTGGATTTACAGATTTTTAATATTTTTTTACAAAACATACATTTTTCATAGGTTATAAACTGTTTTATTTTTTGGTGTTTTTTTTTAGTTGTAAAGATCAGAAAGAGAAAAAGATGTTTCATAAGCCTAGTCTAAGACCAATAACCATGGGTTTATTGGGTCTCTAGGACTCGTATGAGATCCAGTGCATTTTGGGCCCTTTGCAGGGCCTGAAGCAGATGAAATTCATAGATTTTTTCTCTAAAGCTCCCCCTATTAATGTAACTCACTTATTCGGCCTAGGTTGCTTTCCTTTCTGTCTCTTACTTCTCCTCCCACCACTACTAACCAATCTCCATTTTCTCTACCTGGTAGCTTCTTCTCACATCATAACTTCTCATTTCTTGTATTTTTGGTTTGCTGTGACTCACACACAGCCCTGTTCTACCTCATGGCCTCTCTTTCCACATATCATTTGTCTGACATTTTTCAGTTCAAACGATTCAGAGAGAGAATCTGATTTATTCAGCTAACGACTCTTTTTCTCTATTTGAGTACATCTTGCACACAGGCTCGGCCGTAAGTTGCTGGCCAGTTGAGACAATTACTTCTCTAACCCATTTACGTATGGGCAGATGATGAGGAAGTTCAGCTAACATTTAGCAAATTATATAGAAGACAGTAAAAATTTATCCCAAATCCTGCCACTCAATAGTGACTACTGTTAATACTTTTGTGATTTTTTTCTTTGAGACGGAGTTTCGCTCTTGTCACCCAGGCTGGAGTGCAATGGCGCAATCTCGGCTCACTGCGACCTCCGCCTGCCGGGTTCAAGCAATTCTCCTGCCTCCTACTCAGTCTCTCGAGTAGCTGGGATTACAGGTGACTGCCACCATGTATGGCTAATTTTTGTATTTTTAGTAGAGATGGGCTTTCACCATGTTGGTCAGGCTGGTCTTGAACTCCTGACCTCAGGTGATCCACCTGCCTCAGCCTCCCAAAGTGCTGGGATTACAGGCATGAGCCATCGCACCCGGCCAGTCATTTTTAATGTAATTATGTATGTGCCTATGTGTGTATGCATGTGTGAGTATATATTTTAAAACTTGATTACATTTTGTTTTTTAGCCGAACATTATAGCTTAAAATAGTTTCTTATACTTTTAGCTATTTTTCTAAAACCTGACTTGTAGTGGTGTACAATAGTCAATTTTATGAGCATAGCAATACTCTGTTTCACAATTTCAGTATTACTAGGTACTTTCTGGTGTGTGCCGTGGAAGAGCCTGCATCCTATGTCATATAATGGCAACATTTCCTAACATTGGAAAAGGTATTCCATTTCTAGGTGGCCAAAAAGTGCCAAATATCTATGATATGGTCACAGGTGGACAATGTAGTTTTATGATAATGAGGACATGTGTTCTGTCTTTTTTTTTTTTTTCAAATTTATTTTCTTAGACCATATGACATCTATTTTGCCATATAGTGTCAGGAAGTAATTTAACCTTAAACATTTTTTTTCCTAAAAGTTTAACTTATTGTCCTAGAACCATTTATTCACTTAACCGTTCTCTCTCAGTTGATTTGGAATGTCGTAGGATTATTTCCTTGATTCTCAGATGCAAATGACTGTGAGATTCATCCCTGACTTAGAAACCACAGCAAGTTGAAATTCTTTTTTTTTTTTTTTTTTTTTTGAGATGGAGTCTCCCTCTGTCGCCCAGGCTGGAGTGCAATGGCATGATCTCGGCTCACTGCAACCTCCAACTCCCGGGTTCAAGCAATTCTCCTGCCTCAGCCTCCTGAGTAGCTGGGATTACAGGTGTCTGCCACCATGCCCAGCTAATTTTTGTATTTTTAGTAGAGAGGGGATTTCATCATGTTGGCCAGGCTGGTGTTGAACTCCTGACCTCGGGTAATCCACCTGCCTCGGCCTCCCAAAGTGCAGGGATTACAGGTGTGAGCCACTGTGCCGGCCAAAATTCTTGAGTCACATCCTGATTTCAGAAATATTAAAATGAAGACAATGTGGTACTAACTCGTCATACCAATCTGGGTGTTTCTCGGCTTTCTAGTCTCTTGCACTGACCTATTTTGAAGCATATTATTTATCTGCTTATAATATTTATGTTTGTTTATTTATTCTCATTTATTCCTCTACCCCATCTCCATTCTCTTTCTTTCCAGCTCCCATAAGCAACTATTTTAACATTTTAAATATGCATTTGTTTATTTGACTGTATCATTTTGAATGTGTATTATCGTGTGGCCTATATTGTTATTTTTTTTCTGTTGTAGATCTCACTCTGTTGTCACTTTTTAGACTACATCCTATGTGTCTGAGAGCCATTGTGTTGCTGTTTCTGATAGCCGGGTAGCACTTTGTGGTGTGTTCACAGATCTCATCTCTTCAGGGTTTGTATCATGTTATGCCAGGTCCACTAAATAAATTTTGAGGTTTTCCACGTTTTGTTTTATAATATGTTGGCAAACTTTAACATGTACAGAATACATGTTCCTTAAAAGTTTGAAAAATTTAATCTGTAAAACAATTTGCCTCTGGTGCCATTTGGGGAATAGTTGTTAAAATTCCACACACACACACACACACACACACACACACACACACACAAAACAAAACAAAAAAAAAACAAAAAAAAAACAAAACAACAAAAAAAAAACACCCCATCATTCTTTCTGTCATTTTTGATTTATTCAAGTTTTTTTCTTCTTATAGGGAAATTTTTAAGAATTAATATTTTTGAGAACATATACTTTTCAAATCTAGTAGCCTATAGTTACTAATAATTTTTTTATGAATTCAGTGTAATCTCTTTTTTATGATTGTGGTTACATTGTTCATATTCCTAATGCTTCATATTTGTATTTTTGCACTGGCTTTTTAAAAAGTAACTTCACTTTTTTTCTGATATAAAAGTAATATATGCTTATTTAATAAGGGGTCTTTAGCCATTCCCTATGTGTGCAATTAACCTTGTCCAGAACTTGTTCTATTATATAATTTTTATTAAAAAACCAAGTTTTAAAAATCAATTTAAATGCTTTTTAGTTTTACTAAATACATTTAAAAAATAATTTTATCTTCGTCTATTCCCTCTACCTGCATTTTTTAGATTTATTTTTTGTTCTATTTTAGCTTATTGAATTGGATACTTCATTCTCATAGTTTCTGTCTGTCTTGTTTAATAATAAAATCTCAGTGCTATTAATTTTCCTCAGTATATCTTTGGCCACAGCCCCTATATTTTACATGTTCTGTTCTTCTTTGTCATAATTTTTTAAATAAGCTGTACTTGTAGTTTTTATTTCTTCTTTGTCTCAAGAGTTATTTAAGAGCATTTGACATTTCTAGTGTTTTTAAAAAATTCTTCTGTTATGAATTTCTGGGTTTATTACATTGTGGTTAGAGAATGTGAGAATGCAGTCTGCATTGTTTCTACTTTTTGGAAAATAGTAAGATTTTCTTTGTGGCTTAATATATGAACATATTTTGTTAATGTTCCACGGCACTTGAAAAGAATACGTGTTTCCTGAGTATATCTGAAGTTTTATATACATCTATTAAATCAAACATATTAATGTGTTATTCAAATTCTCTATATCTTTTTCTCTTCCTGCATACATGTGTATGTGTGTTTGGTCTATTTGAACTGGAAAAGCCTGAAGATGTTATATGAATGACTCCCACTGCAACTATAGTTTCGTCAGTTTCTTCATGTGTTGCCAAGTTTTTTGCTGTCTCTACTTCATTGGTGGAATTGATGAAGCATCTCCCTACGTTTCATTAGTTGTGTTCTCTAAAATGTTGAAAGGACAGGCACATCAGGAAGCAAAAGGTGTCTGTATTTTACCTAGCCTGGTTTGATTGGTGTTGTAGGGGAAATTTTGGCCCTATTCTAACATTAATTCAACCTTGGTTATCATTGGTAGGTGAGTTCCTATTTTTCTGTATCTTTGTGTCTTCCTTTATATACTCCTCAATATGTATTTATGGAAGACTTCTTCCATCTGTTTTCATTGCACACTGACTATGTATTTATTGGAAAACATTTTAAATTTTGTGTGCCCCTCCCAGTGAGAGGATTATTTGTTCTCACCTCAAAGAAATCTGGTTCTGCCATGTGACTTGCTTTGGCCAATAGACTGTGATCAGAAGAGATGTATGCCACATCGAAGTGTCTTGCTTACAGCATCATTGCACAGTCTGTCACTGTCCTTTTCTCTGCTCTAGGAAAAGCATGTCCAAATAGGGGCCACTCTCTCATCCTGGTCCCTGAATGAAAACAATCCAGTGTGTCAGCCAAAACTCAGAGAGAGCTGACTAGTATGGACATGCATTGTGTACTGGGTCCTGTTTTAGGCATTGCAGATCTAATCAGAATGGAAACCAGCATGGCCCCTGTTCGCCTAATGCTTATGGAAAGTTGGAAGAGTCTATGAAATGCTGCTAGCCACTATTTTTACAGGCCTCAGTCATATCTGATAGTTTTCTTTATATGGAATCTATATACTTCCTATTTGGCATTTCCAAAATACTTTTTGTTATTGTGAATATAATCTTTTTCGTCATGTTATTTAAGAACTCGTAGCTGCTATATGGGAAATCTATAGATTTGTATTTTTACTTATATTATCTGGACACATTATTAAGGTCTCATAATTATATAGTTATTTACTAGATTTTCCAGGTATATAATCATATTTCAAATCAATTAGTAATTTGCTTTTCCTTTGCAATGATTATAAACCAACTTCTCTTCTATATCTCATTTAATTGGCCAGATTTTCATAAAAGTGTTAAATAATGTAATAGTATTTTCCCTGATTTTATTAGGAAAGTGGCCAGTGTTTGACTCTTAAGATATGACTTATTTGTTTAAGACAAATCATCTTTGCCATGTTGAGAAGATCATTTTTTGTTTGCAGTTTTCTCTGAGTTCTTATTCTGAATATGTGTAGCATTTTAACAAATGCCTTTTTAGTGTCTACTGAGATTTTTGCATGCCTATCTGTATTTTGTTAATAGATTTCCCAATATTAAAATACGTCAGCATTCCTCGGATAAATCTAGTTATTATGATGGATGGTCTTTTAGTATACAATTTTGTTCAGTTGTCGTATATTTTATTTAGCACTTAAACATTTGTGTTCCTAATTGGCTTTTTCTATAGGTTTTTTTTTGTGTGTGTGGGTACTATCTTTGTGAGATTTTGGTATTAAGATTATACTTCCTTGTAGGAGAGACTTTAAATTTTATTTTATTTTTTTACTATTCAGGAACAGTTTATATTGCATGGGGATTATCTGTTCCTTGAAAGTTTGAACTGACTTGATAATAAAACTGTCTGGGTGTACATCTCTTTAGGAGTAATACTTTAGTAATTTCCTCAGTTCCTTTGATGGTTTTATTTTTCAGATATGTATTGCTTTAGTCAGGTCTGTGGTGGCTCCTTGGACTAGGAGTTGGTTCAGATCTGAGCCTCTCGCCTAATGGAAGATTACATCACCTGATCAGACTGGATGTTTAACAGAATTCAGCCTCTTGCATCGTAGTATTTACCTTGAGTGAAAATTTCATGTTAAGCACTTGTTAAATTGCCTAAAGCACAGAGAGCTGAGACTTCAAGTTGTGGTCTGTTTTTGTTTCTCCCCATTAGCCCATATTTTTATGTGTGCTAGAATTTGATTTGAGATGTGCTTTCATTGTAATAGATATCAGGAAATGAAACTGGTTGGGGTGCAGCACGCCTAGGTCCTTCCTAGATTTCTAATTATTGGAATTTGCTGGGTATTCACAAAATAAACTGGAAATTATGAGCAACCCAATTGGTCTGGGTTGGTGTGTTCTCAACAGTCCTTTTGCTGCCTATGAGTGGAGTTGGCAAAGGAGTATTCTGGCCGCCTCTAAAGCATTCCCTGCACAGTGAAGAAAGAGCTGCCATTGGTAGTAACCTTAAGGACCCAAGTGAATTGTTTTTTTGGAGCTGCCATAGCAAAGTACCACACACGGGGTGACTTAAAACAACAGAAATTCATCGTCTCACAGTTCTGGAGGCCAGAAGTCCGAGATGAGATAAAGATGTTGGCAGAGCTGGTCCTATCAGTGGGCTGTGAGGGAGAATCTGTTCCAGGCCTTTTTCCTAGCATCTGGTTGTTCTGATGGAGATCTTCGGTGTTTCTTGGTTGTAGATGTATTGCTTCATATTCACATGCTTCTCCCTTCTTCCTGCATCCCTTCACATCATCTTCCCTCTGTGCACATCTGTCTCAGTGTCCAAATTTACCCTTTTATAAGGACAACAGTCATTGAATTAGGGCCCACCGTAATGGCCTCATTTTAACGTGGTGACTTCTTTTAAGGCCCGATCTCCAAATAAGTTCACAATCTGAGGTTCTAGGGGTTACGACTTCCACTTATCTTTTTTCAGGGAATGCAATTCAGCACATAGTTCTGAGTAGGGCTGCCGAGAGAAGGGAAGTCAGAAGGGCTTTCCTACTGTTGCTTGGACTGATGGCAGCCTCTGTTCATGCGGTGAACGTGAGTGGGCAGACCATCAGCTGTCTTTTTTTTTTTTTTGTGATGGAGTCTCGCTCTGTTGCGAGGCTGGAATGTAGTGGCGCAATCTCAGCTCACTGCAACTTCCGCCTCCTGGGTTCAAGCGATTCTCCTGCCTCAGCCTCACTAGTAGCTGGGACTACAGGTGCGCACCACCCATGCCCAGCTAAATGTTTTTACATTTTTAGTAGAGATGGGATTTCACCACGTTGGCCAGGATGGTCTCAATCTCTTGACCTCATGATCCACCCACCTCGGCCTCCCAAAGTGCTGGGATTACAGGTGTGAGCCACCGCGCCCAGCCCATCAACTGTCTTTCTTACCCACTCTACCAGCCATCTCAGTAGATAGTCCTTTCAAAATCTATTAATGGATGGTTCCAACGTTCCCAATGTTAACTTTCCAAGAAATCTTCAGCTTTGGGATTTTCTTTGTCTTTAACATTGTTTTACTGGGAGGAGGAGAGGGGCCATAACAGGCCCTGCCAGCTAGGAGTCAGTTAAACCACAAGTTGTTCTTTCTCCTGGCTCTATTTTCCTGCCTTTTATTTTTTCCCTGTCCAAGGATCAGCAGGTTGCCTCTCCCAGGCCACACCTCCAAGAGCATCCTTGCATTGGGGTGCCCTGCTGATTGTGGCAGAGCTCGAAACTAGGGAGGCATCATTCACTTGGGCTGCAAAGACAAGGGCTTGTGCGGGAGACCATTTGTGGGTTTGGAGCTGCTCTTCACACTTGGGATATCATACTGATGGTCTCTGTGCAACCTCTGCAGGGATCCCCAGCTGTCTTTATTGCTCACAACTTTATTATCTTCTGAAGGTTTGGAGCTTATAAAATAGCTGTTTTGGCCAAAGCTGTACAATAAAGAATCATATTTGACTCTCACATTTCGCCTCCTCTCTTGCTAGCTAAATAATGTGACATTTCGAATTTGGAATCTTCAAGTTTAGCTTACATTTTTGGCTTTTACTAATTTTATCAAGGTCTTGCTGGGATGCTTGTCAGTTTCCAAAATGCCTTGATATGATCTCATCTTATTCTCGCAATAAGTTGCTTTTTCTGCTCATTTTTCATGGCAATAACTCACAGAAGTTACTGGAGGCACGGGGGCGACTTGGCCGAAATCACACAGATAGCAGTAGAGCCAGGACTCCAACTCAGGTCTGCTGACACTCAGCCCGGCTCCTTTCCATGAGGTCATCCTGCTCTCCTGCTACCTCATGGTCCAGCCAAGTCTCAGCTCGCACTCAAGATCCCAAAATACCACCACCTCCTCCCCAGAGCCTTCCCAGATTAAGCTAATAACTGACAGCTTTCCATTATATTGCTCAGTCTATCTAGAACAGGGGCTGGCAAACCACTGGCTCCTTGCCCTGGTGTTGCTGGTCTACAAATGTTTTTTACATCTTTAAATGTCCATTAAAAAAAATAAAAATATTGTGGCAGAGACATAAGTGACCCTCAAAGCCTTATGACTATTTACTATCTGACCCTTTACAGAAAAAGGTTGCCAGCCCCCAGGTTAGATAAATGTACCTCCCTTTATCTGCTTTTAAATGTCACCTACTCTCTGCTATGGAATGAATGGCCGTCAAAATTCTTGTGTTAAAACTTAATACCCATTGTGGTGGCATGAAGAGTTGGGTCCGTTTGGGAAGTGATTAAGTCATGAGGGCAGAGCCATTAATATGGATGGATCAGTGCCGTATTAAAGGGCAGGAAGGAATTACTGTAGCTTCGGCCTTTTGCCAAGTGAGGACGCAGTAACAAGGCACCATCTTGAAAGCAGAGCACAGCCCTCCCCAGACACCAAACCTGCCAGCGCCTTGATCTTGGACTTCCCAGCCTCCAGAATTGTGAAAAAATAAATGTCTATTGTGTACAAGTCACCCAGTCTCAGGTATTTCATTATAGTAGCCTAAATGGAGGAAGACACTGCCCATTTATATTTATTAAACCAATTTTTGTGTCTGTTTATTTATTTACTGTGAACCGAGGATTATTGCTTTGGAAGGTTCCAAGTTCCTGCTTCCTCTCCCCTGATACTTTTCTTCACCCCTCTATCAGGCTCTGAGGGATAGATAGATACAACATGAAATAGAACATCCTCTACAGCTTATTTGGAAAGGGAGGCAGGGAGGGCCTTGGCATCAAATACGTGTTGGATCCTGCTAGATGCCCACGAGTGGTATATACAGGAAGAACACATGTGCGCATCAAAGGAGAGGACATGCTTGAGGACTAGAACGTAAACCCCGCAGGAATGTATCTTTTTTGTTTACTGCTATCCCCAGTGTTCAGCATAGGTGCCTGAAAAAGATTTGTTGACCAATGAATGAGGCCTGAATTACCTGAGGAAGATTTGGGTAGGAAATTGGACTTCACACACTAAGATGTGAAGAAAGGGTAAGACTTGAATAAATAAATGAAAGCGAAGGTTGTCTTTTGGGCTTGTTATAAGAAGATATAGCCCATCGTATGTCTTCTTTACAGATTCGTTACCACTGAAACCAATGAACAGTTGGTGTATGTAATTATTGATTCAGCAGGAAATGGCAGGCCCCCTGAGTGGAGGGACCTTGGCTTTTTCACCATGTAGGCCCACTTCTTAGCAAAGTGCCTGCAATTTAACAGGGTCTTGATGGTTCTCTGTTAAAAGGAATAATGATTTATAAGACTATGACAGCTGATTAGAGCCTTAGAGTGGGGAATCTTCCATGCCAGGCCAATCACCTCGAAATTTATCCTTTCTATAGTCCAGGGGTCCACAAACTACAACCCGTAGGCCCAATCCACACATTTGTTTACCTATTGTCCATGGGTGCGCTTGCATTGCAGTTGCAGAATTGAGTGGCTGAGACAGAGATGGCATGTGGCCCCTTGGCCTACACAGGTTAAAATACTTGCTGTCTGCCCCCGGACAGGTGAAGTTCACCAACCTGTGCTGAACTTTGGAGAATGGCACAGGAAGTCTGATGCTTTCATGAGGTTGGTGCTGGGTTCTCATGGTTGGCTGGCTGCAATTGTACAGCGCACAAATCTACTAATGCCCTCAGGTCCAACTCTCTCATCTCTCCTTCGATCCAGAGACTTCTTGGGGATTCCAGTCTTGGCCTACAGTTCTCATGGGTTCAGGGAGGCCTTTGATTCTGAGGAAACATGGTGAGCTTTACTGGTGTCTAGATAGCTCTCTCACATCCTGCACATTTGCTAAGTTTATAATTTATAATGAGAGGGATCTAGCAAATGATTTCCTTGGGGATTCCCCAGCCTTCTCTATTGCTCATAACTCTCTTAGCTTCGAAGGTTAGCAGTTTTTAAAATGGGATGCTTTGGCCAAAGTTGCATAACAAAGAATTGCACTGGCCTGTCTGCTTCCTCCCCTTCTCAAGGTAGCTGAGGAATATGGCATTTTGAAATTTGAGTCTTCATGTTTAGCATATATTTGCACCTTTTATTTTTTTACTTTTATTTTTTGAGATGGAGACTGTTCTGTCGCCCAGGCTGGAGTGCAGTGGTGCAATCTCAGCTGACTGCAACCTCTGCCTCCCAGGTTCAAGCGATTCTCCTGCCTCAGCCTCCTGAGTAGCTGGGACTACAGGCACGTGCCACCACGCCTGGCTAATTTTTTTGTAGTTTTCATAGAGATGGGGTTTCACTGTGTTAGGCAGGTTGGTCTCAATCTCCTGACCTCATGATCCACCCGCCTCGGCCTCTGAAAGTGCTGGGATTACAGGCGTGAGCCACTGTGCCTGGCCCTCCAATTTTATTAATAAATTATCACCCAGGCAGCGTCTTAGGCAATTTTCTGGTTGTCCATGAGACACTCTTTAAGCTCAGAATTTTAGGCCATAAAATATAGTTCAAACGATGCTATAAAGAGTTAAGAGAGTTTCCAAAGAATGTTGGGTAGACCTTGAGAAACTATTTAGCTCAGGCGTGCAATGTTTGTGTGACTTCTCTTGCTCAGCTGTGCCTGATACTCTATAAATATGCCTTATTTATCTTCTTCATATTTTCATTATTTAATGTTCTTCTTTAAACATACTTTTGGGCCGGGCGCGGTGGCTCACGCCTGTAATCCCAGCACTTTGGGAGGCCGAGGCGGGCGGATCACGAGGTCAGGAGATCGAGACCATCCCGGCTAAAACGGTGAAACCCCGTCTCTACTAACAATACAAAAAATTAGCCGGGCGTAGTGGCGGGCGCCTGTAGTCCCAGCTACTTGGGAGGCGGAGGCAGGAGAATGGCGTGAACCCGGGAGGCGGAGCTTGCAGTGAGCCGAGATCCCGCCACTGCACTCCAGCCTGGGCGACAGAGCGAGACTCCGTCTCAAAAAAAAAAAAACAAAAAAAAAAAACATACTTTTGGGGCTCCTATATTGCCCAGTTACAGCTCTTTTTAAGTTTTTATGTTCCAATATAACTTAAAATGATTTCAGGGCCTTTGGTAATCAATAGTGTTATCAAATTGGGGGGATAATATATCAAAAATGTGTGACTTATCCAGTAGGCCAAGTATTGAAGCATGGGCTTCCATGGGACAGCAGTTATTAGCCCATCAGGAGGGAAAAGCCATTGTAACTTTCCTTATGCTTAGGGAATCCTGAGTCTCATCTTCCCTTATGCCTGTCCTACTAGAATTCTATGGTTTATATCATAATCTTCCTCAAGAAGATTGGGTCTTTTTGCTCAAATTTCTAAAATTTGAAAACTTAACATCCATAGGACTGTTTTTTAAACGTGAGGATTTTGATTTGAGTGGACATGGGTAATGGGGTATTTTCTTTGGGTAGGATCCAAGAGCAAGACACCTCTAGGTAGGGCAGTTGATCTCATTCCCCAACCTTCTGATCTGAATTGGGCTGGGACGTGGAGCTACTTTGACTCATTTGCATAGTGACTGAGGGTTCTACCTGGGGATCTAGGGGCTGGAGATTAACCCTACTGAGTTTTATGGGTATAAAAGCATTTGGTAGATTGAAGTAGGCTCAGCATGAGACCAGATTACAGGAAAAAAAAAAAAAAAAAAACACCAGAGGCTCTGAAAGGGAACGAACCCTAAGGCAAGAGGGGATCTGAAACATGAACTGGAAGGTTCAGCAGCGGAAGGACCCTGTTGTTTCTGGGCATAATCTATAACTGAGACTAGAAACTCCCTGTTTCTGTTTCAAGCAACTAGAATCTTCTGCATCTTTGGGACTAGTAGAGCATTCATGTTTGGAAAAAGTGACTTAACCATAAAATAAAACTCTACCTGAATGTCCCAATATTTGTGTGACCTTCTTACTGTGTCTTTAACATAAAACAGAGCAATGCAGTTTATTTCATGAAAATACGAGGTCTAGCTAGGTTGAGTTGTATACAGTTCTATTCAGAGGCGCAACACGCATTGTAGCTGATCTTATTTTTCTCTTGAGTCCCCACCACTTTCTTCTTCAGTGGCTGGAAAAGAAGCCATATTTTACTTTCCCTTTTTGGGTGGTTACTCTTTTTCCTCTCATGCTTCCCTGCCTCTTATTAGTCTCCTGCAGCAAGATAATCTGGTAATTTAAATAAGCGAATAAATGTATATATTTTATATTTTTCTCTAGACACATATAATTAACATTATATATGTACTAATAAACATACACATGCACATATATATTAAAGGGTTGATTTTTAAAAATTGGGATACCATTAAACACACTTTTCTGCATCTTGATTTTTTCGCTCAATTATGCCTAAATGAAAATCCTGCGTCAATACAATCAATCTAATTTGTTTTCTGTGGTTGTGTCATATTCCATGGTGTAGATGGATTACAGTATATGAAGTTGTTTTTTAATGGAGTTGCATACACATTTTTCAATTTCTTTCCTCAGATATTGCTACAATAAACATTCATCTTATAAATGAATAAATCAGTTTCCAGCTTGGGGTTGAAGAGTGGGGGAAGGTGTAGACTCTAGAAAATGCAGAGATGTAGACTCTAGAGAAATTCTAGGAATAATTTCTCCTTAAGTTGGGTAAATTAAGCTAAGTCTAAAATAAGCCAGAAATTAAAGTTCCCCATTCAAATATCAATCCATTCTTACAATCTGATTTATACTTACCATTAAGAAACTATATTCATTCCTTTGTTTATTTTTCCTTTTGTCCATCTATCCATCCATCCATCCATCCACTCAATTATCCATTCATCTATCCAAACATGAGCTAAACATCTGCTACGACCTAACACTGTTCTAAGGGCAATGGAAGATATAAAAGATATATATGCTTATAATATAGTTGGGAAACAAGCCATATCTATAGGAATAGCTGTTTAATGGTAGTGGCTGCCAAAGGTTGGACTGAGATTCAGGACACTGACCAGAGTCCTTACTCTGCCTTTGCTTACTTCTTGTTCATTCCGGGACTGTGAAGAAGTCAGTTTACCATTTTAGGCTTTGGTTTCCTCATCTGCAAAATGGCAGAGTGGACCTCGATCATAACTGAAGCATCAGGGGACCTGCAAGCCAAATCCACCCCATAGCCATCTTGTCTAGTCTGTCACAGTTGAAAAAACCCCAACATTTAAAAAGCAGTACATTTCTTATAAAAGTATAGATTTTTGGCTTCTTTCAAAAAACAATGGGAAGATTTGTTCACACAGTATCTACATGCCAGTCCCACGAAGCAAAGATTGGCTAAAGCTGGGAAATGTTTGCCCACTTCTTTTTTTGTTTGTTTTTGTTTGCCCCCTTCGAACAAGAAACTCATTCTCCATTTCACCATAGTCCCTACTATGCCCTAAAGTTGCCCTCCCATGTGAGCTGTCAGTAGCTAATTACCACTGTGCTCGCATGGCTGATTCTTCCTTGGTAGAAAAATGCATTGCTTGCATCTATGTCAAAAGTAGGAATACGAAAGATCTACTGAGAAGCCTTCACATTTCAAGAAAAGTGGGAGAGATTATACAGAGAGAGACAAAGTGAGAAAGACTCTTAGGTGTTTCAAACTCTAACAGAAACTGTGTTGAAAACCACACCTGGAAGTCCCAAGGCTGGCTTTTGCTGAGTGGCAGCCCACCCCTCCCCCACCACTGCAAGCCCTTGTCACTGCCTGTTAGACACAGCATGTCAAGCTGCACCAGAGGAGAGCCTGTTTGGAGCCAGCTCTGCACAGGAAAAAAAGACAGAAGGAGAACAGGCTCTGCTATTTAGAGAAACGTCCTTTCTCCTGCAAAGACTGTCTTGGAAGGCTTATGGTCTCTGATTTCTATATGGTTTTTGGCACATCGTTTTAATCAAAAGAAGAAAAGGAAACACCGCGATGCCTTCAAACTCTAAACACAATGAGCTGGCAATGGAGGATGCAGTTAAGTCATTCCAATAATATGCCAGGCTCCGAATAACAACATCTGTTCCTGCAGGGCAGCTAGCAGAGGATAAAAAACAAGAAAGAAACCTTAGATTTTAATGCAAATAGATTCACTGACAGGCGGCATGGAACATCTTTCTATTAGACGGGTCAGAGTTACTGTCAATAGCATGTCTTTGCCTAATTGTAGGCTGCCTGGGGCTAGGTGCAATGGTGAGTGAGTTGGAGAGAAATGACCTCTGACCTCCATAGTTTAAAATCCACGTACAGAAACACTTTGATGCATTACAAAGTGCCATGCACAACTATTATATATCAATATTTTAAAAAAGGGCCATGGCCCTGGTGGGAGGTCATCAAACCCTAAAAGATTCCCTTGGCTTCATTTAGGAGAGGTTCTGAATTCCCCTGTAATAAGTAGATCCACAGACATTTGCCCTGGGTATCAGTGCAGCAGACAGCTCTAAAGCACTCCCTTTCCTGGTAATTTTTCAATTCTTCTGAGTCCTTCCGAGAGAGATCCTCAATTAGGTGTTAATGATTAATGTCTAATTTCCCTCACACCCTAGGGCAAACCTTTCTGCTTCCAAAAAATCTAGGATTGTAGAAGTGACAAATTTGATATCATAAGATCTTCCCATGACCATTCTCCGAACCCCTTCTGTGCTCCTCTAACTTACACCACAAGTTTCAACTTCCTAGATTCAAACCCAAGATACGCCAGAATCTTGGCCATTTTGTGTGTTTTCCTTTTTCTTTCTTTCTTTTTTTTTTTTTTGAGACGGAGTCTCGCTCTGTCACCCAGGCTGGAGTGCAGTGGTGTGATCTCGGCTCACTGCAACCTCTGCCTCCCGGGTTCAAGCAATTCTCCTGCCTTAGCCTCCCAAGTAGCTGAAAGTACAGGCTCATGCCATCACGCCCAACTTTTTTGTATTTTAATAGAGACGGGGTTTCACCATGTTGCTCAGGCTGGTCGCGAACTCCCGAGCTCAGGCAATCAGCCCCCCTCGGCCTCCCAAAGTGCTGGGATTACAGGCGTAATCCCACTGCACCCAGCCCATTTTGTGTTTTAACCATCATCTCTTCCCAGAACACTTACCCTCTAATATATGTCATTCATCCCTCTACCTGGATCACCTGTGTAACTCCTGCATATTCTTTAAGGGTCACTAAAAGGTCACCCTCTCGCTAGGACTCAGGCCCCCTTCTCAGACTCAGGTAAGTTCCTCTCCTATGCCTTCCTTTGGCGCTTGCTGTTTGTGTGTGTCTGTACACGTAATACATGGCAGCATAGAAAGTAAAGTCTTCCACCATCTAACTGTGATAGATACCATTTAAAGGTTAATGAAAAATATGCAATCATTTGTTCAGCATTTACTGGTTGGTTTGTTTCTGATATTTGCTTTAGGGGCAAGTAATAAAAAACCAGATTTCCTCTCTGTCCTCAGTGGATAGGGGAGAAAAGCCACATCCCCCACTCATCACAGGATCACAGGCATTCTATTGCCCAGTGCAGCCTAAACCACAACATATTGAAAATGAATTAATTGACCTAGTAAGTCAGGAACCTTTGTTAATTTCTTCGGCATCATTAATGCTTCCCTTCCTAGTCTTTAGTTTCTTGTAAAATGAGGGATCCCTAGATCCCTTTTAACTCTCGGAGTCTGAATTCTTGAATCACTCTTCTAGTTGTCCTCCACATCTAACATCTGGGCAGATTTCTGCACATTTTCCCTACTTATGGTAGAAAGGTTTTGCTGCTTCTGTACATGGCTTGGTCAAGGGTCTAAACTCAAACTACTCCGTTTAACATCGAAAGTGCCTTTCCTTTCCCAAATAGTGTGTGCTTTGGTGTTAAGCAAACCTAGATTTGAATTGTGTCTTTCACTGTAGTTAACTAGGTGACCTCAGGTGAGTTTCTTAATCTCTCTATGCCTCAGTTTCCTCATTGGCAAAATGGAGATAACTCCACACAAGTCACGGAGTTGTTGAAATTATCAAATAAGATAAAGCAAATCCTTAGTACGATACTTAGTACATGGGTAGTGCTTACTAAATGTCAGCTTTTTATTAATTATTGTGACCCCTCACTTATTCACTTGATATGAAACAATGGCTTTATTAGTAGTATAACTGTGTCATGTAAAAATATTTTAGCATAAATATTGTGATATGTAAGAGTGAGTTATTTCTATTTGACTTCTTAGGGGCTATTAGCCTGTGAAATATTCTAGTATGAATTAATACTAGGTTTGTCAAATTACTATAAAAATAGAAGTAGTTTTAGAGTGATGATATTAATGGTGTTTAAGTTATATGATTAAGGAGAAGCAGTACAACAGTGTCCACCAATCTTGCACAAATAAGGTAGAAGGAACTAGCTAACTCTGAAGTCTATGCCAGTCCTGCCAGTTGTGCAGCACTGGCCCTACACCTGTCTATATCAATGGCGGCCCTGCTACCTTCCCTGCCTACCTGGGCCTGTGAACACTTCTTCATCCTCTTCCAAGGGAGCTTGTTCTGCAAGGGACTGGTTGGGGGCACCTGAGACTGCCTTTCCCAAGCTACGGAAACTTACGGTTTATGCCTGCTTGCTAATAGAGATGTCACATTTTGTCTGAGACTTGATTAGAACTGGTAGTAAGGTTGCAGGGAATGGAAAGATTATATCACTTTCTCCAACCACCAGCCTGTATAACAAGGATCTATCATCCCTGGATGCCAGATTGGCTTAGATTGGTTGCTTCACCAAGCGTTTCCCCCATACCTTGCCCAGCACTTGCTAATTCTTTTCTCAACCAGTTCTTTTGGTTCTCACCTTTCTTAAGTCTTAGGTGGAAATTTTAGCTTACATAAGTTTTCTTTATTTGCTCTATAAATAGCCAAGTATCATACTGATGGGAGGTACCTTATGCTGTCATTAAAATTAAGAGCTTAATAATTTTTGAAAACCATACTGCAGATATTACACATGATTTACTGACTTTAAAATTAATAAAAGTAATATTTACACTATACATTTGTTGGAAATACCAAGATTCCATGTTGCATTTAAAAAAATTCTATTATAGTAGAAATAAAAAGAAGAGATTTCCCCCCCCACCTTGTAAGGATCTGTTTGAATTAATTGTAACTCATAAATAAATGCTATTTCTTACCTCAAACAGGTAAACAAATATAGAATGAGGGATAATGAAAATATAACAAGCAACCATTGTACAGTAGTTAAAGTAGAATTTCACAGGAAAGTTTCTTGTAAACAAACTACTGAATTTTATGATGACAAGACACAGAATAAAGTATAAATATGGCAAGAAAGAGCCTTCACAGGACTTGGCTTACTGTTTAAATTCTTTGTAAGTTCAAGGTGAATGTCTTGCCTTTACCATTATCTATGTAACAAGGCAAAATGGCTCAGTACGTTATATTTTCGGAGCTTCATGCCAAAATAGCTCCACCTTTCTCAATCTTCTGGTATTATAAATTTGGTGGCCTTTGGCATCAATTTTAACTTTAATGGTGCTAAGTTAAAGAATTTGTATCCTGTAACTTAACGGTCTATATTTTTCAGTAACAAAGTGCATTTTACAAAGTAATGTCCATCTTCCACGTTCCTCCTCTTCCCTACCCCCATCTCCTACTCCAAGTGAGGCTTCCCAAACCTCCCTGGGAGCAGGGGCTGAGACCAGGGTAGTTTTTTCCTCTATGTGTTTATAAACTTTGCATTCTCTTGCCTGTTGTGGAAGTCACAATTTCGAGCACTGACTGTTTCTGGGTCTTCTCATTTTCATACCTATACTGCTACTTTCCTCAAGGGAAATAGGAGTGTGTAGAAAGGAGGGCACCAAGATGACTATTTCAAGATTTTCTCCTGCAATGCACCTCGTCTCATGTAATCCTCATAACCACAATGGGTGTGGCATATTACCCAGTATTATCTGCATTTCATAGCTGAAGATGCTGAGGTTCAGAGAAGCTGCATGGCCTACATAACAGTGACAATATTCACTCCTACCACAATTTTCTTCCATATACACATTGCACAGGAGCCAGCAAGCCAGGCCCAGCGTGAGCCTCCGTCTTCAGTTTCTGAATCCCATGCATCTTTATTCTATCTCACCGCAGAAATGAATCAGAGAAGGTGTGATGGTTAATACTGATGTCAGCTTGACTGGATTGAAGGATACAAAGTATTGATCCTGGCTGTGCCTGTGAGGGCGTTGCCAAAGGAGATTAACATTTGATCAGTTGGCTGGGAAATGCAGACCCACCCTGGGTCTGGGTGGGCACAATCTAATCAGCTGCCAGCACAGCTAGAATATAAAAAGGCAGAAAAATGTGAAAAGAGAGACTGGCCTAGTTTCCCAGCCTACATCTTTCTCCCGTGCTCATGCTTCCTGCCCTCGAACGTCGGACTCCAGGTTCTTCAGTTTTGGAACTCGGACTGGCTCTCCTTGCTCCTCAGCCTGCAGACGGCTGGGACCTTGTGATCCTGTGAGTTAATAATAAACATATATATATATATATATATATATCTCCCATTAGTTCTGTCCCTCTAGAGAACCTGACTAATACAGAATGGCACACTGTGGAATGGGGATTTTTACCAGAAGCTAGGATCCACCGATCTTCTATGACCGGGGAGCCATGTAAATGCCATTTGGGAAAACATATATCTACTCGGGAGGCTGAGGCAGGAGAATGGCGTGAACCCGGGAGGCGGAGCTTGCAGTGAGCCGAGATCGCACCACTGCACTTCAGCCTGGGCGACAGAGTGAGACGCCATCTCAAAACAAACAAACAAAGAACGTGAACAACGGATACAACAAATCACCAAAAGGATCAGGGAATCTAGACACAGACTAGAAATTTATTTCACGTGAAGCCCAGCTAATATCATGGTGATAGCTCTCAGACTTCAGGGGAGGATGAGTTTTCGGAGGCTCTTTCTTCAAGGCCCTCCCTGTTAGCCTCTCCGTTTTGCAGCCTTCCCCATCCTTCTCTTTCTCCTTATGTTTCTGAAGCCTGCTATTCTAGCGTCTTTGCCTTTGCTAGTCAGCAAGCCCAGGATTTTGTTTTTTCAAGCGTCTAGTATTTTTGATCGTCATCACAAACTCTTCCAGGGCTCTGAATACAACGTTTTAAAATAGCCTCCAGCATCCCTGGGGGTTATTAACTGACAGTGTGACAGTTTAGTCACCCTGCACCCCTCCCCATGCCTACAAATTTTTTCACAGTTCTATTTTCAAACAATAAATAACTATGTGGTGAGCATCTTTCCTGTAGTATCCTATTCCATGGAGAGGCTGTAGATATGTCTGTCTTTTGGGCAAGCTGGGAAGAAAGTGGGCTGAGGTAATTGAGTTTAAAATGAGTTGGCTGCGGTCTTTTTTTTTAATTGTAGTAAAACGTGTAGCATAAAATTGACCATTTTCATAATTTATTTTTTAAATTTTTATATTTTTGGAGACGAGTCTTGCTCTGTCGCCCAGGCTGGAGTGCAGTGGCGTGATCTCGGCTCACTGCAAGCTCCGCCTCCCGGGTCACGCCATTCTCCTTCTCGGTCTCCAGAGTAGCTGGGACTACAGGCGCCTGCCACTACGCCCGGCAAATTTTTTTGTATTTTTAGTAGAGACGGGGTTTCACCATGTTAGCCAGGATGGTCTCGATCTCCTTACCTTGTGATCCGCCTGCCTCGGCCTCCCAAAGTGCTGGGATTACAGGCGTGAGCCACTGGCCTGGCCCATTTTCATCATTTTTAAGGGTGCAGTTCAGAGGCATGAAGTTCATTCACATTGTCTGGCAACCATCACCACCATCCATCTTCAGATCTCCAGAGTAAGTTGTGTTTTAGGAGGGCCTGGCCCCCTGAGATAAAAAGTGGGACTGAATTAGTCTGCTAAAGTTCCCATAACAAAATACCACAGACTGTGTGGCTTAAACAACAGCCATTTATTTCTCACAGTTCTGGAGGCTGGGAAGTCCAAGATCAAGGTGTGAGCAAGGTAGATTTCATCCTGAAGCTCCTTCTCTTGGCTTGTAGGCTGCGCCATCTTGCTGTGTGTTCCTATCATCTCCTTTTTTGTGTGCCTGTGAAGAGAAGCAGCAAGTTCTCTGGTGTCTCTTCTGATAAGGGCACCAGTCCCATCACATGAGGGCCCCATCCTCATAACCTCAATTAACCCTAATTACCTCCCTGAAGCCCCATCTCCAAATACCATCAGATTTGAGGAACTGGAGGTTAGGAATTCAACAAACGAATTTTGGGGAGACATAAACATTCAGGCCCTAACAGTGATTTATCTGATGATTATGAAGGACTCATTAGAAACCACTGGGACTGGCAGAGTCCCAATGACGTTGACAGAAAAACATTGCATAACTAGGAATGGAGCTGTTCCAGGGGAGAAGAAGTAGACCAGCAGGTGTTGGGAAAGAAACAGTTGAGAAGCACAGGCAGCCCCTCAATCCACACTGGTCCTTCTGAAAGACATGGAATAAATAAAGCACCCAGCAAATTAAGAGTCAGCCGATGCTCTGTGGGGACACTAAAGTGGCCATGTGTAGACTACATCACATTTTAGTGCCCAGATGCTGAAAGCTTCTCTGCTGAAAATTGACCCAGAGAAGGAAAAATAGGGAATCCACAACAAAATATGACTAGAAGTCAAACAGTAATTTTGCAAGCATGAATTTAATAAGAAACACAGAGCACTTATTATATTGTAGATTTCCATTTTTTTAATGCTTTTTGAAGTTTCTATTATTTAGTATAATAGTATACTCAGATTTAACTATTGTTTGGGCATATATCCACCCAAACATCTTTGTTTATTTATATTTTTGGCAGCTGTTTTCATGCATTACTTTATATTTAATACATGTACATGGCACATAATTCCAAAGGTACAAAAGGGTACACAGCAAAATATAACACTCCTTTCCATCCTGACCCTCCAGCCACCCAAAGACAGCTCTTATTTCCAGCTTCTTATGTGTGCTTTGTGTGTGTGTGTGTACATGCACGTGCATAAGGAAAATTTTTACCCAAATAGCACATGATATTACCCAAATATACACATGGTTCTGCACCTTGCTTGTTACCCTGTTATATCTTGGAATTCATTTCATATCAATATGTATACAACTGCTTCATTTTCTGAAACAGCTTTAGAGTATTCCATTGTTTGTATGAACCAGAATTTATTTTTTTTTGGGTCTCTTTTGTTTATTGTCTGCCCCTCACCAAAGGTTTCTTCCATGAAAAGAGGAAGGATTTTGTTGTGCTTCCTGCTGTATCTTTAGCAATTATAACAATGCCTGATAAACACATAAATATTTGTACTCTGGGGTGTTGACTGACTACATAATTTCACACCTGAGTAATTTGAATTGCTGGAACGAGGGGAATGTGTAGTTGTCATTGTGTTAGGATCCATACTGCCCTCCATGGAGGCTGTACCAATGTATTCTACCACCACTAAGGTTGGAGTATATCTGTTTTCCCACACCTGTGCCAATACCTATGGTAACACCCATGCCTACCAACATAGCATGCTGCCAAGGTTCATTTTTTCCTGTCTGATAGAGGAGAAATGGTATCTTAAGATTTTATATTTCTGCATTTATTTTTCTTTATGTTTTTGCATTTTTTATTATAATTGAGTTGCACATGTTTAAAAGCATTTGTATTTTCTCATCCATGATTTGTGTGTGTCGTTCATTGAGAAAGGGATTTCTCCCTTTGTCTGAGACATGTTTCAACAGTTTTGCCCCAGCATGTCATGTCATTTGAGGTTGCCTGTAGCCCCATTCAGAACTTCTGACATGTATGTTTTAGAGCTTTTCATTTTGATGAAGTCAAATTTATCAATCTTTTCTTTTGGGGCTTCTTGGCTTTTGGGAGGGGGATGGTCATAATTAGAAAAGTCTTTCTCAGTGTAGGATTATTTAAAAAAATGTTCGCATGTGTTCTTTAGTACTTTTTCTAGTTTGTCAAAGTTTAAATCTGTGATACCTAAATTTATTTTAGTATTGGGAGTGAGGTAGGGATCTTTTTTCTCTTTCCCTAATTGGTTATGAATACCACTTGGTGAATGGCCAGTTTTCTTTTTCACTGACTTGTTGTGTTATCTTTATTATTTATGAAACTCCCAAATATTTGGGGGTTTATTGGTGGACTCCTTTATATTTTCCATTGATTTATTGTCTATTCAATCATGAGTGTCACATCATTGCAATTACTGCAGCTTTTAATATTTTTTCAGTGTGGTAGTACTGGCTCCCATTTTTCCTTATTTCATAAATGCCCCAAATATCATTGGATGTTTATTTATCTATATACATTTTAGAATAAATTTCTCTATTGTTTTGAAAACCTATTTGTAACATCTGCAATTACTATAGATTAGAAATATTTGAAATCTTTATAATATTTAGTATTCTTATTCAATAACTTTCTTTTTTAATGGAAATTTAATTTATTGTAGAGGTGACATTACTAATCATTAGGAAAAGTGATGGGTGACAGAATATGTGAAGCTGGTACAATTGCTTATCCCTGTAAAATTAAGTTTATTATCTCACATTATAGATAAAATAAATGTCTTCCTGGGGCATTAAAATATAAATGTTAAGAGCAAAACTTTAAAAATTTGAGACTAAAATGTAAGAGAATATCTTTATGATATCAAAATAGGAAAGGGTTTCTTTTTTTTTAAAGTTCAGATCTCCTTTTTTATTATTATTATTAAAGTTTTAGGGTACATGTGCACAATGTGCAGGTTAGTTACATATGCATACATGTGCCATGCTGGTGTGCTGCACCCATTAACTCATCATTTAGCATTAGGTATATCTCCTAATGCTATCCCTCCCCCCTGCCCCCACCCCACAACAGTCCCGAGTGTGATGTTCCCCTTCCTGTGTCCATGTGTTCTCATTGTTCAATTCCCATCTGTGAGTGAGAACATGTGGTGTTTGGTTTTTTGTCCTTGAGATAGTTTACTGAGAATGATGATTTCCAATTTCATCCATGTCCCTACAAAGGACATGAACTCATCTTTTTTTTAGGGCTGCATAGTATTCTGTGGTGTATATGTGCCACATTTTCTTAATCCAGTCTATCATTGTTGGACATTTGGGTTGGTTCCAAGTCTTTGCTATTGTGAATAGTGCCGCAATAAACATACGTGTGCATGTGTCTTTATAGCAGCATGATTTATAGTCCTTTGGGTATATACCCAGTAATGGGACGGCTGGGTCAAATGGTATTTCTAGTTCTAGATCCCTGAGGAATCGCCACACTGACTTCCACAATGGTTGAACTAGTTTACAGTCCCACCAACAGTGTAAAAGTGTTCCTATTTCTCTGCATCCTCTCCAGCACCCGTTGTTTCCTGACTTTTTAATGATTGCCATCCTAACTGGTGTGAGATGGTATCTCACTGTGGTTTTGATTTGCATTTCTCTGATGGCCAGTGATGATGAGCATTTTTTCATGTGTCTTTTGGCTGCATAAATGTCTTCTTTTGAAAAGTGTCTGTTCATATCCTTTGCCCACTTTTTGATGGGGTTGTTTGTTTTTTTCTTGTAAATTTGTTTGAGTTCATTGTAGATTCTGGATATTAGCCCCTTGTCAGATCTCCTTTTTTCTTAAATAATCTTAAAAAATTTTTTTCAATCATGGGTTTTTTTAAAAACTTGATCAGTTTAACTTTAAATTTTTCTTGAGATATATTTTGCAGATTTTCATAACTTTTTAGTCAGTTTATTCTTTTTGTTGCTGTTGTAAGTGAAATAATTTTTCTATTGTATTTTCTAACTTCCTGTGGTTTTTATATAAAAGGCTATTATTTACATTTTTACTATTTATAATAGTTTTAAGGCTAATTCTTCTGAGTTTTATAGGCGTACAATTATATAATTTGTAAATAATGAGATTACTTCCTTCTTTCTATGTTTTATAACCTTTTTATTCCTTTGTCATATGTAATTGATTCAGTTAGTATCTCTATGTTAAATTAAATAATGACAGTATTAGCAGACATCCTTATTTTGTTCCTTTTTTTAATGGTAGAGTTATTAGTGTGTTTCCATTAAGTGTACTATTGGCCTATGGATAGATATATAGCTTTATCTATTTCTATTCCATTTAGTTTTTTATTTGGTCAATAACAGATATTGAATATTATTATTAATAGATGGCTTCTAAGTATCTTTGAAGAAGCTCTCATGATCTTTCACTATCAAATAAAATACATTAATCAATTTCTGATATCAAATTATCTTTTGATTATTCTTGATTATAATTCCTGATATTACTTGAACTTGGACATTGATTTTGAATATGCCTTTGTAGTCTCACATCTTATGTAAGCTTTTTTTAACATCAATATTTACAAGTGAAATTTACCTATTTTAGTAATGTTTAGTTTTCAAGTGTCTGGCTTCATAAAAAGAATTGGAAATTTTACTTATTTTTCATGCCTTGAACAATTAAAATAGAATTGGAATTAAACCTTAAAGGTTTGACACAGTTATTTTGTGAAATTATCTGGAATATTTTATTATGGAAAGCAGGTTTTATTTATTAACTGTATCTGTGATTTCTATTACAATTGTTCCATTTTGATTTTCTTTGTCAGTCAGAGCAATCTTGTAAATGGCAAAATTGGATACTGCTCTTTCCTTCCTTCTTTTTTTCCTTCCTTCCTTTTTTCCTTCCTTCCTCCCTCCCTCCTTTCTTTCTTTCTTTCTTTCTTTCTTTCTTTCTTTCTTTCTTTCTTTCTTTCTTTCCTTCTTTCTTTTCTTCTTTCTTTCTTTCTTTCTTTTTCTTTCTTTCTCTCTTTCTTTCTTCTTTTTCTTTCTTTCTCTTACCTTTTTAAGGCAGTTTATTCTTTTTGTTGCTATTGTAAAGTGAAATAATTTTCCATTGTATTTTCTAACTTCTTGTGGTTTTTATATAAAAGGATATGATTAATTTCTTAATTTGTTTCTCCTCCCTCCTTCTCTCTCTCTCTTTCATCTTTCTATCTTCATTCTTCCTCCCCTCCGCTCCACTCTGCTCCCCTCCCCTCTCCTCTCCTCTGCTTTTCTTTCCTTTTCCTTTCCTTTCCTTTTATTTACTTTTCCTTTCTTTTCTTTTCTTTTTCTTTCCTTCTTTCCTTTTTTGACAGGGTCGCACTCTGTTGCCCAGGCTGGAGTGCAGTGGTGCAAACATGACTCACTGCAGCCTGGACCTTCCAGGTTCAGGCGACCCTCCTGCCTTGGCCTCCTAAATTGTTGGGATTATAGGCATGAGCCACTGCACTCAGCCTCTTCCTTCCTTGAGAGCATTAGTTTTTCATATCTTTAGGCTCTGAAGTTCAAGGTAAAATTGGAACTCTTTCCTTGGGTTTACTAGGCTTTCGCAGTTCATTTCCATCTCTCCAGATTCACCTCCTGCTGCATTTCCACCAACATTCTACTTCATGATGTGCTTCTCCCACAAGTTACTTCTTCTACTTCTTCTGTGGTCATATTTGGTCATTCCTACTTTTCTATTAAAACAATATGTCATCTGGCTTCTTAAGTATATTTGCATAGTGCTGAGGATGGTTTCTTATTCTCTTTATTTTCTCTGCATTTGTGCATATTTCTGTATTTAATTTCTTATTTTGTGTATTTACATGCTTTTTTTCCCAATTAGGGTAGATAATATCTCTTTTTGCCTTATTTTTTAAAAAACCACTTTTGTTATTTATTTATTTATTTATTTATTTATTTTACTTTTTATTCTTTTTTGAGACAGTTTCCCTCTGTCACCCAGACTGGAGTGCAATGGCGTGATCTTGGCTCACTACAACTTCCGCTTCCTGGGCTCAAGCGATTCTCAATCTCCTGAGTAGCTGGCATTACAGGCATGTTCCACCATGCCCAACTAGTTTTTGTGTTTGTAGTAGAGATGGGGTTTCATTGTGTTGGCCAGGCTGGTCTTGAACTCCTGACCTAAAGTGATCCGCCCACTTCGGCCTCTCAAAGTACTGGGATTACAGGCATGAGCCACTGTGCCTGGCCAGAAACCATTTTTGAATTTATCTATTTTACAATTTTTCCCTTTATTCTATTTTTCTACTTATTTCCCCTGACTTAGCTAATTTCTTATTTCTGTTAATAAAGTTAATTTTGTTGTTTGTTTCTAGCTTCTGGAGTTAAATCTTTAATATATTTAATTTTTAAAAGCTTACATTTTTATAAGTAGTAAGGTTATGATTTTTCCCCTGAGCACTGTTTAAGTTATAACCAACAGGTTTTGATGGCAGATGTCTTTATTGCTGTTAACTTCTATGATCTATACTTTTAGTTTGGGTGACTCTTAGACCCAAGAGCTGTTTAGAACTTTTTTCAACTTTTATTTTAGGTACAGGTACATGTGTAGATTTGTTACAAGAAAACATTGTGTGATGCTGAGTTTGGAGTACAGATCCATTTACCTTGATAGTGAGCATAGCACCTGATAAATATCTTTTTAACCCCCCTCCCATGCTATAGTAGTCTATAGTGTCTGTTCTTCCCATATTTATGTCTATGAGTGCTTAATGCTTAGCTCCTACTTTTAAGTGAGAATACGTGGTATTTGGTTTTCTCTTCCTGTGTTGGTTTGTTCAGGATAATGGCCTCCAGCTCTACTCATGTTGTTGCAAAGGACAAGATCTATTTGGTTTTTATGGCTGCACCATATTCC